>NC_000007.14:154013868-154326933 GCF_000001405.40 Homo sapiens
AAGTCTGAGCCTCCATCAGATCCCGGTCACATTGTGAGGGAGGAGTGACCAGCCACCGAGGGCCACCTCCTGCTCTTCTTTCCTCTCTCCCCTTTGCCCTTGAGGTGCCCTCAACTCCCAGGCTCTCTAATCATGCTCTTCCCAGCCCAGGATTGCCCTGGCCAGTGCAGCTCTTCCTTAGGTTCTAGAACCACTACCTAATACCTAATTCCAATAGGGTCCTTTTGACTGAAGCTGACTTAATGTGTTTGAGAAAGCAGGGCTAAAATAAAAAGACCCTAATGTAGCAGAGGCCTTGATAAATTCTACCGAAGTGATGAGAACTGTGGGAATTTCTGACTGAGCCCAAAAGTTATTAGAGGCAAGAATACTTCTCTCTCCAGTAAATGCCTCCCCACCTCCACCCCCATTTATAGAAACTTTCAAATTTATACTAGCATAAGGCCAACCTTATCTGTGACCATGAATAAGCTATTTCACTACCTCGTTGTTCTGGTCAAAATAATGCATGGGGCTGGGCTCATGCCTGTAATCCCAGCACTTTGGGAGGCTGAGGCAGGTGGATCACTTGAGGTCAGGAGTTCGAGACCAACCTGCCCAACATGGTGAAACCCCAGCTCTACTAAAAATACAAAAATTAACCATGTGTGGTGGCACACGCGTGTAGTCCCAGCTACTTGGGAGGCTGAGGCACGAGAATCGCTTATTGCTTGAACCTGGGAGACGGAGGTTGTAGTGAGCCGAGATTTTGCCACTGCACTCGAGCCTGGGTGACAGAGTGAGACTCTGTGTCAAAAAAAAAGAAGAAAGAAAAAAGAAAAAAAAATCATGGGCTAGCTACTCTGCTTGTATTTTTTGTTTCTGTCCATCCTCTTACTTGATACCCCTCCACGTTCTAAAAACAAAGCCTCCCTTCACATTTTGAGTGTGTCTGCTATGGATAATGAGGCAGCAATCCTGGTTCTAAAGAATTGTGATAAAGCAGTCACTAAGGATCCCATTAAAGGTCAAACCATCTAATTCTTAATCTCACGGCACCTGCTTGATAATGATGGATACTTATTAAACTCATTCCTTCTGGGTCTCAGAATACCCTTTAGAATGATCCAATTTTTCATTCAGGCACTTGAAGTTCATTAAATGAATGCTGGAGAAACTGTTTTCTCATTGACGTACTTGCTTTAATGAAATGAGAAAGTAAGAAGTGCCTGAATATTGGTGGTGGTTCTCAAACCCAAGGAAATCTAGGGGTTTGTGGAGATCCAGAATCTCCTCTCTCCTCACCACTTTTATGGCCTTTATCTAATTTTACTTTTCAGCCACGTTTGATGTAGCTGACTTCCATCTCGAAACACTCTCTTCTGATTTTCCCTTTGATTGCACTATCCACTCCTTTTTCCATGTCCTCGACCGGTTCTGTCTTCCCGCGTGACCTCTCAGCATTGAAGTCTTATCTGCCTGCCCTCTTCTGGATGCATTGTATTCCTGGATGAGCTTCTCAATGCCCTAGTCTCATATACTGGCCATATGATGAGGATTCCTGGTTTTACATGTCAAGCCTTGTCTCCGTAAGTGAACTGCAAACTCAGTTTTCAAAGTGCCCATCTGACCACTCCACTCTGATGTCTAACATGTGCTCGCTTACATGTGGCCAGAAGAGAGCTCCTCATCCCCATGGCCATCGCTCCTCCACCAGTGTTCCATCTCAGTAAATGGCACCACCACCAACCCAGGTGCTCAAGCCACAAGCCCTGGAGTTGTCGTTCGTTCACTTTCCATTTCACCTCATCTAACCATTCAGCAAGCCTCATCGATCCCATCTCCAAAATATACCCCTAATCCATGCAGTACACCCACCTCCCCACTGGGGCTGCACCAGTCCAGCCCCAGCCACTGTTGTCTCTCACTGGAATCTCTGAAGTCACTCCCAAGAGGTCCCTGCTTCCACTCCCCCTCCCACACCCATTCTCCCTAAGACAGCCACAGGGATCCTGTTGAAACAAGTCAGATCCATCACCCCCTGGAGTACCTGGCCTCCTTTGCACATCTCAGACCGAAGCTCCTTACTGACCTCTAATGGTGTGCACGCCCTGTTCCTCGGCCCTTATAAGACCCCTTTTCCCTGCACACTCCATGCTCTGGCCATATCGGCCCACGTTCTATTCCTCGAATATATCACATTCCTTCTGCATCAGTGCCTTTGCTCCTCTGCCCCGAAGGCTCTCTCATAGATCTTCCCGCCATTCAAGTCAGCCCCATGATACCTCCGCAGTGACGCATTCCTTGACCACTCTACCTAAAATCTCTCTCCCCCCGCCACACAATCTCTTTGTCTTGTTTTATCTTCTTCTCAACACGTATCACTATCAAGACATTGAACAAGGAAATACTGACGGATTTTCATTTCAGTTTCCCCCTTAGAGAAGGACATTGTCTATTGTTTTTTGCTATATCTGCAATGTGCTTGGTAGTTAGGAAGCATTATATAACAATTTTAAAAATGGAAACATTCAGTTTTTAAAGTAGGTTTATTTTTTTTTTTTTTCAGAGAAGCCAAGTAACTGGTATGCGTAGTAATAAAACATCTCAATAAAGAATTACAAGACTTGAGGATCTGGGCATGGTGGCTCACACATGTAATCCCAGCACTTTGTGAGGCTGAGGTGGGAGGATTGCTTGAGCCCAGGAATTCGAGACCAGCTTGGGAAACATAGCAAGACCCCAAGTCTACAAAGGTTTTTGGAAAAAAATTAGCTGGGTGTGCAGATATATCTTCAACATACTGATTTGCTCTATTTTGGATATATACCCAGCTGAGAGATTGATCATTTGGTAGTTTTAGATTTTGGGGGAACTTTCATACTGTTTTCCACACTGGCTGTACTAATTTAATTCCCACCAACAGTGCACAAGTGTTTCCCTTTCTACACATCCTCTCCAATAAAAGCCACTTCATTTTGAGCCATTAGTGAACTGAGAGAAAACAGCACTATGGAGGGAGAAAGTGGATTGTTTCCAAGAAGTAGGTGGGCAAGGAGCAATGAAGGAAAGATAATACCAAGGCAAATACCTGGAGGATGTTAAGCCAAGAGCATCAGAGGAGAAAAGGAATCATCAAGAGGTTGGTTAGTGGGTACAAACGTGCAGTTAGAAGGAATAAGTAATAGTGTTCCACAGCACAGTAGGGTGACTATAGTTAACAATATATGTTTTTTTTGAGACAGGGTCTCACTCTGTCACCTAGGTGGGAGTGAAGTGGTGCAATCATGTCTCACTGCAGCCTCAACCTCCTAAACACAAGTGTTCCTCTTGCCTCAGCCTCCCGAGTAACTGGGACCACAGCATGTGCCCACCAAGCCCAGCTAATTTTTTGAGTTTTTGTAGAGATGGGGTTTCACTGTGTTGCCCTGGCTGAGCTTGAACTCCTGGGTTCTAAGTGATTGTCCCTCCTCGACCTCCCAAAGTGCTGGGATTACAGATGGGATTACAGACTGAGCCACCGTGCCCAGTCAACAATAATTTATTGTATATTTCAAAATATCTAGAGGAGGCTGGGCATGGTGGCTCACACTTATAATCCCAGCACTTTGGGAGGCTGAGGATTGTTTGAGGTCAGGAGTTTGAGACCAGCCTGGACAACATAGTACGGGCCTGTCTCTACAAAAAAAGAAAATTCAAAAACTTAGTTGGGCATGGTGGTATGTGCCTGTAGTCCCAGCTACTCAGGAGGCTGAGGCATGAAGATTGCTTGAGCCCGGAATTTTAAGGTTGCAGTGAGCTATGATGGCACCACTGCACTCCAGCCTGGGTGACAGAGTGAGCCCTTGTCCTAAAAAAAATAAAAAAAAAATAAAAAAATAAAAAAAAAAAAAAGAAAAATATAAAGAAAGAATTAGAATACTTGAAACCTAGCCAAAACCTTATCCTTACTTAGGGTGATCCTGTGCTTCCATTTGCTAATCCATAGATACTCCTAATATCTTCCTTCTCTTCTTCATAAGTGAGGAGATAAGATGAAATAAGGAATTCGTAAATACAAAGAGAGTCATAAAGCATCACATAAATGTTATGTTTATTTTATATTGAAATGTCCACCTGAAAAACTTTCTCTGGCAGAGTGCAGGGCCAGATGAAATTCACATGAAGGAGGAACACCTGATCTGTATGGCCCTGTCATTATTATGCATACCCATGGAACCAGCTGGGCACTCAGGGTTATATGTGGTAGCCACAGCAGGGTGATTTGCAACCCCCACTCCTATATCCATCAAGACAAGGCCACCACGAGGCCCCCTATCCTGCTGTAGATGACCTGAAATACGCTGTCCCCTTAGAGGTTGCTTTCTTTGGAATTGATCATGAACATCTGTTTGGTTTATTGCAGAACCCACAGAGGCCAACACAGTGCCTGGCACATTCTAATTGCTCAATGATCTTGAGATCAATAAGGGGGTGAAAAATGGCTGCTGGTGTAAAAAGCAGGAGAAAGGCACTGAAAGGGGATGAGAGTGGACACCGGAGACCATTTTTTGCCCATTTGTTAGTATTTCATCCACTCTGCAACTAGTCTCCCAGTCATTCCTTTATTTTTCCCCTGTATGAGTTGAAGACGACTCTTTGTGGAGTCTAGGAACAGGCAAGTGTCCCTATATATGGAAAGGAAGGAACAGTTCACAAGCTTTCTAAGCTCACAACCCAGCTTGTCTGGGCTTTTCAATAGAGTGGTTGCCATGACATTACATAGGAGAGCCTTTCAGGCAGTTCCCATTGCTAAGGGCAAAGGGTGACTGTGATATTAAAAGAAGCATTTGTTGCTCTTTATACTCAGAGGAAATCAAGGTGAACTTGAACTCATTAAAAGCAAGGCTGAGCACATTTGCATGAGCAGAATGTAAATACAGGAGGCTTCTTGCAGATGAGCTTCTCTCTTGCAGAAGAAGAGACCCAGGGCCTCCTGAGCCTGTTTGTTCTTAATTAAGAGAGATCCTTTTGGGATGAGAGTGAGTTTGTAATGGCATTTCTACCACAATGTACAACTTCTCAAATATCTCCTTCCCCCATATCTTCAAAGTTTTAAGTACAGCCCTTAGTGCAAGTTTGTAGGGGAAATATGGAAAAATGCAAAACAAATACAATAAACAGAGAAAACAATTTAAAATGATTCTACACACAAATGAATAATTTAAACCTCCATCATGTTTGCTATCTGTGATGCATCTATTTAATATTAATAACTTGTGAAGAAAAATGACTGTCACCATTTTTAACAAGCCTAGTCTATTCTGGCTACAAACCTTAGATGACTGACTATTCCTAACAGGGCCCTGCTTATTAAGAGTCTGTTATCTTCTTTAAATTTAATTTCATGAATAATGAAATGTTTATAAGAGGAAAACAAATATCCTGTCTAAAGCCAGCCTCTCCTTACTCCCTTCCACCTCTGTCAAATATTTATCTGCCTCTACCTTCTTCCTTTTTCTTTTCTTTTCTCTTTTCTCTCTTCTCTTTCTATTTCTTCTTTCTTTCTCCCTTCCTTCCCTTTTTTCTTTATCTATCTATTTCTTCCTCTCTCTCTTCCTTCCCTCCTTCCCTCCCTTCCTCCCTCCCTATCTCTCTATCCCTCTCCCTTTCTTTCTTTTCTTAGTTTTCAACACCAGGCTCCATATTTAATGCACACAGTGTAACTAGCTTCAATAGCTGATCATTCTTTCTCCAGAGATGTCTTATTACGAAGCAAGGAGCACATACAAAGCAGTTGTATTGCTTTTCAAATTCCCTCTTCAGTGAACATAGTCATTAAAGAATTGTATCAAGAAGAAACACTTTTATAATGTGGCTGTCCCCAAATTCTAAAGATGGTGTTATTATTGATTTAGTAATAGCTTACAAATCATGACCCAAAATTAGTTCTTCTGCACTTATGCCCCAACCTTTGTAAAATCTTTATTGAACAACCATGGCCAGTAACCATAACAGATAATGTTCTATTAAGTGCAGTTTTTCCATGGGTCATATAAAGTCTTTTTCTTGGAGCTCATATAAGAGTCCATGGAACCTTCATTCACTTTGGTGTCTGCAGGGAACTCTTTTCCTGTGGAGTCTGAGTGATCACGTGGAATCTCACCCCATGCTGCCCACAGAACTGTCCATCTAGGTGTCTCTTGCTGACCAGACTCTGGGTGTACAGCAGAGCTGACAGCCCAGGTTTCAAATAAAACTTTCCAGAATTTCACACACACACAAACACACACACACACACACTCATACAGCAGCTCTGCTGTCTAAGATGTCAAGATGTCGTTTTGGGTTTTATTTGTTTACATTCTGAATTCTGTGTCCATGTGTTTTAAATTTTCCTCTAGATAAAAGCGTGATAGAGCATCTCTGTGGGGAATTGCTGTGAAGAAGTCCCACTGTGGGATGTGGTGCAGGGTGAAGATGCAGATGAGAGAAGGAAGGAGAAAGCTCAGGGAGAGGGAAGTAGAAAGAAGGGGAAGAATAAACGGTTGGAGAAGCTGCCTGATGACTTTGAGCTTTTGTAGATCAGCGGATCCAAACCTCTTGTTGTGCAGGAAGTGTTAGAGAACATTAAAAGATTAGCCTAGAGTCTCAGGTAGTTCAAGAGTCAGAGTTGGGACCAGGTCTTCTGGTTCTGATCCAGAGCTTTTTCTCCTACTTAGCTGTCATTCCCATGCCATTCATGTCATGTTTTAAGCAGTTCAGCAAGCATTCTTGCCGTGCTGACTTGTCTCTAGCATGATGTTCAAGCTCTGAAAATTGCAAGTGAATTTAAATAGCCTCTGACCTCAGTGAGCTCAAATTCTCACTGTGGAGATGACCTCCAGCCCCAAAACAGATCAGAGACCTGCTATGTAACACATGGGGCAAGTGCAAGAGTGAAAGGAGGAGGATTTGGGGATCTAGAAAGGTCTGGGGCAAAGCGGCAAGAGAAACATGAGGCATTTAGGGGTGAACTTGGTGGAAGGGGGAAGGCAGAGCTGGGAAAAGGGCAAGACTCCTTGGTGACCAAATGGGTAGACATGTGACAAATCACTGCCCCCATTGTGGAGGATACAATGTGGAAAGAGCTGTGAGCCTCTCCCCAGGAAGCTGTGGTCCACATGGATGATGATGGGGAGATGTGGGAAACGCCAGGCAGAGAGGAAGAGAGCTGCCGGGGAATAGCATCATTCCACCAACGGAGGACCACAGGGCTTGGTGTAACACCCACATGCAGAGGGTAAGACGAGGACCCATCCCATCATCAGCGGTGCCAACGCTTACATTGCAGCACCTTACCACTCAGAGTGAGGCTTCAGCACTCTGCGAACGTTTGCTGCTGTTATTCATTGATCACCCATGCACCTCACAACAGCCGTGCGAGACTGATTGGGCTGTCACCACTTTCTCCATTTAGTGGACGAGGACAGGAAGTCACAAAATGGGCCTGAGATCTTAGAGTTTGCCAAGTCCTGCAGCCATATGTAAGTTTCCCTGATGCCGGTACTCAGGGGTGCTGTGCTACTTCAGTGTCTGCTCCTCCCAGAGTGCTGTAGCCCAGGAGAAGAGGCCTTTGTGCCATGCTTTTTACAGCAGCACCTCCAGAAGTCACGTAAGAGACCTGGCACTTCCAGAATCCTTTCCAGCCTACAACCATTTTCACATAAAAATGGGAAAAATGGAGGCAGAGGAAACCATATATCCCAAACGAGGGCCAGTTATCCCCTGTGTATGTGGGGCTGAAGGCTCATGATGCAGTGAAGGACCACCATTTCCCTCCTTCCAGTGTATTAAGAAGACATCTGGGTGTTCCAGTTCCATCAGCTCACTCATCCTTCAGTAGAGACAAGTGAGCTTGGCACGTGGATATGTGAAGTGCTGTGTGCATTCAGCCTCAGTCTCCTATGGTGTCCCAGCTCCTGGACTCTAAGCCTCCCTGTTTCATTTATCAAAGAGATTGGATGACACCCACCTATGTTGGTGAGAATGGATCTTCTTCATCTACCCATTCAAATGCTCATCTTTTCTAGAAACACCCTCATGGACACAATCCAGAAATAATGTCCTACCAGCTATCTGGGCATCCCATTGGCCGGTCAAGTTGATATCCAGAATTCGCTATCTCAGCTGTTAAGGCCAACTCAGATCTAAGGGGAGGAGAATTCAACTCCCCCTCTCAATGGGAGGAATCCTAGAACTGCTAGAGTTTCCTGCCAACCAACATTCTTACCAAGTAAAATAAAACAAGAATAAACTTTACATTCGGCTACAGAAGGTGATGGAAGAGGTAGAGCAAGAGGATCTACAAAGATGCTAATTTCATTTATAATTATTTTGTGATGGAAAAAGTAATAAATTATTATGAGTTGTCACCAGACTCTTTCTTAACCAGAGAATTCTCTTTCTTTGGAAAAATATTTTGAAAAGCTGCTTGACCATGGCAAGTGAGACATTGAGGACCCAAGCAACAGATAGATGGTTTATGGCATGCTGAGTGGAGAGTAGGGGACACTTGCATTTGCCTTTGGGAGGGAAGGAGAGAGGAAGAAATAGAAAAAAAAGGGGAAGAAACTGGAGAATGTGAAAGATGTGAAGCATCATGGGAAAGTAGAGGCCGGGAAAAACATCCTAGTGATAAAGGTAGAAGAAAAGAGTTTTAGGCAATGCCTAATATGTGATTGAAAGATGCATGTCCCCCTTCCTGCCATGGATGCTCCCCCCTGAAATTTTAAGGCAAATTTTATAGACTAACGGTTGCCCTGTGCAAGTGTTGTCTTGTGTGTATGTGTGGAGTGTGAAGTTGGGGTTGCAGCTGAATTGCACCTCCAGTTCATCATGACTTCGTATCTCATTGCATAGTCTGGAAAAAGGACAGGCATAGACAAAGGAACTCACCAGCAGAGGTGGCCAGAAGAAGAAATCTTTCCTGGCAATTGAAAGAAATCTTAGTGCAGATTGTGGTCTTGCACTAGGATGAGACAGAGGTTGGAGCTTGTCTTCCTCAGACATCAAAGAGCGGGGAGAACCCAACTGCCAACTGGTTTGCATGTGGCTTGTGGTTTGACAGCTGACTCTTTCTTAACTTCTAATCCAAGGGTCAGTACAAAGCCAATTCCCCTTCTCCTCCAGGAGGAAGAACCTTCTACAGCCTGAGGTACCCAGTACTTGTCCTGAGTGTAAGCTAGGATGACCTCTGGATCCATCATGCTATATTTAGTCTCTGTTTCACCTAACACTCAGGATTCCATGAATGTACCTTTAGTGAGTCCAGGACACCTTGTGAAGATTGCACGAACCCTGCCTGGGAAGTGACAAAGGTGCAGACTTACCCTTGGCATCTTTTGTACCTTTAACCACAGAGTTCACATGGAGTTGTGACCCCAGCTCATGTAACCTAATGCAAGGTGAATAATACCTCCTACAGCAGGCTCTGGAAATGTTTCTTGTCTGCACACACACACACACACACACACACACACACACACACACACACTTCTTAAGTCTGCATTCCCCAAATAATAATAAGGGGCATGTTGCTCTATAACAATCAGCATCACGAAAGCCTACAGGACTTTGCCATTCGGTTTAATGGAATTGGTATATTTGAAATACTGCCTTTGGAATTTTTTTTTGACAGAGTTTCACTCTTGTTGCCCAGGCTGGAGTCCAATGGTACGATCTCAGCTCATTGCAACCTCCGCCTCCTGGGTTCAAGTGATTCTCCTGCCTCAGCCTCCCAAGTAGCTGGAATTACAGGTGCCTACCACCATGCTCGGCTAATTTTTTGTATTTTAATACAGACAGGGTTTCACCATGTTGGCCAGGCTGGTCTCGAACTCCTGATCTCAGGTGATTCGCTCGCCTTGGCCTCCCAAAGTGCTGGGATTACAGGTGTGAACCACTGCCTCTGGTCTGCCTTTAGATATTTTACATAACAGATTGTATTACAAAGACCTACACGCCTCCAAAAATACTTTGGAATGTTTTAATTATGCAAAAATTGAGAAAATAGTTAGGAAAGATGCATCTGTCTCTGTTAAGAATAAATTCAATTATTAGAATTTAGGGGTGCCCAACAGCTTACCTGCAGCAAGATTAGGTTGAGTTCTACTACCTTCAAATGCTTACCTATGACCTTTGAAGTTCTGATTATTCTGGGAGCTTCTGGTGCTACATCCACTCAATCTGCCAGGAGAGGAATTTATCCTACAGGCTGCATAATTTCCTTCTCAGCTGTAAAATATCTCTTTATAAGAGGTGTGGGCGAGAAGGAATTATGGGAGCAAATACAGTATTTATCACTTGAATTAAACGACTAAACCTGGCAAATAGTTCAGCTATCGATCCACAAATAGTATCAATCCACAAATTAGCAGCCTGATTCAGATAATCTGATCAGTAGATATAGTTATATGTGAGCATCATAAGCATCAAAGCCACTTTTATGTGTATTATTTTTCTTGTCACCCACAAATCATGTTGCAAAGATTGATAGTAATTGAATAAATTGCCATGTGTACTTAAAGACTGGGCTTGTTGGAGACACAACACATTTATTAGATGATCAGTTTTTTTTTTCCTGTTATGTCAATGCTCACTGGAACACTTCTTTTCAAATGTAGGAAAACCAAGCTAACTAGATCTAGAAAAACAAGCAGAGGTTTCAAGGGATGCCTTTGAAAGGTGGTGTGGTATCAGGGAGCACGTTGAATTGGAAGTCAGATGTCCATGTGTGGATTCCTTTCATGGCACTCCCTGATTGAGACAATCTGTAAAATCCCTTTAACGTGCGTATGTTATGATTGCATAATGTAATTCTTGTTTAGGGTTTATTGTGTGACTCTTTGCTAAGTAACTGTACTGTCATAAATGGAGTCCGAGCAGCGGGGCTTGTCTCCCCGTGAGTGTGAGATCTGCATGCTGCCACCTTTCTCCTCCTACTTTTCTCGCCAGGTACCACAGTCTGTGTAAGATGCACCAGGCTGATATTTTGTAAAATCAAGGTCTTCACCTTCCATTTATGTGGCACGAGCTGGAATTTGCCAGGGTCAAATAGTCAACCAGGAGTTCTTTATGGATTCAGCCACATGGGAGAACTTGAGGGACCTTGCATGTCTTATATTCTCCAAAACTCCATCCCCACAGGCTTGCCAGTGTCCAAAAGGCCTGATTTTTGGGGGAGGAGGCAGCTCTAAAATAGTGTCAATTCTAGAACTCCTTTTTTAAATGTCCCAGGAGGAGTAACTATTGGCATCATCAGTATTTAAAACTTTGGGCTAATTACATCACCTGATTATTTCCCTCCTTTGTGCTTTCTAGAGGGATATAAACCAATGAGAGTCTTGAGAGGTGGAGTCAGTTCAGCTCAGAAGACACTATCTTGAGGGAAAAGGCCATGATGAGTGGGTTTGTATGTTGAATTGGAAAGAGGAGAAGGGAGATGAAGAGAAATAGGGTAGGGGGAGTACTGAGAGGAAGGATCTGAAGGGTGATAGAGAGAATGCTGCCTTTGGTTAAAATTTCACCAGTGTAGACTGTGTTTATGTAGCTTAGTCAGAATCTCCCTTCATCCTGTAGTGCTATGTTTTTGTTTATTTATGCAATACTCTTCCTGTCAACTATCACAATTAAGAATCCCTAGTGTAGCACAGTTATGAATGTGGCTGACCTTTCTTAAAATAATGTCCTCGAGCTCTGTAGCACTTTAAACATTTCAACTCTTTTGCATATTTGGTTTTTCATAATGTAGGTTGTAACACGATAGAAGGTTAGGGAATTAATTGAGTGGGCCATGATCAGCTTAAGAAAATAAAATGCAATAGAAATATACCTAGTGCATAATAACTAGTAGAATGAACTAATATGAAACTTTGTCCATTATCTATGTATGTAGTATGTGTTTACTGTATTGCTATATAAAATATATTTCTCATAGTAGATTGCAGTCACAAAAGTTTGAAAGCCTTTGAACCCCCTTTGACCATGGAAAGGAAGAGGGATTCTGTACAGGAAATGGTTAACTCAGCAGGCCTGGGTTGCTCAAACCGTGCACATTCTCAGAAAGACCTGCTTTGGGACTGGCCCTTGGATGGTCCTGGGAAATTAGCCACCAACCTTTGGAATAGTGTGCCCAATAAGAATTTTTTTGGATGCCTTAGGCTTCAGCCCACATGAAACCAGTTTGATGACTTTATCCTAACAATGTAATTTATGTATGGTGAATGCCTGCTTTTGCTTTGGGGTGGTGTGAGGATCTGAGGTCAGGTACGCAGGTGCCACATGCCTGCATGACTAACCCCCAGTAAGAACCCTGGACGCCAAGCCATGGGTGAGCGTCCGTGGTTGGTAACATGGTTTCTGGGAAAATTAATAGAGCCCGTGAGACTCCACTAGCAAAGAACACCTGGAAGCTTTCACCTGGTTTCTCCTGGACTCTGCCCCATGTACCTTTTATTTTATTCTGATTTGAACTCATATCCTTTTGCTGTAATATATCAGAACAGTACATCTAATTCAGAAAAGTAAGCTTTTCTGAGTCCTGTGAATCCTAGTGAATCATCAAGCTTTAGAGTAGTCTCAGGGAACCTGGCGCAGATGCAGAGATTAGACTTGAGACCTAGAGAAGTTAAGGGCTTTCTAGAACATGTAGCTCAAGCCTGGGCCTGGAGTGTGATGAGGTCATGGACATTAAGCTGGAATGAAGGTCTGTACCAACTCAGTCCTTTTCTGGTGAGGCAGCATGGAAAGACATTGGCCTTTTCTCCATCTGTGATGACAGTGATCCCTGGACGTGACTTCTTCAAGTGTCCTTAGTGAGTTTAACTGGGTAAGAGCAAAAGAAATGAAATATTTTATTCCTTTCTCAGTCCCCCATCAAGGACATCAATAGCATAAAACTGCTATAAAATAACAAAGCTTATTATAAACTTTGCCTCCAAAAGTGGTTCTAGCCTTTCTGTAATCTTTCATATGAGCTTGTTGTTCTGTTGATCAATGAATTCGGTAATATTCTATTTTTAAAATTATTTTAATTATGATATAAACAAATGAGATACCTCTTCAGAGTCCACATGAATGGAAATGAATATAAAATCAGAATCCAACACATAAAAAGAAAGTTCAGCAAATGCAGGACTCCAGTCTCCACTGCTTCACAGTAGGGTTTGTCCTTGTGTTTTCTTGTTTTGTTTGGGAAAATAATGCAAAAGAGATTTGTTGTAAAAGCTTTGAAATTTAATTATGATCAGGGAGTTCTAAAGGAAATTAAACATAGCATGAGTACTTTTAAAAAATATGAATTTAATATAGCATCTTATCAAATAATTCATCCCACACGGCTAGCTCACTTCCCACCAGGAAATAGAAAAGAATTTTTGAGGACTCTTAACTAATAATAATTTCTGAATTTCTCTGACACCTTCACTGTTTCTAAACATTTTTTTTGGTCATGTTAACTTACTTGATTCTTCAGAGTTTGCTTATTATAGCCATCACTTTCTAATAGTACATAGTTTGAAAAGCACTTGGCCGTCTTCTGCATTCTGGGAACATGTGGCTTCCTGACCCACAGAGGATGGCTTCTCGCTGTGTCCTCATGTGGTGGAAGGGGTGAGGGGTCTCTCTGAAGTGTCTCTGCTAAGGGCGCTAGTCCCATTCTTGTGGGCTTTATTCTCACCACCTAATCACTCCCAAAGTCCACCTCCTAACACCATCGCTTCAGGGGAAAAATTTCAAAGTATGAATTTGGGGAGGGGGCGGCATTAAATAGTCGATGCCACTCCCCATGCTTTCTTTTCCTCTGTTGTGGTTTTCAGATGAACAGAGACTTCTGGAGTTGATTTGCTGTCTTATTTGTTCTCCCTGCTTGTTCTCGCTCATCTGGGCAGGTGGTTTGTCCCTTCTTCCCCTTATCCAAATGATAAATTCCTCTCCCTCCTCTCCTTTCCTCTTCCAGTATCTTCCTTCAGCTCCTCCTCTTAGGAGCTCAGGAAATCTGTCTGCACCTATCATACTGACAGCATGAGCCCAAATGTTTTTCCGTAGTTCATCCTGGATCCCGGAAACATGGGTGGCTGCCTGCCTGCCAGCCTCAGTTTATTTCCCAGCCTTACTGGTTTGTAAGCTTTAATTTTAGAAAAGAGGACAGAGCCATGCAGTCCACAGACCACTGCATGGTGCTTCGTCACCACCGGCCGGTGCTCCCATGGGCTGCCCAGGTGCCCAGGCGTCCTGGGTCCCCACCCTCGCATGGCTGTGGAGCCGGGACAGCTATGACATTTGTGTGGGGTTCTTAAAAATGTGAGAAGCTCCTAATATGTTGTTGTTAAACTCATCCTCTCTGATAGAATTTAATTTTAAACACAATTCCCCCGAATACACCCTAATGTGCTTGTTTCATTTCTGGAGACTGTATGCATCACTTTCCTTGTCTGGCCAAGGCCACAACAGCGTTTGCGTTAGCCACTGTGTCCCTGAGTAGATGGGGCCCTGTTTACTCTTGGCCTGCTCCGTGGGATCCCAGCCCGGCCCTACTGGACCTCCCAGCTCTTTTACAAGTAACGCCTTCTTTCCCAGGTAGCCCCATTTTCTCCTCCTTCATGACACGCCTGTGGGTCCCTGCTTTCCTGGGACTGTCATCGATGTGCACGCTGGTGCCTATGCACATGCTCCCCCTGCATCCTCCTCGGTGGGGCTGACACGCAGGGACTTGCCCACATCTTCTCATCTTGATAGAAAGGATCCCTGTGGCAAGCCCTCTTCCTTTCTTCACAAAGCTGCGTTCCTCCTTTCCCCTCTCCTTTGGATATCTGCCCTGAAGAAGCTGATAGAAGCAGATACTGCTTCTGGTAGGCCCCGCTCTGCCTGCTCCGATCTTTCACTTCTGCCCACTCCATGCTATGGCCTTCTCTGTCTCTTCCCTTGTTAACTCCCTCGTCTGCATCCAATTCCTGATGCCTCTGACCCCTGACACTGTGTGCTGCCCGCAGCCAGAGGAAACCACGTTCTGGAGTTTGGCAGACCTGAAATGCCCACAACTCTGGCCTTACTTATGGGAGGCCCTTTTCTTCCTCTTCCAAGCTCTGAGCAGCTCCGACCACACCATCCTCACACTGCCACCTCCCCTCTGTCCTCGAGGCCCACAGTCCTGCAGGTGCCTCTGAGAGTCCGGCACGGTGGGGAGTCCACAGGGCTACTGTCACACCCATACTAACCTAGGGAGCCTGTCTCTGAAACACTGCCACATACTTGTTTTCTCCCATGTTCCATGTTTCCGATTTAAATGAGAGACATGACCATTTCTATCTGGCTCTATGTCCATGTCTTCCTTGAGACAGTGCAGTGGTGGATTAGAAATTGTCTTATGTCAGCTGGGCACAGTGGCTCACACCTGTAATCCCAGCACTTTGGGAGGCTGAGGCGGGTGGATCACGAGGTCAGGAGATCGAGACCATCCTGGCTAACATGGTGAAACCCCGTCTCTACTAAAAATACAAAAAAAATAGCTGGGCGCGGTGGCGGGCGCCTGTAGTCCCAGCTACTTGGGAGGCTGAAGCAGGAGCATGGCGTGAACCTGGGAGGCAGAGCTTGCAGTGAGCTGAGATCGCACCACTGTACTCCAGCCTGGGTGACTGAGCGAGACTCCATCTCAAACAAAAAAAGAAAGAAATTGCCTTATGTCAAAAATTAGCAATTTTATGCTGGGCATGGTGGCTCACGCCTGTAATCCCAGCACTTTGGGAGGCTGAGGTAGGTGGATCATGAGGTCAGGAGATCGAGACCATCCTGGCTAACATGGTGAAACCCTGTCTTTACTAAAAATGCAAAAAATTAGTTGGGCATGGTGGCGGGCGCCTGTAGTCCCAGCTACTCGGGAGGCTGAGGCAGGAGAATGGCGTGAACCCGGGAGGCAGAGCTTGCAGTGAGCTGAGATCACGCCACTACACTCCAACCTGGGTGACAGAGCGAAACTCCATCTCAAAAAAAAAAAGTAAAGAAAAAAGAAAAAAAGAAAAAAATTGCCTTATGTCAAAAATTAGCAATTTTAGGCCAGGCACGGTGGCTCACGCCTGTAATCCCAGCACTTTGGGAAGCTGAGGGGGGCAGATCACTTGAGGCCAGGTGTTTGAAACCAGCCTGGGCAACATGGCAAAACCCCATCTCTACTAAAAATACAAGAATTAGCCAGGCGTGGCGGCGCACACCTGTAGTTCCAAGTACTCAGGAGATTGCAGTGGGAGGATCACTCCAGCTCAAGAGGTTAAGGCTGAAGTGAGCCATGTTAGCACCACCGCATTCCAGCCTGAGTGACAGAGCAAGACCCTGTCTAAAAGAAATTAAATAAGTAGCAATTTTGGCCCCTGGCTATTTCTCTGCCCCTGACCTATGTTTTTCTGAAATGTTATAGACATCTTCCAAACTGATTTCACCTAAATATCAGAAATCGCTCATCATGGTTCCTTTGTCCAGTGCTGTGGAAGGCCCCAGAGGAGGCTTCTGTGGGGTGGTGAGGGCACCAGGTGTGAGTTGGGACCTGAGACCTGGTCCTTGTTCTTACAGCCGTGATGCTGATGATTAGGAGGCCCTCCCAGAGCCTCCAGACAGGCTTACACCATCTGGAGCATGGGCCTGGGTGAGGCCTCGTGAGCTCCTGCATCATAACGGTGCTTCCTGCTGCTCCAAAGCTGTGGAATGTGTGGTCTGGGAACAGCCCTGGCTGAGGTGAGCGCATCTTTGCTTGCCTTCCACGTGACAGACCTGGACCTCAGTTCTTGGGAAGGCGTCCACGTTCCTTTCCCAGCTTCCCCATTGGATCTGACGCTCTCCTCTTGTGATACCTTTACCTGAATTGCTGGGAGATTCAGCGTCTGGACTTCCCCACTCCCAGCCATAGGAAAACCTTCCCCCCAGAAGTCCCTGGTGACCACTCACACAGCCTGATCTGCTGCCAACATCTACCCCTTCTGGAAGCAGCTGTCACTGTTTCCAGCGTGCCAGCCTGACATATTTCAGAGTGTCTGCATGTCTCTGAGCTATTAATACACAAAATAACGTAAGCCCCCTCTTCTGGACTCCCCAGTGTGTCTGAGAATGCCTAGTAAGCATCCATCTGGTTACTTTTAGCTCTAAACGTTGGTTACTAGCTCAGCCCACCAAGAGCTCACATGCCCAAGCTCTCCCTGGTTGTCTTATCCTCCCTGGCTATTACCTCTCCCTGGCTATTATCTCTTACTGACCATTATCCCCCAGGGCGAATACAATCCCTTCTTCTTCACACTGAAAGCCACCACTAACACAATGATGATGTGTGTTTAATGAGTTTCACCCGCTGAAGTTTTAGATAAACTATTTTTTTAATTCTAATCTTGCAAACAAGGCTTCTGTGTTCCTCTGGTTTCTGGGTCTTCCTCATGCCAAGAGGCCCTCCCTAACACCTTAGCCCCAGACCTCTTCTGTCATCTCAGACTCTAAAGCAAGGTTTCTTAACGTGGGGTCCCAGGGGCCTGTGAACTTAAAGAAACAAAAAGGTCATAATTATTTTTATTAAAGTCTCACTAAAAAACTGCTGCCCTTCAGCATGTCTGTAGGCAAAATACACAGTAGTTTTGGCATTACCTGTGACTAAAAAAAATCACAGATATTCCCATATCACAGTGGCAATTGCAGATATCTTGAAATACAACATACTCTCACCATTATTTCAAAGTCATAGTAGGTTTTAGGCATACCCCTATTTGATAAGCTTTGAGACTCTAGGCAGACACTCAAGCAACAGAGCTGGTCAGTCTCTGGAGATTCCCTTCTCAAGAGTCATTCAGGGGCACGACCTAAAGGAACGAGCTTTAGAGTGCAGTTTAACTCAACAGCCTTTGGAGAATCTAGCATTTCTGGAGTCCAGGCTGTCTTTTCCTTACAAAGTAAATTATCAAATTTGCATTGTTTATCATTGGGTATCCTTGCTAAACAGGAGTCTCATTCTTTTTTCCTTTTTTTTGTTTTTTTTTTTTTTTTGGGGGACGGGGTCTCGCTCTGTCACCCAGGCTGGAGCGCAGTGGCACAATCTCGGCTCACTGCAAGCTCTGCCTCCTGGCTTCATGCCATTCTCCTGCCTCAGCCTCCCGAGTAGCTGGGACTACAGGTGCCCGCCATCACACCCGCCTATTTTTTTTTTTTTTTTGTATTTTTAGTAGAGACGGGGTTTCACCGTGTTAGCCAGGATGGATGGTCTCGATCTCCTGACCTTGTGATCCTCCCGCCTCAGCCTCCCAAAGTGCTGGGATTACAGGCATGAGCAGGAGTCCCATTCTTATAAGCATCAGAATTAAAAACTCAAAATTGGATATCTGATTTGACAGGCAAGTCAAGGGAGTGAGCTAGGCAGATAACTGGGACAAGGACGTTGCAGGTGGAGGTCAGCTGGCATAAACAACCTGAAGCACCGAGTGTTGCTGAGAAAGAGCAAGGAAGCCTGTGTGGCTGGGGCCTGAATGAAGGAATGGGAAGGAAATTAGCTTAGAGAGGTAGCAAAGCGTATTTATCCTTGTATACCGTTGGGAGCACTGATTTTATTTTATTTAAAGCATGCCTTCTTGTCCAAGACAATTCCCCAGTAAAATGTTACTAGTTTATCTAAGCCCAGACAGCCATTTCCCTGATGTATCTTTAAAAATAAAAAATCTAACTCCTGTGTTTTAAATACATTGTGAATCATTAATAAAGCAATATAAATACATTTTATTTTTGTATATTTATAACTATGTTTCAAAATAATGCATTTTCTTTGCAATCTGACATATTTTATCTTATATATTTAAACAGAAGATTCTGACAAATGAAATGCTGGCATCACCAGATTGTTCTAGGAGTTCATTTTTTTTCTGTCTCATTTTTGTCTAAAGAGACAAAAAAGATCTAGAACCTTTTCTAAATTTTAGGGCCTGAATCCCCTCTCTCTTTAAAATGTGTCCGCACCCCCCACCGACCCCATCCCCCATCCCCCCCTACCCCCTTGTTGTGTGGGGCAATTCAGCCTTTTCAGGTGGCTTTATATACCTGTGACTGCCTTTAAAGGTGGCTTTATATACCTGTGGCTGCCTTTGAAGGTGGCTTTATATACCTGTGGCTGCCTTTGAAGGTGGCTTTATACACCTGTAGCTCTGGGGCCTTCCAAGCTAAGCAACAGTACTGCTAAACAGTTAAGTCTACATAGTTCCTGGGTGGTAAGTGATTTCCCTGTATTATTTCACAAAATCATAAAAGCATTTATTTGCCCAGTACCCCACAAGTGATAGAATCTGAGTCCAGAGGTTCGGCCACCAGGGCTCCAGGGCCTGAGGTTTTACTGTGTTGTGTGCTGTGGATGGGTTACTATATCCTTTGACATAAATATATACATACTTGGCTTATGTCTGCTTTGTCCCCAGAATGCACACATATCTGTGGTTAAGACAGTGTTCCTTCTTTCTTTCTCTCTCTTTTCCTTTCTTTGCCCCTCTGCACTGGCATTGAACTCTGGGGAGAAGACACTTGCGTTCTGAGGCTGTTTCTCTGTCTCTAAATGAAGACAGTCAAACTGAATCGTTTCCAAGTCCCCGTCCAGCATTTAAATTCAGTGTAAGAAGGAACTCCTGGCTACGCTGCCTTCCTAACCTGGTCAAGGAATGTTCATTCTTTGTATTGACTGCAGTGTCATTGAATTTGCTGCAAGGCTTTACATCCTCCTCATGAAGAGGTGACCTTGTATCTAGAGTCCCTTCGTCTCTGTCTTTGATGCAGTGATATTTCTCATTGTGAGTGATTCCATAAGCTAGACCAGCAGTTGCCCATATTCCATGGTTGATTAGTTTTCTAGAAAAGAAGAGGACCCTTCACAATCACAGTTCTTGTTTGGAAACCCAACAGGACCTTAACATGTATTCAAAGTGCTGATACCAAATGCCTCTTCTTACTTGGTGCCCACTCCTCTGCACACAAGAACAAGTGTTTTTTTCTTACAAATAACCACTTTTCAGTTCATTCTAGTATCACATGGTTTCTAGACTTCTTTGCAATTTGAGTGGAACTAAACTACAGTTCATTGACAGGCATCACACAGCACGTGTTTATAGAGATTAACAGAATATCTCTGCCCTGGTGACATTGGTAGAAGGCTCATTGAGATGATTTTACTGTGAACGACGTGAATGCCACTATTCTAGTAATAGTGTTCACAGCTGTATCAATTTATGGCTTATTAAGTGTAGGGCCAACTAAATAACACATATTTTTCTACACAACTGTTGTCAAGCTGAATTTGTTCCTTCTAGGAAATAGTACAACCTAATTTTTCATCTAAAGATAGAGGTATACCTGGTCAAATCCTTCATAGCAAGAAAGATACTACTGCTAGTATGAATCTTGACTTAGAAGATGAAAGAAGCTCAAATGTTCAGTTGTTCCAATCCTTTGAATTTATAGCTGAGGGAATGGAAGTCCATCAGGAGGGCATGAAGCCTGTTCAAGTTCACACAGAGGATGTGGAGCCTCTGATGCTCATCGCTGTGGATCCTTCCCATGCCTTTATCCCCCCTCTGCACACCTCACATAGTGTCATGAGTTCCTGTTCTAGAGCTGTGGTCCCCTGAAGCAAATCTACGGGTCTCCCTTCTCCTGTCTTTTCCTTCCTTTGTGTGTGTGTATGTGCGTGTATGTTTGAGATCAATGATTTCTCTTTTGCCTACTTTTGACTTAAGATAACATTTGTTTTGGAGCTCGACAAGCATGACTCAGCAGTGTAACACTCTTTTTAATTTTAATTATTATTATTTTATGGTTATTCTTTTGTGATTATCAAGTTGTTCTTGATGATATCTGGGCACTGTGCAAGACTTCCTTCACTGCATGGGAGTATGTGAGGTTCATTTCAATTGCACTTGTGTTTCCATCTTCTTCCCTTCTATCACTGACTCACTCAAAGCTTGCTTTTGTTTCATAAAGGATCAACCAACAGAAAATTGAGAAAGTCAGTCCATTAATTTGTTTGGCCAGTTTTAGTCATTGGTTGGATTCAAAATACCCCATCTATTCAACCCAGATGGAAAGAACTGACCTTTTCTGAAGCTAAAACATATGCAAAATGGACAAAGCCCATGGCTTGACCTGACCTATTCCTAGGTCATGGTATCCTGATAGAGCATTCTCCCCATCCGACCCTGAGGCACCTGAACCCAGCAACCTCTTTATGCACTCACATTTTCAGCCTTAAGGGTCTTCCCTAAGCTCCGCTTTCTGAGGGTAAAGCCTTTAACTTTCCTTTGTGGACAAATTGCTCACTAGCTCATCATTGGGGTTCAGTGGACAAGGTATCCTTACATGCCATCTCTTCATGAGGGCGTGAAGGCTCCGTTCGTAAAGAACTATGATGTGGTCATGTAATGGGTTCACTTTAAGACTTGAAAATAAGTAAAGCGAATAAGTTACACTATAATTCATCATCTTTCATATATAGCAGTAATGCAATAATACAATAATTACTTTGGTTTTTGTTGGTAAATTATATAAATCATTCTATTCATTAGAGATAATGAAAAAGTAACACAAACATGATGTGATGTCTCCCTTATGCTACTGATTTACTTTATTTCAGTCCCGCCTCACTTCAGAATGCAATTTTTTCCTTGCAGGAATTACTTGTAATGGCAGTGGTAGAACCAGGGGATCAAGATATCCAGCTTCTGATGCAGGAAATCCATCTCTCTTTATTGATAGCCCAGCATCATGCTTTTATCTAGAGAGGCATTTATCCATCTAAACACCCCTAGAAAAGCTATGTGGAAAATGTAAAAGCATCAGGAAGCTCAAAGTTACAGCCAAGGCACAGACTGAATGCTTTAAAATCTTGTCTCATCCACAGAAATCCACAAAGATTATTTCCATAGATCAAGGACATAGTAATGCTGTTTGCCCTTTTTACATAGTAGTACCGTATATTTATTAGCTCTATTGATGAAAATAGGAGAGCAACTCTCCTTGATATTAGAGACCTTGGCAAACGTAAAGTACTTAAAAAATGAATAGACTGCCTTCCGAATGTGAACTCACTGACTAAGCCCAGTGAAAGGAGAGTATGGCATGAAATCAGAGAATGATGAATGGCCAGGATTACGCGCGCGCGCTTGTGTGTGTGTGTGTGTGTGTGTGTGTATGTGAAAATAAACAATATGATTAGTGTTTATTCTTTTTAACAATCCACAAATTGCCTGCTTTTCTCTACTTTTTTTTTTGAGATCAAGCCTCACTCTGTTACCCAGGCTGGAGTACAGTGGGTGTGATCTCAGTGTACTGCAACCTCCGCCTCACAGGTTCAAATGATTCTCCTGCCTCAGCCTTGCCAGTAGCTGGGATTACAGGTGCCCACCACCACGCCTGGCTAATATTTATATTTTTAGCGGGGGGTTGGGGGCGGGGGGATTCACCATGTTGGCCAGGCTGGTCTCGAACTCCTGACTTCAGGTGATCCGCCCACCTCAGCCTCCCAAAGTGCTGGGATTACAGGCATGAGCCACCTTGTCTGGCCTCTACTTTCTCCAGTTAGAAAGTGGAAGAAACTGAGCTTCAAATGTCTTGCTTACAGCTATTTTGGGGCTCTGAGTTGAGATTTTTGTTGTACCATTTGTGAAGCCATCCAGGTGCTGGGTCTAATCATTCCTGGGCAACTGAGATACAGAAGGAGCCCCAGCTCAGATGGTGCACGGGCACATCATACCCTGGGCATTATTTTTGCCCTTTTTCTGGAAGTACGATTGGAAATGGGCAGCAGATGGACCACTTCGCATTTTACCCGTTCAAGCAAGGGGTATTTTTCTTCTAGGAAGTGGGATTTCCAAGCAAAACTGCCGCTTTGGTAGTCACTTGCCATACTTCAGTGTCCATGGAAAAACAACTGCGTATAGGAAGAGGGAAGGGGGACATAGCGTGCCAACTCTAACTCTGATGTCTGCACCACTCATCCATAATCCATGTCCCAGTGGGGAAGGTGATATTCCCTGGCATCTACAGACCCAGCAGGCACACGGTGGGTGAGTGGGCCTGGTCACCTGCAACCGCAGTAGAAACTCTATCCCAAGGCAAAAGGAAATTAAGAAATCCATTTGTGAATAATATTCACAACTACAATACTGTTTTGTTGGATCTTTCTTAGTTTCTTCAGTTCAAGGTTGATTTGTGGCCCATGAGTCTCTGATCCAGACATTTGAAAATCTCTAGACTCAGTGAAAGTCATGTTAATTATAAAATCAGTAAGTACACTATACAAGAGCAGCTTTGAGCTTGGTAGGAAGACGGCCTTCCCAGGAACCAGAGAGGAGAGAGCCAGCTTTGACCCTGCGAGGCACATGGGAGAAAAGAGTTCAGTTGGTTTATATTCTATGAATTTACTTTCCCCATTGGTATTCCGAAGTGTTCACTGAAACACAGCTGCTCCTGGCACTCTAATAGACATTTCCCAGGACCTCATGGCAGCCTTATCCACAGTCTCCAGCCTGCAGTCACATGTATTTTTCAGGGGTTCACTGTTAGCCCTTTGAGCAAATATTTATAGAGTTGTTTTTAAAAAATTACTGATGCTGTAATTAAAAAGAACACTTAATCCAAATTACTTAATAGACGAATAAATGAGTGAATAATCAAAACATTTAATACCACTGGTATATATAAGAAATGAATTAATTTCAAAGTGTGGAAAAATTATGTGGGCTTCTTATCAGTGGTATTAATCTATTTTTGATACATAAACCACCCTAAGAGGTTTTCCTATCTATCCCAAGTGTCATTTTGCAGTATTAGTTTCTCTAGGATGTGTTTTCATTAGCCTCTTAGATATAAATGGCTATACCACTAAAATGTAGGAAAAATCCCAAATGAAAGCCCTTTCCCTATTCACCCTGTTAAGCTTCCTCTTGATGGAAGCTCTCTTCACCCTTGAAAGCTGCTAGGAGGTAATGGAGGGCACTGTGGCCACCCAGCCCTGGTGCACTGAGTACCTTTCCTTAATAAATCACCGTTGGAGTCCTATGGCAACAACCTAACTTGATAACACATATATCTAGATGTCTTGCTTCATTGATATGACAGTGATTTCTCTTTTCATACTCACCTTGGGAATCTAAGATGTTAGAAGCTAATAAATCCCCCACACATAAAACATATAATGATACATTCAGAGAAAGATTCTCTAAACTGATTTCAGCAGTTCTTACATATAATAGAAACACAGACTTGCCTACCATGATTTTGTTACTTTTGTTGTCATAGCCTCATTCATTAGTTTGACAAATACTTGTTGCCCATCTCGAGTGTTCCAGGCACCGTGACAAACACTGGTTATGAACAGCAAAGGAGATGGAAGTAGTCCCTCCTCTCAAGGAGTCTGTCCTCTACTGGGGAGATACAGGGAGGTATCCAGCAGTACAGCCTGTCTGTCTGGAAGGAGCCCACCCCACATGCAGTTGAAAAACACAGCATGGCAGATTTTTCAATTTTAAAAAAAAATCACGTGCTGATTTTATAACAGATTTTAAATATGACCTACCAGTAGATTATAGTTCATCATTTTTGAAAGGCACTGTTGTTAACGATGTAGCACCTTCCCGTCACTGGTATCTCAGTAGCCACCAGTCAGAGCAGCTCCTAGCAGACTCCAGAATCATGTTAATATCTTCCATCCGATCACCTCTCTGAAGACTGTTTGTAGATAAGTGTGTCTTAAGTGAACTTTATTCGAATGAACTCCTACCCTGTAGATGACAGTTTTTGCATGAACCGTAATCAGACATAGATCTTCTTAGGGAACATATAATGGGGAAAATAGGACTTGGCCAGTCATGGCAGATGTTCATTGATGTGTGTCATATGAATAGATGGATGAATAGCACAAGGTAAAGAGTGGTGTGTTTTATAAGGCAGGCACATGCAGATGTTATGAGGACTTGGCAAGGCTAGTAGTAACTCCTTAAAGAATCATGGAAGACCTCAAAAGCCAGGAGGTGGTGTGTGAGCTGGGCTTTAAAGTAAGCCTATGGTTGTGCCATCTGGAAATTTAATTTCACAACATCCTGGAATGTGTTTCCAGTGAATGAGTCAATGAAATGACAGAAGTCAGTGGACAAAGATTACTGGGAATTTTCCTGCAAGATGCAGCACTCAGACCTGGGTTTGAACCCAAACTCTCTCCTACTTTTACCCCAGGACTTTTCCCTTATAAGACAATGCATGTGAAACGTATGGTTATAAAGCTACCCCAAAGTAGAATCTTTTATTATTCTTCAGTAAAACCCTTCATGGGATGAGAGTTTACGAATAAATTCAGAGTTCATCTGGAGGTGCCCGGTGGATCTCTTGATGTCCTAGCTTCCCAGGTACATTGCCAGTTTACAGGAAAATATGCCTTTTTGAAACTGATTGAAAACAAATTAGCTGGGTTTTCTTGGACGATGAATCTGTAGTTTTTCAAAGATCAGAAAATTCCTGTTCTCCAAGAAGACAGGTGCAGAAGTGATCATCTGAGGCTGCTCTCCAAGGTCCTCAGTGTATTTGCAATTTCCTCAGAGTCTGTCAGCCATCACAGCATAGCCTCTTTCTTTTTTCTGGATTTCTTTTTTATTCCATGATAGGTGGAATAAGGCAATCTGGGCCCAGTAATGCTTGTTTTTTAACTCAGTGTCATCACTATCTCTCAGCCAGTGTTGTGTCCCACCCACCAATGGCCCAGTGAAAAGTGATCCAGAATCCCTTCTGAATCACTGAATTATTTGCACACAAACTCATCTATCTGATCTGTCCATCCTCCATGATAAACGGAAATTAGTTTCATTTTCTGCCCTCCCCTTCCTCCTGGAATATCTGACTCTTCAATAAATGAGAAGACAGAGTTATGGTTCATTTACTGACTTGATTTTAATATTTCGGAGAGCATTTAAAACATTTATAGCGCAGCAGTCTTCCTTTTCATAGGAAACAAAAGTCTTCTAAAAGGCAGTCTCATTTCCCGTGTGGTTAGTTGAATACAGAAACCGTGTAGTCAGAAGGAAGGGGCTGCCCTGAGTCAGCCCGGGCTCCCGGGGCTGGACGGAGCTTGCATTTCTGAGCTCCCAGGGCGCCCCCAAGTGGCGATGTCAAGCTCCAAGTTGTTCTCAGTGTGCTCAACAGCAGCGCTTTTATAAGGTTCTTTTTGTTTTGTTTTGCTTTGGCTTTGCTGTTGTTTGTTCGGCTGCTTTTATTTTTGCAGTTGGCTGAATTCATCCGAGGGTTATACAAATCAAAAACTGTAAGTGGAGAGGATCTACCAGTTGTTTTGCAAAGATAGAGGTGCTATCACGGAGGATGCTGTTGGTGTGGCATAGGTGGGAAAGAGAAGCAGTAAGAAGAAAGGAGAATAAAAGAGAAATCCATGAAGCTGTAAGAAGTGTTTTTTTGTCACTTTTTAATGCTGATTTATTCACCTGGATCAAAATAAGGAAAAACACACGAGGTCTAAATCATCAAAATAAGTTGCAAGATAAGGCAGCACGCTTCATGAGGCTGTTTCTCTTGCTTTCTGTTCTCAACACCAGTTCTGTGTAAGATGACCTGCAACATAGACTCTGCATGTAGAATCTGTTAGTGGCTGACCCCTGCCTTATATAAACAAGGCTGGTAAATATGGAGCGAGGCTCACATTCAAACAACAATTCTATGGGCTGGATTAAGACTCAAAGTCCCTAAACACTCATCAAATCATGTTGCCTCTCCCATATGCAATTCCAGAAGGATAATTTATTTTGTTAACTAATAAAAGCAATATCATGTGTGCTGAAAGTATTTTTTCCCACATATTCTGTGTACAGAATTCTATATATGTTCCTAGGGGCTGGAACATTTTTCCTTTAACTGTGATTCTTATTCTGATTACTAGTGTTCTGAATGCACACTTAGCCTGCGTGCTACATGGCCTGTGCAGCTCTTTCCTCCTGCCCCGGGAAGAGGATTTCAAGCCTGTCATCTTCAACTCATAGCAGCCTTGGTGGAGTGGGTTCCAAACTGGCTCTTATGATGCCAGCTCAAAGTCAGCCTCTTGGGAGTCTCTTTAGGGCAACAGGGTTTTGCCTTTCAACACAACTTAAGTATAAAGTGCAGATAAACATAAGAGTGTTATTTTAAAATAAATTTGCTAAAGCATTATTTCTCTTTTCCCCTCTCCCTCCTCCTCTGTCCTTCCTCTACCCTCCTCTTTCAGACTCATACTCCTCCTCTGTGGCTTTACAAATCCTGGATAGAAAACATCTCACAAAACATGTTCTCTTCTCTTCACATATTTAAGAGGCCTTCGAGCATTGACACACATTTGCCTCCAGATTTTCTAGTTGAAGAAATGTGCAAAAATCAATAAAAAGCCCAAATACAGTGGTATTTTTCCCCAGAGTTATGGACAATAACAAATAATCAGGTGGGAAGGCTTGATGATTTTCTTTTTAGATTGTGAGCTACAGGCGGCCATATGTGTTTTAAAGGTTAGGTACATAAAAGAAGTTTTGAGGTTTCCCCTCTGTAACAACTGATTGGCCCTCTCGGGAACTCTGTGCTTAAATAAAGCTGATAGGATTGGCCTCTCTTAGCATGCTTATGCCATAGATGAGCGTCTGATGCTTAGCGACCTATCCTGGTGCAAGAGCCAGGCAGTGGAAGAACCAGGTGTGCAGTGTGTCCAACAGGAATGCTTTTGGCTGTGAAACAATTCCTGGCTGAAAGGGCCTAAGCCCGGGGGATTTTATCTGGGTGGGAAGAGGATTCTGGTTTTAGTTCAGTACCTGCATGCTATCAGGGCTCAAGGTGTGCATCCTTGCAAACACTGGCCCCTTCTTCTCATGTTTGTTTTTTTTGTTGTTTGTTTGTTTGAGACAGAGTCTGTCTCTGTGGCCAGGCTGGAGTGCAGTGAGTGGTGAAATCCTGGCTCACTGCAACCTCTGACTCCCTGGTTCAAGTGATTCTCCTGCCTCAGCCTCGCGAGTAGCTAGGATTACAGTCATACGCCACCAGGTCCAGCTAATTTTTGTATTTTTAGTAGAGCCGGGGTTTCACCATGTTGGCCAGGATGGTCTCGATTTCCCGACCTCGTGATCCGCCCACCTCGGCCTCCCAAAGTGCTGAGATTACAGGCGTGAGCCACGGCGCCTGGCCTCTTCTCATGGTTTCAAAAAGGCTACAGCAGCTTTGAGCATCAAATCCTCACACAACTATGTTCAAAGACAGAAAACAGGAGGAAGTGATGTTGGCAGGCCAGGGGAGGGGTCCCTCCTCTGACCACTCTCTCTTACCAGAGAGAAAAATAATCTTTGCCACAGCCTCCCAGAAAACTTTTTATTTCTGCTTCATCAAGCGGACACCCTTAACTTGTGGATATTCTATATTGGCAGGTAAATAAGTGAGAAGGGATATGGGTGCAGCACGGGGGCAACCAATGAAAGGTTGGCCATACAAGCAGGTGTTCCAATAAGACAGAAGAATACATGAACCATGCTCACAGGAAAATTTATATAGTTTCCTCTTGGAAAACAACAACAAAAACCTTCTGGTCTTATCCAAAGCATTAATTGGATGAAAAATGTCAAGCTTTTCTCAGTGTTCGGTGCAGTACAAACGTAGGATTATTTCTAAGTGGAGGAGCAATAGAAGATAGCACTGTAGAACTCTTCCGTCATGCCAAGAGAAGTTAGATATGACCAATACGATGAAGGGAAATGATAAGGTGACATTATCCCTGAGCTAAAAGTCACCGAATCTGTGACAAGGTATGGGCTAGTCAACTTGTGGAGCTCTCCAGCCCCCTTCTCAATGAAGATTTTAAGGCAAACTAGAATTGCATTACATTTAGTGATTATTTTTCCTCAAAGACCAACGACTTCAATGGGAGATAGAAGAGTCTGTGGATCACTTGCTTTTATTCTCTTCCTATAGCTGTGAAAATTGATTCAAGAAATTGCCAACATTCCACTTTAATCAGGGTAGAAACCAAGAGTTGGGTGTAGTTTATCCATTGAGATGCTCTATGCATTGGCAATGCCATCATTTAAAAACATCATGGAGACTGTTTTTAGTCATATGGACAAATCCAAGCAGGCTGCCTTCCCAGGAAATCAGGAGCAACCTATGAAGTTCTAGGCTTGAAGTTTTTTGATTGGTGGACTTAATAAAATGTAGATATAATCAGTAGATTAAAAGTGAGTACTGGCTGGGCACGGTGGCTCACGTCTGTAATCCCAGCACTTTGGGAGGCCAAGGTGGGCGAATCATCTGAGGTCAGGGGTTTGAGACCAACCTGACCAACATCGTGAAACCCCGTCTCTACCCCAGCTAAAAATACAAAATTAGCCAGCTCTGGTGGCGCATGCCTGTAATTCTAGCTACTTGGGAGTCTGAGGCAGGAGAATCACTTGAACCGGGCAGGTGGAGTTTGCAGTGAGCTGAGATCATGCCATTGCACTCCAGCCTGGGTAAAAAGAATGAAACTCCATCTCAAAAAAAAAAAAAAAAAAAAAAAAAAAAAAAAAAAAAAAAAAAAGGACCTATTCCAAGATTTTCATTAAATGCTCAGATAAGTATACCACCCGAGGATCAGTATTATAACCAGGTATCTTATTGGAAGTCTTGTGTTTTATCTTGGAATACTCATGAGTTCGGTATTCCATCTCCTGGTATATTTGGATTGGATAATTTTATGTTATTTGATAAAATTGCCTACTCAAGGAAGATAGTTATCCTAGGGATTTGAATATCTCAATTGGGAAACTCAGCATTCATTGAGACCACAATCAACCATTTACATCTCATTTTGAGTTGGACTTGAAGTTGTGGATGATATCAGAGCCCTGAGAGAGAGAAATTTAAAAAGGAATCCTGAAAGGCAGATGTAAATATCGCCTTACACTGCTTCTTCTTTTACCCCAAGATGGCTAAGAAAGCCTTCAAAGTCCTTTGAAAGCATTAATTTATCCAACTTTTCCCACAAAGACTGAAATGGGTCTGCATCAATGATGTAATTTGGGTATTGCTGGGTTATACAGGAGCACAATGGTGATGATTATGGGTGCGCTGCAGAGGACTGAGTTAATGGAATCCCATCAGGGACTCAGAGCACAAATTCGGGGCACAAACAGGACCCACCTCATCCCGCTGCAGCTGAGAGTCACTGTTGTTGCTGCTGTGAGTGAGGGAAAAGGCTGATCAAATTGCAGGCTCATGTGACTGGTGGATTTATTTAGCCAATGGGCAATTTCGGTGTACCTCTCAAGCAAAATATAAGTAATTGTTGAGAGAATTACTTTTTTGATTACCAAATTACTATGATTTGAAATGCAATTAGTAGTATAGACAAACCTATTTTTCCCCTTTATGAGAAGGAAATTGTTCGGAAATGGGTATAGTGGTGCTGATAAAGTTACAGTCCACAGTGAATTAAATTACCCACAAGAAGCAGATACATGGTTTCATTTCAGTTTTATTGCTCCTAATGCAATTTGTTTTCATTAATGAGAACCCACATGTATGCATGAATCAGGGTTTTGCACTGATACCTCCTGTGTGGGGTATTTCTTTTTCCAGGTTAGGTTTCATTCTCCATATTTAAGATCTATTGTGTGTATATTGATATTTGCCTATAAATATTAAAGATGCACCTGTGGTTCAGAGAATATGTTAAAATTCAAGAAAAGCTACCGATCTACCTAAAGTAGCATCAACTCGTTTTTTAAATTTGTAGATATTTCCATTTGTACATGGAAATTTAGAGGGAATCTTAAGTGACGGTGAAAAATAAAATGGATTTTATAATGAACCCTTTAACATGCTTGAAAGGAGTGGATTCAGGAGAATTAAGTTCATGAAAGTCAGGTTTGAACTTTAAATGTTTATTAACTTTATTGATTTTTAATTAAGGACAGGATTTTTTTATTGCATTGAAAAAGCAATGAGTCCAAACTAGAGGCACGGAAGATTTTTTTTATGAAATCAGTGTTTGAAAGTAAGGCTTTTTTTTCTTTGCAGTTCTGCAGAGTTCTTCTGCCAAATTGCATATGTTCTGGCAAGATGGGAAAAGGCTCTCTGCTAAGGTACAAAATCAGAGTATCTCAGATAAGCCACAACAGTTGTGGTATGATAGTTTGACCATATCTTTGCCTTTGCTTTGACAATTCCCTTTTGATTTCTACCTTCTTCCTGACATGAAACTTAAACATCAGTTCAAGGGCGAAACAGCATCTGAAAATGTCCTGCAAAGACTAAATGGACTGCATTCTTTTTTGATTCTGAATAAAGTCTTAGAAAAGATAAAAAAAAAAAAAACACTCCCTCCCTCATTTAAATGGTTTCTTTTTTTTATTCTTGAAAAATCCTTACCCTTAGGAGAATCCTTGTCCAATCCTTTAAATGTATAAGCTGTTATCTGAGACCTGAGCAAACATTTGAGAAATCTTCCAGGTCACCTTGGTGCCGTGAAGAAAATTGCTCTAGTACATTGCTCTAGTGCAGTGGTTCTCAGACTTGTGCATGCATCAGAATCATCTGGAGAGCTTGTTAAATGCAGCTTGCCCGGCCCCAGCCCTGAGTTTCAGCTGGTCTGAGACAGGGCCCACGAATCTGCATTTCCAACAAGTCCCTGAATGATGCTTTCGCTGTTGGTCCAGAAACAACTCTTTGAAAGCCACTGTATGAGTAGATTAAAAATGCTACTTGGTGCTGCTATAATAAATAAATCACAGCTTTATTGTGAACACATTTGCAAGCTAGTGGTTTCTAACAGTCCTTTTGTAGTAAGACTAGCAGTGCTCCAAATGTACCAAAAGGAGCAAGAAATTGAGAAAACGGCATCTATTCACAAAAGTAAAGCATTATCAGTCGGATAATTTGTAGTATCAGTCTTGCTTCACTTTGAGGAGTACTGATGATCATCTGCATGAAAGCAAGTTCACTGTAGTTCATGATTTCATCCTTAGAACGTAGCGCAATGAATGGCACATAGTCAGTGCTCAGGTGTTAACTGAATAAGTGAAATGCCTACAAGAAGCATGGACTTGACCATGCCATTTTTTCATGCATTGATTTGGCTTTAATGACACAAGCATGCTGTTTAACCAATTATCCTCAGTGACTTACCCAACAAGTATTTATTTCAAGACCCACATTTCTGCTGGTTAACTGTGATTCAGCTGGTCTACACTGGGCTCGGCTAAGAGACTCTGCTTTGTGCTCCCCAATTATCTGGCTTAGCCCCAGGCTGTGGGTTGTATTGAGGTCTTCTCCAAGTGTGTTTGTTCTGGGGCCAGGCTAAAGCATCGGCTGTTAATAGGGACATGTTTTTGTATGGTGGATCATCAGAGTGCAGAAGCCAGCTAGGGTATGCAAGCAGCTGCAAGGCCTCTGCCTGCATCATGTCCACGCACATCCCATTAGTCCAAGTAAGTCACATGACCAGTCTCAAAGTCAGGGTGGCAGTAGGTGTCAGGGGACAGGTTAAGATGCTTCCCTGCAGGGGGCATGGGGTGGAGAGTAGTATTTGCTGAACAACATTCCAGTCTGTTACAGTTTACAATATGGCAATAATGGCTTATTCCATTTAGAACTCAAAGATGAGTGTTCAGGAGCTGGATATTTATAGGTTGGAAATGCAATCACATGCTCCGCTATATTATGCTCTTGAAAGAAGATGCTGCTACTCAGACTGTCCCACTGAACATCTGAAAAGGGGGTTTGTCACGTAAAGGAAGACTCTTTCCTCTTCCCTCCTTATGTTTCACAGTCATTGTGTTGTTGGAAGAAGAGATGGAAAGATACACTGGAATCTGCAGTACTTGGACCTGGGGGCCAACTTGCTGGGCTTTTCTTATTTTGTTATTTCTGGCCGACAAGCCTTCTCTTTCGGGGGTGAATTAAGTTGTGCTCACACTCAACCCTCCCTAAATCTTAGTCCAGATGCACATTTTAGAAATACACTATACCCCCTTCCTTTATTTGTAACTGCAGTAATTTTTAGTGAAGTCAAGTTTTCCACTCTCTGTAACTGTTTCTATTAGCCTGCAGGAGAGTACCAATTTACGTGGCAGGATTTATTGAGTTGACACTGGCTCTGTTTGTTTTGCTGTCAGGAAAAGACGTTGCATTTGACTGACCCTATCTTTATCCATTTTGGTTTTGCTGTTGCTTTGAAGTCAAAGCCTGAGAATGCCTCTGGGCTGATGCCAATGTCCCCAGAAGACAGTGTAAGCCCTTGTTCCCTGTGGCTCACAGTCAGTTCTAAGGCTGACCATACCGCAAGCAGGACTTGGTCCTTCACAAGGCATGCCAGTGGTCAGCAGAGAGAACAGACACAAGCTTTCTCTTCTTTCTGAATGCAACCATCACCTCTCCTGGTTACAAAATTAAAGCACTGAAGTGCAGAGACTCATTCCTATCACTTTAACATTGAAGGGAATCATATTTAACTTAATTCACCTGACCCTAAGAAGTGTGTGGTTTGAAAAGGGCAAGGCGCTCTAGGGGCACTTTGGAGCAGAAGTCATATCTCGTTTAATCTAATACAGTTTGATCTATGAACTAAGACGTTTTGGAGAACAACATGGTTATGGTCAAATGATCACCAGGGACAAACAGAAAGAGAAGAGAGTCTTCTATACCCCATGCTCCAAAAACCTAAGAGCCTTGGGAAGCACTGTGGAAACGATCATTGTGTCACCAGAAAATAGGAAATGACAGGAGTTCGTGCCTCCTCCAGGGTGAGAGGTGATTATTTGGATAATTTCTGAGGCAATGTTGGTAGCACAAGGCAAGATTTGATAAATATTCAGAGGGCAGCAAGGAAGTTTTAGAGAAAATAATATATATTCTACGTATAGCCTACAGATATTGATCCAGAGAAGGGACATGCATGAAGGCAAGACAACAGAAGTGAAGAAAGGTAGTTAGAAAGTGGGAGGAGAAGAGTCGATTATGGTTCAATGTAGAAAGGCAAGATGAAGAACTAGGGGAGAATCCTAGAGGAAGGTGGTAAGGTTGTGAGCAGCCCTCCGAGGGGCCACAGAGAAAACATGGGATGAGGTTGGCACCAGCCATTTGCGTAGGATCAAAAGCTTGTGCAGCTCACCTGGCGATAAACCTTAACACTCGTGTTAATCAACCACTGTGTTTGTGTACATGACACTAGTGTAGTTAGTTGTACGTATGTTTTGAACTGTGTAAGATCCAAGCAGTGACACAATGGTAGGGCTAAAATGCAGAGACATGTGCTATTGGGAGATTGAAGCTTAACTTTACTGATGTTAGAGAAAGGCTATTTATTGGGTTACAACAAATGATTTTACATAAAACATAATTTTTAAGTATTAAGTTGAAAAGCCCAAATTGACCCAATTCATACTTTAACTCTGTTTTTCAAAAGCCTGAAATAGCAATTATTGTGTGTGTGTGTATGTGTGTGTGTCCTGGATATTTCCTGTTTGAAGGTGTGTAAAAGGTCTTACTACCCAGCCCCTAGTGGAGAGTTCTCTTGCAAAAAACAAAAACGGAAACAAGAAACCAAACATGCTTTGAGAGATAGAGAGTGAGAAACAGATTTTCAGAGTGGAGAATATGCCTTCTATTTATGCATTTAGCATTGTGTTTTCTCAAGCTACCCAGATTTTTTAAAATTTCTCCCCGTTTATGAGTTCAAGCTGATAATATGTAAAAGACAGTGATGCCCACTGTTTTAGGGAAGACCTTCCTTCAGAGTATGCTAACTTAGCCATTTCATTTCTTCAAATATTAGTATTTGGAAAAGAAAAAACAGTCTTAAATATGGTTCTGTCCTCCCTCAGCACCCAGAGAAAAGGGAAGTCAACTACAGGATATAATTCTCTCAGAAATAAGAAAACCTCTTAGCTAATAAAAATCATGCTTAGGCTGCTAAACTCAATGGATGTACTTTTGTTATTCCTACAATGCTTAGCTTGCAGGTAGACCAAAAATTTGCCTTCATTGTCATTTTAAAAATGACTATCCAACATATTTTGCAGCATCTGCCTAATCCCAATGACTTATATTTGTTTTGTAAATTTGTTCTAGGGAAAATAAACACACACCCACACCTTTGTAATAAATAGGGAAGCACTAATCATATGAAACTAGATAGAAAAATGGGTTGGGGGCATTTGGTTTGGAGCAGCATGGAAGAATTAAACTCGACATTAAATAATTTGCAAAATATTTTCAAAAATATTTTCTCACACTTACCCAATAAGTAGGAATAAAAATCTGCTTCATCGCCACAGTGTACTTCAGGCGTTCAAGGAGAAATTGAGTAGAGGGAAATATTGACATGTTTCCTTCCGAACCACTACACCTATTTTGAAATGCCCATTGGGTACTTTTGCTCCTCTTCGGGGTATCTTTTTCCTTGTTTGTGTGTGTGTGTGTGTGTGTGTGGATAAGGGGAGGTGAAAGGTGATTAGAGACAAGAATTGAATTAATTATACATCATAAACATAACATGCCATAGCTTGCCAGTCTTTAAAATTGTATCACTTCACTTATTCTAACATACTAACCACTTTATTTTTTTATATGTGGGACCACAGTGTCCTCACACCCTCGACTGCAATGTGTGTATCCGTGCTTAACACAAATTTGGATGTGTGGGTGCATAAACGTGCATGCACATACACACGAGGTATAGAACATTTATTTATTTATTTATTTATTTAGAGATGGAGTCGTGCTCTGTCGCCAGGCTAGAATGCAGTGGCGCGATCTCGGCTCATTGCAACCTCCGCCTCCCGGGTTCAAGCAATTCTCCTGTCTCAGCCTCCTGAGTAGCTGGGACTACAGGCGCCACCATCACACCTGGCTAATTTTTGTATTTTTAGTGGAGATGGGGTTTCACCATGTTGGCCAGGATGGTCTCAATCTCCTCACCTCGTGATCCACCCGCTTCTGCCTCCCAAAGTGCTGGGATTACAGGCGTGAGCCACCGCGCCCGGCCAGAACATTCTTTAAAATGTCCCTAGAAGCACCGCGTTCAGTGTGCAAGGTGCAAGAGTATAGCCAAGCGCTTTTCAATTTGGGTAAAGGGCGCTCCATCTGGATCATCCTTGAGGAACATCCTCGTGTTCATCCATGCTGTTTCCAGTCCTCCCCAGCATTCCGGCTCCTTTCACACCTGCATCTTTCAGACGCTCGCTCTTTCCTGCCCTCCGTTTCTTCTGCTTAATTGTGAGATTTGCTTCCCAGCACAAATTTTTACTTCAACTCTTTCCCCTGTTGCTTATGAGTTTTATGGTGATTTCATTTTATAATTTTAAGCAGAAATCGCTTATCATATTTTCTTAGATAATTTAATTGAGATTTTAAACTTTAGTTAGATTACAGTTACCTACAATGCCTTGAGAATATAGTTTTTAAAAGTGGCACATATGCTTTATCCCAATAGTATTCTATCTATGATTAATATGCACACATCTATCATTGTATTTTGTATAAACTATATTAGTATGACATTTAGTTTGTGTAAAAATATGCATGCATATTTCATAGATAGCGTATGTATATTACATAAGTGGGACCCTAACTGCATCTATATTTAGTGAAATGTCAGGATCGCGATGCTGCGGTGAATAGCATGAGCTTTCTTTCATGTCCATGTTAGGAGAGGCAGCTTCCTCCCATCAAAAGCACAGCTGGGGCAGAGGAGGGGGTTGAGAGCAAGGTTTTCTATCTATCTAATTGTGGTGACTTTTAAAGTTTAGTTTTATGGCTCTGTTGCCTCTGTCTTCAAAGTCAAATGGAGCAGCTGAAGCTCTCCCCACCCCAGACCCACCTGCCTGGCCTCTCCCATGCAGCAAGTTTCGCTTAGCTGTTGCAATCCTGGTTTTACTTGGTTTTGTATTTGCTATTTTTTAAAGTGTTTTTAAACTCATGTTTCTTCATAGTAAAGGGTAACTACTGTGGAGTAAACAGAAGATGAGCGTGGTACAAATTTTGGTTAAACCAAAAACTACACACTGGATTGAAAGCTTGGGGAAGGGAGGCAGGTGGAAGGGACTGAAGGAGGTCTCTTCCCAGGAGACTTGTTCACCGGCATCCAGTATTCTCCCCCGCAGTTAGGGAAACAGAGGGAGCATGCAGTTTCAGGCCCAGGCAGGCCTCTCTCTGGGCTTGGGGCAATGCCAGGGCTGGGGGCGAGCCTGCAGTCAGCCTTGTGAGTGGCAGCCGAGGCTGTTATTTTGAAACCCTAAGTGGAAACAGGCATGGAAACCCGGAAGGAGCAGGGAGCCTTAGGCAGTCCTGGGAGATGAAGCCAACGCCCTACCTCCATGTGGAAGGAGGCGGCGGAATGGGCAGGGTCGGGTCTCACAGGTTCCCCCCTCTGGAGTTGGGGTTTCCCGGCCCACGTTCACTCTCTGGATGTGATAGGTCCTTCCCGGCCGGGAAGGGCTGGAAGGGGCGCGCAAGGAGGACGTGGGGACGAGACGAGAGAGACGCGTGCCCAGCAACTCCAGAAGGACGGAGAGGAGTGCAGAAGGGAGCCGGGGAGGACGCGGGAGGGCCGGGAGGGGAAGAGAAGCCAGGCCGGGCCTGGAGCGGAGGAGCGGAGCCCGCTGGTGCGGGTGTCCACACAGGGGCGCTGGAGCGCGCCTTCCTGCGGCTGGGCAGGAGGCAAGCCCGAGAGCGCGCGGCGAGTGGAGCCATGTCGCCCTCCCTCGCTCTCGGCGGGCACAGTGAGGCGCAGGCTTTGGAAAAGTTGCGGGCAGCCGGAGAGCCGAGCCTCCGCCTGCGTTCATGATAATGAGAATGGAGTCGCGGTCACAGCCGGGCTCTCTGCGGGGCGCATCGCCCGCGAGGGGCGCCTGGGCCTCTGGGCGTCCTCTGCCGCCCCGCGACCTTTCCTGCCCTCCTCCGGAGAGAGGCGAAGGGAAGGGGCGGTTTCGGAGGGAGCTGGGCTGTGGAGGGAGGGCGGCCTCTTCACCAGCGTCGTCCGACCACCCCGCGCCCTCCTGGTGGCTCTCCCACGCCCCATTCGCACCCCAGGTCCTCGGGGTGTCTCTGGTGTTGCTTCAAGTTAGGCAAGAGGAGCTGGGGGCGCGGGGAGCCCGGCGCCGCAGCGCGTGCGTGGCTGGGGCGCCCCGGGGCCGGCTGCACCTTCAGTCGCCCCCTGGCCGGCCTGCCTGCCTCGACCTCCGCATCCCCTTGCACCGTCCGCTCGCGTGCTGCGGGGCACTCGCAGCACTACCTTCGGTGGGGCCGCAGCACCCTGAGCTCCCGGGACTCCCCCACCGCCCCCGCACCCACGACCCGCGTGGTCCCAGCCCCTCCACCCTCTTCACGCACCCTCGCACCCTTTTGTGCGACCCCGTGCCCTCTCCGGGCTGCCAACCCCTGCCACCCAGGTGCCAGTCCCGGGCGCGGGGAGGAGGCCGGTGGGGAAGGGGGCGGAGGGGCCGGGGTGGAGGAGGAGCTGCGCGAGGGGCCTGGGGGCGGGGAGCGAGGAGAGCGCTCGGAATGTGTGCCGGTCTCTAGGTGGTGCCAAATTCTGGGGCCTAGGCATTTCCCTCGCTTTATGTTTTTGGTTTTTTTTCTTCCTTCAATCTCTTTGATTAGGCCGTACGTGGCTGTGGCAAGGAGTTGGGGAAAAAAATTATAAAAACAGGAAAGAGAGAAAGCACAGCCAGAGCCCCGGCTTCGCGAGCCGCCGGGGAGGGGGCGGAGGAGGCTGAGCCAGGCAGAGTCGCCAGCGGAGACTCGCGAGTGGCGCGCGGGAGGAGCGGCCGCCGGCGCTGGGCTTGCCTTGCTGCTGCTGCTGCTGCTGCCTCCCCACCGCCTTTTTTTTTTTTTAATCTGGAGCGGGGTGGGGAGTGGGAACCGGAGAGAAAGCAAAATATTAAAAAGCCCCAAAGACAGCCAGCAGGAGCGCGGTGCCCGATGGCTTCGCTGTACCAGAGGTTCACTGGCAAGATCAACACCTCGAGGTCCTTCCCCGCGCCCCCGGAGGCGAGTCACCTCCTGGGCGGCCAGGGGCCCGAGGAGGACGGCGGCGCAGGAGCCAAGCCCCTCGGCCCGCGGGCGCAGGCGGCGGCGCCCCGGGAGCGCGGCGGCGGCGGCGGCGGCGCGGGTGGCCGGCCCCGGTTCCAGTACCAGGCGCGGAGCGATGGTGACGAGGAGGACGTAAGAGCTTCTCGGGGGCGGGGGGCGGCGGCGGGTTCTCCGGGCTGAGCGCGCAGCGAGACGCGTCGGCAGGGGAAATTTTTTTTGGGGGGGGAATCAGGCGCCCTCCCCCCGCCCACGACTCTCCGGGCGCCCCCAGACAGGCTCCGTGGCGCCAGATCGCGGTCACCGCGTCCCGGAGGGAGCGGGTCTGTGTCTGCAGCCGCGGCGGCCGGGAGTTGGTGGCTGGAGAGAGCGGGGTTTGGGTACTGCGCCTGCTGGGATCTGGAATTCGCCTTACGTTCCCTGGGTGCGCGGATGTCTGTTTTTAACAGCATGCTGCTATGGTTCCTAAGGAGAGAATTCGATCGGCCTGTGCTTACGAGTTGGTTTATTTTTTATTTATTTCGTGCTCCGGGAACACAGCCTCAGGCACCTTCTCTCCCTCCCACCTGTGTCTGGAATCTCTCCATCGTGCCCCTCCTCTCCTACTCACTCTGTCCCTTGACTCAAATGCCTCTCCTTCGTTCCTCTTCTTACTTCTCCTAGACACTTTTTCCCCCCAGCGGTGGTGATGGTGATTATCCTTTCCGGAAAAAAAAAATACCAAAATACTGGCATCTGAGCCCCAACCCTCTGTCCCAGGGCCCAGCTCTTTTGCTGAGAGCCCTCAGGCCGTGTCTGTCTCCCCTCCCAGCCCTGGACTAGCACCTCTGCCTTAGACCGTGTTCAGTGAAAACTTCTCCGAGAGCACATTTCCTACTCTTCATGGGGGCTGGAAGCCTGGGTTTCAAAGGTTGGATTTGCACATCGCCCTAGTAACCAATGACTCATGCAGGACAGGAGCCGGACCTTAGATGGATGCGTTTAACCACCTCCTGTGGATCCCTTTCAAGGATGCAGAGGGCTGCTAGGACTTAGAAGGGAGGAAACTGTGCTTTTTCTTTGAGGCCTTCTTTTCCCAGGGAAAAGAGAAAAATCCCCGACAGGCTCTCAGAGAAACAGGTCTGGCTTGGCTGGTACAGCTCTTATAACAGCTAGGCTGTGTTGGTTTGTAGAAATTACTATGTATGCCTTTGAGGAGTTTCACAACTGCTCAACCTGGGAACCGCAGGGGTCCCACCGGCCTCTCACTTAGTCTACCCTGACATACCCAGGGCAGTACATTGCCGGGCACTGAGTAGGTGGTTTTGGTCATTACCTCTCTGCAGCCTCCAGCCACGCTGGTTCCCTGTTTCGTATTTCTTTAGTGCAAGAGTTGTGTTTGGGTCGAGGGAGGGGTGAGACATTGAGTGATTTCCCAGGGACAATTCCTAATTGCCAGATACTATGAAATCAGTGAGGTTTTGCTGTTGTTATTGGTAGTTTTTGTTTTATGAATGAAGGATGTGGAAACTTTAATGGAGATCACAAAACTTTGTGGGAGATGTGGTTTGCACACACACAGGTACACACCCCCTACAGCCCTGCGTCAGATTTTGCATGAGGTTTTGTGATTTTCTCCTGCATCGTTTCCAGACTCCCCTGGTTAAATAGTCATTCAAAGGCATGTCCCTCACTTTGGTGGGCCAAGCCCTGAGGGAAATAGACAGATCCTTCAGTCATCTGGTTCAAGTCTTTGGCAAATGGTTTAATTGGGGGAGGGTGAAGAGTTCTGGAGGATTAAACTACCGAGAATCTTGGGGAAGACAGTTAAGCTGCAATGCAAACAGGAAAAATGTACTTTTTACCTTAAATCTGACTTAAAATTGTTGAATTGTGGATGTTTGGAATGAGAACAATGTGCAGTTTTTTTCTCAACAGGCTCTAGGTGTCGCTAGGAGAAAGGAAAGGCAAGAGCTCTGAATTTTATTTCAGATGATCTCCATCTTTTTTTAAAAAAATCTTAACTTGGAGTATACATGTCCTTCTTTTTATTGTGACATGTGTCTAGAAATGATTCTCAGATAAACACAGGTGTCCTGAGAAACAAATCAGGGATATAACATGTACATTTGTTAATGGGGTTCTAAACAGCATCTCTAACTTAGATGTAAGTCCTGACATGCTTTTTTTTTTTTTTTCTGGAAAATACACAATGTGTGTGGGTGGGCGTGTATTGTGTGTTTATATAGTGTACTCCCGATATATATATGCACACATATATACTTGCCCATTATCTGCACATATATATCTGGCACACATCTGCAAAATGCATTGCACATATGTCCTTTAAATTGTATAATTAAACTCATGACACAGGCTGAATGTTGCATCCTTTAAAAACAACAACAAACTTTTATGCACTCTTCTTAGAAAAGTTCCTCAGAATAGGAAAAGTTATGCCCCCAAATTTACTAAAAGATAGATGAACATATCAAACCACTTTTCCTCCAGGAACAAAAGCTTCAATTTGCTTAAAGTGTATTGAAAAACAAAAACAAAAAAAGAGATTAGGTAGAAAAACTGCTTTTTAGGTACAGATACTTGCCAAGGCAAGGCTGAAGAATCTAGAGTAATCATTTTGCTACCCAAATTTAAAGCTGAGGATATGCAATGAATTAGGAACACATTGCATTTTATTACGTGTCTTGCAACTGCTGACAACCTCAAGACAAACCGAGGCTTTCCTTTTCCACATCTGCAAGCAGCTGGGAGCGCCGCTACTTCGGTGGGAGCTGTCTGAGGTGCTGAAACCTTCTCTTGGCTTAGCGCAGGAGAAATCTCCATCACTCTTGCCTTTTCAGTCCTGATCCCAAGGCTGGTGGCTTTATCGCTGTTCTCTGGCTTGTCAGGGAAGACTGTTCCAAGGTACAGAAACAGCTTCGCTGCCTTGGTCACTAAGATGATGGCAAGCAGCATACCTTTATAATCCTTAGGACTTTGTACCTGTTGTCCTTCTGTCTGGAAATTGAGAAATATAGTTCTTGGCTTCTGTGCATGTGTGTACACCTACATGCCTGAGCATGACTGAGAATGGGCAATTACCCAGCCACAACCCAAATAAAATTTATGGTAGTCTAACAAGGCTAACACAGAGAAATAAAATGCGGAGATAGAATGGCTAGAATTAATAATGCATGGTCTAAATGCACAAACTACACAGGCAACAAAGGGACTTCCCAACTGTGTGGCTCCACAGGAAAGCCTGTTTTGGGTGGGTCAGTACTAACATGCAAAGTCTGACTTCAAAATAGAAATAAAACCAGAGGGTCTTCTCTATCCACTTCCTTGTAAATCTTAGATTTATTTAAATATAAAGTCAATTACTTGGGCAACTCCTCTGAGGAATCAATAGCCCTTCTGATTTAAAATTCATTGTGTAGGTTTAAAAATAAGTTGACTCTTAAAGGAATTGTTGCTGGAAGTGACTTTTAGTGGAATGTATTAACTTTCATTTGGATTAACTGTGGCTAATTTTAAAATACTGAACTTTGTCATCCGCCTGCTTGAACATTTCTTTTTAGTTTTTTAAAGGGCTTTGGAGGCCTTCTGTACCATTAGAGCAGTAGTTTTTTTAAGGTTATACAGTGTGTTCCTGTATCCTTCATTTTCAGTGACACGTGGCTTCTTAGCAATACAAATGTGATGACAACAGGATTTTAAAGCAGCAAATTGGTTAAAACTGGGATAGATGGGCAAATCACCACCCATGATGTCCACCAGCCTTGGAAGGGCCAATTTCATCATCCGCTATGTCTTCGGCAACCAACCCATTTTTTTCCTCCACCTTGGTTTTTCATTGGTATAATGTCAACATTCTGTTAATGTGTCCTTGGGATCTATCAACTTTACGATTTCTTAACTAGCTTCCCTCTACAAATATGTTTTTATACTCTATTACTTTTCTTCTGTTTCAACTGTAATTTAAAATTTTTTAAGTTTCACATGATTTTCCTGATAAATGAGAAAAAGTCTAAATCTTTCAACTGTCTATTTGATCCCATTACTCTCATCACCAATAGGACCAGTGCTTGGTGTACTCACCTACAGAATAGCTATGGATATTGCAGGAGCATGGAGAGTTGCAATGTTGCCCTCTCTTGATCCCAGTGGCCCCTACAAAGTGGGAGCCATGAGGCCAGGTACTGAGAAGTGCCCAGTGAATACATGCTGCTGCTGTTACTAATAATATTACTGTTTCTAAAGGATGGCCACCCTGTTTGAGGGCCTTGGCAGCAACTGCCCAGCTAGTACAAGAAGCAAAAAAGCTGACTCTTGGGCAAAACCTGAACATAAAGGCCTCCCATTTCGTGGTGGTTGAGAGCCAGCCCCTCTTCCCCCTCTGGCTCTTGTGACCCCCATCACAGGGTGGGGAGACACCCCCCGCGAGGCGGGGACTGAGAGCCAGCCCCTCTTCCCCCACTGGCTTAGGACGCCCATCGGGGATCCTAAGATCCTTAGGACCCACCTGGAGGACTGTGGGTATGAGGTGTTCAAGAAGAAAGCTCAAATCTTCCGACGGCAGGTACCTTGCGTGGGATTTACAATACGACAGGGGTCCGAACGCAGCTCAGGAACAGAAAGAAAGCAGGTTATTTGCAATCTACCGGAGCTTAAGGGCAGAAGGCAGGTGAGAGAATTCTTAGGAGCTGTGGGGTTTTGTAGGCTGTGGATCCCAAACGTTGCAGTATTAGCCAAGCCTTTGTATGAGGTCACAAAGGGGGCGGGGACCCGGAACCTTTGAAATGGGGATCCCGACAACAGCAAGTCTTTCATTAGTTATAAGAAAATCTTCTGGCAGCCCCAGCCCTGGGGCTACCCGATCTGACAAAGCCTTTTCCATTGTATGCGTCAGAGAGAGAAAAGATGGCAGCTGGACTTTTAACCCAAACTGTGGGGCCCTGGCTGAGGCCGGTAGCCTACGTCTCTAAACAACTAGACAGGGTTGCTAAAGAATGGCCCCCCTATTTGAGGGCCTTGGCAGCAACTGCCCTGCTAGTACAAGAAGCAAATAAGCTGATTCTTGGGCAAAACCTGAACATAAAGGCCCCCCATTTTGTGATGGCTGAGATCCATCCCCTCTTCCCCCCTGACTCTTGGGACTCCCATTGCGGGTGGAGGGAGGCATCCCCCATGAGGCGGGGACTCAGAGCCAACCCCTCTTCCCCCCCCTGGCTCTTGGGACCACCATCGCAGGGGGGGAGGCAATCCCCGCGAGGCGGGGACTGCGAACCTCCCCCTTTCCTCCCCTGGCTCTTTGCACCCCCATCGCAGGGGGGGAGGCACCCCTCGTGATGCGGGGACTGAGAGCGAGCCCCTCTTCCCCCCTTTGCTCTTAGGATCCCCATCGCTGGGGGCGGAGGCACCCCCCGCGAGGCAGGGACTGAGAGCCAGTCCCTCTTCCCCCCCTGGCTCTGAGGACCCCCATCGCAGGAGGGGGAGGCAACCCCGCGAGGGTGGGGACTGAGAGCTATCCTCTCTTCCGCACCTGGCTGTTGGTACCCCCATCGTAGGGGGGGGGAGGCACCCTCCGCGAGGCAGGGACTGAGAGCCAACCCCTGGTTCCCCCACTGGCTCTTAGGACCCCCATCGCAGAGGGGGGACGCACCCCCCGCGAGGCGGGGACTGAGAGCCAGACCCTCTTCCCCCCCCAGCTTAGGACCCACATCGTTGATCCTAAGATCCTTAGGACCCACCTGGAGGACTGCGGGTGGTAGGTGTCCAAGTAGAAAGTTCAAATCTTCCGACGGCAGGTACCTTACGTGGGATTACTGAGAGCCAGTCCCTCTTCCCCCCCGGCTCTGAGGAACCCCATCACAGGAGGGGGAGGCACCCCCCACGACAGTGGGGACTGAGAGCTATCCCCTCTTCCGCCCCTGGCTGTTAGTACCCCCATCGCAGGTGGGGAGGCACCCCCTACGAGAGTGGGGACTGAGAGCTATCCCCTCTTCCGCCCCTGGCTGTTAGTACCCCCATCGCAGGGTGGGGGAGGCACCCCCCCGCGAGGCAGGGACTGAGAGCCAGCCTCTGTTCCCCCACTGGCTCTTAGGACCCCCATCGCAGAGGGGGGAGGGACCCCCCACGAGGCGGGGACTGAGAGCCAGTCCCTCTTCCCCCTCTGGCTCTTAGGAACCCCATCGCAGGAGGGTGTGGCACCCCCCACGAGGGTGGGGACTGAGAGCTATCCCCTCTTCCGCCCCTGGCTGTTAATACCCCCATCGCAGGGTGGGGGAGGCACCCCCCGCGAGGTAGGGACTGAGAGCCTGCCCCTGTTCCCCCACTGGCTCTTAGGACACCCATCGCAGAGGGGGGAGGCACCCCCCTTGAGGCGGGGACTGAGAGCCAGACCCTCTTCCCCCCCTGGCTTAGGGCCCCCATCGTTGATCCTAAGATCCTTAGGACCCACCTGGAGGACTGTGGGTATTAGGTGTCCAAGTAGAAAGATCAAATCTTCCGACGGCAGGTACCTTACATGGGATTTACGATCCGACGGGTCCGAACGCAGCTCGGGAACAGAAAGAAAGCAGGTTATTTGCAATCTACCGGAGCTTAAGGGCAGAAGGCAGGTGAGAGAATTCTTAGGAGCTGTGGGGTTTTGTAGACTGTGGATCCCAAACTGCAGTATGAGCAAAGCCTTTGTATGAGGTCACAAAGGGGGCGGGGACCCGGAACTTTTGAAATGGGGATCCCAACAACAGCAAGTTTTTCATGAGTTACAAGAAAATCTTCTGACAGCCCCAGCCCTGGGGCTACCCGATCTGACAAAGCCTTTTCCATTGTATGCGTCAGAGAGAGAAAAGATGGCAGCTGGACTTTTAACCCAAACTGTGGGGCCCTGGCTGAGGCCCGTAGCCTACGTCTCTAAACAACTAGACAGGGTTGCTAAAGGATGGCCCCCCTATTTGACGGCCTTGGCAGCAACTGCCCTGCTAGTACAAGAAGCAAATAAGCTCATTCTTGGGCAAAACCTGAACATAAAGGGCCCCCATTTTGTGATGGCTGAGATCCATCCCCTCTTCCCCCCTGGCTGTTGGGACCCGCATCGCGGGAGGGGAGGCACCCCCCGCGAGGCGGGGACTCAGAGCCAACCCCTCTTCCCCCCCTGGCTCTTGGGACCACCATCGCAGGGGGGGAGGCAATCCTCCCGAGGCGGGACTGCAAACCTCCACCTTTCCTCCCCTGGCTCTTTGCACCCCCATCGCAGGGGGGGAGGCACCCCTCACGACACGGGGACTGAGAGCGAGCCCCTCTTCCCCCCTTTGCTCTTAGGATCCCCATCGCTGGGGGCGGAGGCACCCCCCGCGAGGCAGGGACTGAGAGGCAATCCCTCTTCCCCCCCTGGCTCTTAGGACCCCCATCGCAGGAGGGGGAGGCACCCCCCGCGAGGCAGGGACTGAGAGCCAGCCCCTGGTTCCCCCACTGGCTCTTAGGACCCCCATCGCAGAGGGGGGAGGCACCCCCCGCGAGGCGGGGACTGCGAGCCAGACCCTCTTCCCCCTCTGGCTTAGGACCTCCATCGTTGATCCTAAGATCCTTAGGACCCACCTGGAGGACTGCGGGTGTTAGGTGTCCAAGTAGAAAGTTCAAATCTTCCGACGGCAGGTACCTTACGTGGGATTACTGAGAGCCAGTCCCTCTTCCCCCCCCTGGCTCTGAGGACCCCCATCGCAGGAGGGGGAGGCACCCCCCACGAGAGTGGCGACTGAGAGCTATCCCCTCTTCCGCCCCTGGCTGTTAGTACCCCCATCGCAGGGGGGGAGGCACCCCCCGCGAGGCAGGGACTGAGAGCCAGTCCCTCTTCCCCCCCTGGCTCTTAGGACGCCCATCACAGGAGGGGGACGCACCCCCCATGAGGCAGGGACTGAGAGCCAGCCCCTGTTCCCCCACTGGCTCTTAGGACCCACATCACAGAGTGGGGAGGCACCCCCCACGAGGCGGGGACTGAGAGCCAGACCCTCTTCCCCCACTGGCATAGGACCCCCATCGTTGATGTTAAGATCCTTAGGACCCACCTGGAGGACTGTGGGTATTAGGTGTCCAAGTAGAGAGTTCAAATCTTCTGACGGCAGGTACCTTATGTGGGATTTACGATCCGACGGGTCCGAACGCAGCTCGGGAACAGAAAGAAAGCAGGTTATTTGCAATCTACCGGAAATTAAGGGCAGAAGGCAGGTGAGAGAATTCTTAGGAGCTGTGGGGTTTTGTAGACTGTGGATCCCAAACTGCAGTATTAGCCAAGCCTTTGTATGAGGTCACAAAGGGGGCGGGGACCCGGAACTTTTGAAATGGGGATCCCAACAACAGCAAGTTTTTCATGAGTTACAAGAAAATCTTCTGGCAGCCCCAGCCCTGGGGCTACCCGATCTGACAAAGCCTTTTCCATTGTATGCGTCAGAGAGAGAAAAGATGGCAGCTGGACTTTTAACCCAAACTGTGGGGCCCTGGCTGAGGCCGGTAGCCTACATCTCTAAACAACTAGACAGGGTTGCTAAAGGATGGCCCCCCTATTAGAGGGCCTTGGCAGCAACTGCCCTGCTAGTACAAGAAGCAAATAAGCTGATTCTTGGGCAAAACCTGAACATAAAGGCCCCCCATTTTGTGATGGCTGAGATCCATCCCCTCTTCCCCCCTGGCTCTTGGGACTCCCATCACAGGGGGGGGAGGCACCCGCTGCGAGGCGGGGACTCAGAGCCAACCCCTCTTCCCCCCCTGGCTCTTGGGACCACCATCGCAGGGGGGGAGGCAATCCCCGCGAGGCGGGGACTGCGAACCTCCCCCTTTCCTCCCCTGGCTCTTTGCACCCCCATCGCAGGGAGGGAGGCACCCCTCGCGACGCGGGGACTGAGAGCGAGCCCCTCTTCCCCCCTTTGCTCTTAGGATCCCCATCGCTGGGGGCGGAGGCACCCCCCGCGAGGCAGGGACTGAGAGGCAATCCCTCTTCCCCCCCTGGCTCTGAGGACCCCCATCGCAGGAGGGGGAGGCAACCCTGCGAGGGTGGGGACTGAGAGCTATCCCCTCTTCCGCCCCTGGCTGTTGGTACCCCCATCGCAGGGGGGGGGAGGCACCCCCCGCGAGGCAGGGACTGACAGCCAGCCCCTGGTTCCCCCACTGGCTCTTAGGACCCCCATCGCAGAGGGGGGACGCACCCCCCGCGAGGCGGGGACTGAGAGCCAGACCCTCATCCCCCACCGGCTTAGGACCCACATCGTTGATCCTAAGATCCTTAGGACCCACCTGGAGGACTGCGGGTGTTAGGTGTCCAAGTAGAAAGTTCAAATCTTCTGACGGCAGGTACCTTACGTGGGATTACTGAGAGCCAGTCCCTCTTCCCCCCCGGCTCTGAGGACCCCCATCGCAGGAGGGGGAGGCACCCCCCGCGAGGGTGGGGACTGAGAGCTATCCCCTCTTCCGCCCCTGGCTTTTGGTACCCCCATCGCAGGGGGGGGAGGCACCCTCCGCTAGGCAGGGACTGAGAGCCAACCCCTGGTTCCCCCACTGGCTCTTAGGACCCCCATCGCAGGAGGGGGAGGCACCCCCCGCGAGGGTGGGGACTGAGAGCTATCCCCTCTTCCGCCCCTGGCTTTTGGTACCCCCATCGCAGGGGGGGGAGGCACCCTCCGCTAGGCAGGGACTGAGAGCCAACCCCTGGTTCCCCCACTGGCTCTTAGGACCCCCATCGCAGGAGGGGGAGGCACCCCCCGCGAGGGTGGGGACTGAGAGCTATCCTCTCTTCCGCACCTGGCTGTTGGTACCCCCATCGTAGGGGGGGGGAGGCACCCTCCGCGAGGCAGGGACTGAGAGCCAACCCCTGGTTCCCCCACTGGCTCTTAGGACCCCCATCGCAGAGGGGGGAGGCACCCCCCGCGAGGCGGGGACTGCGAGCCAGACCCTCTTCCTCCCCCAGCTTAGGACCCCCATCGTTGATCCTAAGATCCTTAGGACCCACCTGGAGGACTGTGGGTGTTAGTTGTCCAGGTAGAAATTTCAAATCTTCCGACGGCAGGTACCTTACGTGGAATTACTGAGAGCCAGTCCCTCTTCCCCCCCTGGCTCTGAGGAACCCCATCACAGGAGGGGGAGGCACCCCCCACGAGAGTGGGGACTGAGAGCTATCCCCTCTTCCGCCCCTGGCTGTTAGTACCCCCATCGCAGGGGGGGAGGCACCCCCCACGAGAGTGGGGACTGAGAGCTATCCCCTTTTCCGCCCCTGGCTGTTAGTACCCCCATCGCAGGGTTGGGGAGGCACCCCCCCGCGAGGCAGGGACTGAGAGCCAGCCCCTATTCCCCCACTGGCTCTTAGGACCCCCATCGCAGAGGGGGGAGGGACCCCCCATGAGGCGGGGACTGAGAGCCAGTCCCTCTTCTCCCTCTGGCTCTTAGGAACCCCATTGCAGGAGGGTGTGGCACCCCCCACGAGGGTGGGGACTGAGAGCTATCCCCTCTTCCGCCCCTGGCTGTTGGTACCCCCATCGCAAGGGGGGGAGGCACCTCCCGCGAGGCAGGGACTGAGAGCCATTCCCTCTTCCCCCCCTGGCTCTTAAGACCCCCATCGCAGGAGGGGGAGGCACCCCCCGCGAGGGTGGGGACTGAGAGCTATCCCCTCTTCCGCCTCTGGCTGATAGTACCCCCATCGCAGTGAGGGAGGCACCCCCCACGAGGCAGGGACTGAGAGCCACTCCCTCTTCCCCCTCTGGCGCTTAGGACCCCCATCCCAGCGGGGGGAGGCACCTCCCGTGAGGTGGGGACTGAGAGCCAGCCCCTCTTCCCCCCCGGCTTAGGACCCCCGTCGTGGATCCTCAGATCCTTAGGACCCACCTGGAGGACTGTGGATATTAGGTGTCCTAGAAGAAAGTTCAAATCTTCCGACGGCAAGTGCATGATAGTCTGCATGAAACCCTAATAAAAAAGACAGTGAAGGAGAATCATGTCAGGAGCTGATACTCCTGAGTCTCGGGAAGCCTCCAGGGACAGAGCACAGCTAGAGCATCCAAGAATGAGAAGAGCCCTAGAGCAAACGCAAAGCCCAGGAAGAGATAATTGGTTTGAGAAGAAAAGGGTCCAGGAGTTATTGCAACCCAGCTAGCAAGCAGAGTCCTGGGCTGATCAGAGTGGGGAAAAGCCACTGAGTTGTTCAATGGTAGGACAAACAGAGCCCTGCTGCAGGGAGGGGACACTCATCTACCCTGTACCCCCATACACCTCTGTCCCGCTCCCCGTTCAGGCTGACAATGTGCTCACCACACAGCAGCACCTCCTGGTCTTGATTGTTGGGGCCCTCGCAATCATTGCACTGGCCCGTCCTGCCATCTGACCAGAGCTCTTCCCTGCTACACTCTTCTGTGAGTCTCCAGCAGGACCTTTTGCACATCAGCAAGCTGGGCAGCGTCAAGTGCCTGGAATCCACCCCATGCCTTCCCACCTCTGGACATTTGCTCATGGTTCAATTCATGGCCATTGAACTTGTCTTGGTCAGTTTTCTTTCAGCTCTCAGTGATAGACACATTCCACAATGACCTACAGAGAAAAAAAAGGCTCAAATTGTATAGCAAACCACTACCTCTACTAAAGTAACCTATTGTTCTTTAGAACTGAAGACCAGAGGCTGTGGGACTTCAGTCTTATCTGGGATGTGGTGCTGACATGATGTTCCCAAAACTCTTTCTATCTGTGTCCCTAACTCTCAGATTTACTTTTCTCTGTGGGTGTTAATCTCAAGCAGATAGCAAAGGTAGTTTCTGCTCTAAGCTCATGAAGTTTTACAGTTCCTAACGAGAGAGGAAGACAGAGGCATGCTCTCTCCCAGGGTCTACATGTGAAATCTCATTCAGGGTTTCTGGTTGATCCAGCACTGGTCACATGGCCCAGCCACTTGGAGTCAGTTGTGTTGTCAGAGCCTGCACCGCAAGCGCGTTGCACAGACAGGAACAGGACTGGCCAGGGAGGGAATCTCCATTAGGACAAAGTGGTTCTGCAGACCTTGCAGCGTCTCCTCCTCAAATGCCTTTTCCTTACAAGAGCTTCCTCTCAAAATGCACCCCTCCTTTCAGGTCCCATTCTAATGCTGTCACCTCCAAAGCAGCAACCTCATCTACCTGTCTCAACTCCCTAAATGGGTGACTGTTCCTGCATCTGAATTTCCATAGCATTATCATGACACACCATCCTCACCATTGTCACTATCTTACCTGTAATCATAGCTGCTTGTGATGAGCAGCAGCTGGAAGGACAGACATCACTGCCACTTAAACCAGCTCCAACAAGGCAGAGATGAAATAGACCGGAAGAAGGGGCAAGGCTGTGAGGGCCCTGGGAGCAAGCAGGGACACCTCCCATCACTCTTTGAGGGCCCTGGGAGCAAGCAGGGACACCTCCCATCACTCTTTGAGGGCCCTGGGAGCAAGCAGGGACACCTCCCATCACTGGCTGCCATACAGGGTGAAAACAATACAGCCTGAGTGCCCACATTCCATTCCAGCATTCCCCCCAGTAAGAACAAAACAGGAAGGGCCCAAGGAAAACACAACCAGCAGTGAAGTGGAGCTCTGTCCTCTTTGCTGTCCTCACTGGCCGGGTGCACAGGCCAGGCCCTACTGAATACTACTACCTAAGCAGTTACACCATGGCCTTAGTACCCCCGCCCCCGAGAGCAGAAATTGTAAGCAAATTGTCCATCAAGGTATAATGGCAAAAGGCACAAATTAGGACCAGGCCAATGGTATAAATACACCTGCCTGTCACCCAGCCCCTAGAGCTCCTTGGAGAAGCCTGAGTCCTGTGTTCCACGGACATCAGTGGCATAGAGGCCCTGAGTTGGACTCAGGTTTTCCTCAGGGACTGGGTTTTCCTCAGGGAATGGGGCAAGTTCCTGGGGGCCAAGGATGTCTTCTGACTGGCCTGCATGAGGGCTTCAGGAGGTGAGTTGTTTTATCCTCCTAAGAAGCCGCCTTGGTATCCCACTGGCCTTAAGCAGTCCCAGAATACCCATAATTTTTCCTGTTGGAGACCCTCACATTCTTCTAAGCCTCACCTTCATACTTCTGTGACTACTGAAATATCAGCCACGGCTAGGTTCAGATTTGTTTTTTTTTTTTTTTACTTTTTTTTTTTTAATTTGGGACAGAGTCTCTCTCTGTTACCCAGGCTGGAGTGCAGTGATACAAACTCAGCTCACTGTAACCTCTGCCTCTCAGGTTCAAGTGATTCTCCTGCCTCAGCCTCCTGAGTAGCTGGGATTACAGGCACACACCAGCATGCCTGGCTAATTTTTGTATTCTTAGTAGAGATGGGGTTTCACTATGTTGGCCAGGCTGGTGTTGAACTCCTGGCCTCAGGTGATCTGCCTGCCTTGGCCTCCCAAAGTGTTGGGATTATAGGTGTGAGTCACTGTGCCCAGCCTCAGATTTTTTTACAATGATGCCACATTGCAATTAAATGGACTTGTCCCTACTGAACAGAGCCCTCTGCTGTTGTGCCCTGGAGCCAGGTTAACACGCATGTGCTCTATGCCACGAAGAACACCCACCAAGCTGAGGGGCCCTGCAGGCATTCACATGGGAAACTGCCATTGCGAATGGAGTGAGTGAGGCAGCTTAAGTGGTGGGAGGGGTGCATGGGAAGGGGCTCCTGAGCAGGACCTTCAAGGGTGCTAGAGTTTGGCAGAGACAAGAGTAGGAGCGAAGAAAGTGAGAGTCTCATGTAAAAGGGCAAGGTCACCTTCCTGAACAGGGAAGATAAATCATAGTGGATATTGTACAATAAAGATTTTATTCATTCATCTATGACAAACTTTTACTCGATACCAACCATGGCCTGATGCAAGGCTGACACCATGGGATACAGAAATGCTTTTGAGTGTCAGTCTGGGGAGAGACAGGCATGTGAGCAAATAAATGAGCTGGGTCTGTCCCATGAAGAGTCTAGAATAGTGCAGTTGGTTAGCACTCTCTGGTGACAGAAAGGCTGTCTATCTATACCATCCAATCCAATAGCCACTTGCCCCATATGGCTGTTGAGTGCTTGGAATGAGGCCTGTGAGATTGAGGAACTCAATTTTAAATTTTATTTAACCTTCATCTATTTTAAATTTAAATAGCCAGCCACATGGGGCTAGTGGCTACCATATTGGGCAGCACAGGGCTGGAGGCACATGGTAAGAAATTTATATCCAATAACTAATAGGAAGACACATTGATTAGTTTTTTTAAACCTATATATTAATCGTTTCACAAGTACTAGGGCTTCAATACATGGTACTGCATAAATAAAGCAGTCCTTGCCTTCAAGTCAAACACATCACCTTATCTTATTGTTATCTGAGAAAATGCAAAGGAGCCCATGGGAGCGAGAGGAGGGACACTTCATTCAGCTTCAAGGGTGTCAGGGAGAGTTTTCTGGGAGATTCGATGATTAGGATGATTCTTGAAGAGTTAATGGGAGATAACCTTGAGAAGGAGGAGAAAGCTATCTCAGGTGGAGGCAACAACCCCATGGTTATCAGAGAAGCAGCAGCATCAGGGAGAGGTCAGAGTATTCAGGGAGGTATGTGGGCCTGGAGACTCGTGCATGTGGGGCAAAGCCATTCAGAATGACCCTCGGAGATGGGCAGGGCACCATGGGGCTTTTGCATGGGGCTCAGGCCTCAGATGACTTTTTTTAAGGTCATGGGGAGTCATTTGAAAATTGGAAGCAGACACGTGAGATTTCTGTTTTTCTGCTTCCATTTCAGTATTTTCCAAAAAGCAGTAATGTTGCTGGAAAGAAGGAGAGCAGTGTAAGAGTTTTTGTTTGTTTTATTGGTTGCAGTGAGATCTGGCTCTGCCACCCAGGCTGCAGTGTAGTGGTATGATCATAGCTCACTGCAACCTCGAACTCCTGGGCTCAAGCGATCTTCCTGCCTCAGCCTGTCAAGTGCATGCCACCACACCCACTCAAGGTTTTTTTTTGTTTTTTTTTTGTTTGTTTGTTTGTTTGTTTTTTTGATAAAGATTGAGTCTTCCTATGTTGCCCAGCCTGGTCTCAAACTCCTGGGCTCAAGCAGTCCTCCCACCTCGGTCTCCCAAAGTACTGGGATTACAGGCATGAGTCACCGTGCCTGGCAAGAGACTCGTTTGAAGTTGAATGAAACGAACAGAATTTGGCAATGGCTTAGTTGGGAAAGGAGAGGTTAGCAGGGAAGGGGCAGCTGCAGCATGTCCTTAGGGGTGTCAACATTTGTGCTGAACACAGGCCACTGTGGGAGGAGGCATCGGCTTGACACAGCAATCCTGTGGTGGAGGTGTTTGTATTTTGAGGTTATTATTCTATTGTTGATTCTTGGAGTAATAAGAATTGAGAGATTACCCAGAAGCAATGGGCAGTGTAATAAGAGGAGAGGGCTGGAGAACAAGCTGGGTGACTCCCATGTTTACAGGCTTCTGGCCTCAGGGAAGGCCTGGAAAAAAGGATGGGAAGAAGATGCTGTTAGAATCCAGGAGAAAGCTACCTCTAAGAAAGCAAAAAAGGCAGGCTCATAGCAGACAAGTAACCTGAATTGGGAAAGGGCCCAGTGGCCCCGGCCTTGGAGGGCAGCTGGTGTCTGCAGGGAGGGTGGCTTTGGCAGGAGCACAGGTGTGGTTGAGGCTGAGGTGACCAAAGTCGGATTAACACGAACCCGAGGCACGTAGCACAGGGGGATGAGTGTGGGGGTTTCTTCCGGGCTGCTGCACAGGCCCTCCTCTTCCCAGACAGCAGCTGCTGAGTGTCAGGTGGGGGGATAAAGGCCAGAAGCAGAGATGCCGCTAAGCCCACAAACAGGTGCCCACGGGATCAGCCTCGGCGCCCGGGCGGGTCTTAGGTCTGAAGGACACTTGGAGACTAGATGTTAACTGTTGGAAATTTAGTAAACTGGGCCACCAGAGGCTTAATTCACTGCTTTAAAGTCTGATGATTGGAAATTAACCTATGAGAATTGTCAGATTACATTGAGGTTTGATCTCCCGTGCACTTACACAAATGCACACAGACACAGACACAGACACAGGCATGCACACACCTCTTTTATGAGACAGATAAAAACCCAGCCACAAAGATGTCAATGCCACACATCTAAGAGCCTGTCCCATAAGTAATGCACAGGGCTCCAGCCCCCGTGGGAGGAAGATAATTGGACTGTAAAATAGTGAAGGGCACGGCTGGGTCAAGAGAGAGTCCCCTAAAACCAAATTCCAGATGATTTCCATATTCTGAATGGAAAGCCTGCATAATCATTATTTTTAAAACATATCGACTTAGAAATAAAATATAGAAGTCAAAAAATCAATTAAGAGGACTAATTCAATGAAGAGTGTTTTCTGGTGGCTATTTTTCTTTTTATTAAAGTTTTTAATTTTTTTATTTTTTGGGCACCTAGTATATATTTATGGGGTACATAAGATGTTTTGATACAAGCATGCTCTAGTGACTACTTTTCAAGAGTTAAACTGTGGACTCCAGAGTCTGAAAATAAAGTATAATTTTTGAGAATGTTCAAATTATAGTTTTAAAAGTCTTTGGCCCATTATTTATATTTTTTATTCTTATTTGGAATTAAGCACAGTATTTTGTTTTTTCAAAAATTTAAACCTGACTGAGAGCTAGGTTGTCATGGACCATTGGTTATTTATCTTCTTTTGATGATACTTCATTTAATAACAAATCAGTGTTCCTGTGTCTGATAGAGTTAGATGAATTAATCAAGTCAGTGTTTATTCCTCCTTCAAGTGGCATCTTCTTAAAGGTAGCTTTGCAAAATGCCCAATTATTTGGACAACTTAAAAAAAGAACTATGGGGCCGTGCGCAGTGGCTCACGTCCCTAATCCCAGCACTTTGGGAGGCCGAGGCGGGCGGATCACGAGGTTAGGAGATTTCAGGCCATCTTGGCTAACACAGTGAAACCCCGTCTCTACTAAAAATGCGAAAAATTAGCCGGGTGTGATGGTGGGCGCCTGTAGTCCCAGCTACTCGGGAGGCTGAGGCAGGAGAATGGCGTGAACCCGGGAGGCGGAGTTTGCAGTGAGCCGAGATTGTGCCACTGCACTCCAGTCTGGGCAATAGAGCGAGACTCCGTCTCAAAACAAAACACAACAGTTTCTCATATGCAATGATCCCCACACCGAGGTATCAGGTAATTGTGGACTGTGCCGTTCACTGTGTACTATCAGGAATTTAGGTAAGGCAGCAAAAGAGAAGAAAGTTTCCCTAGAGCTCCATACCGAGGTATCAGGTAATTGTGGACTGTGTCGTTCACTGTGTACAGAGATTGGCAGGGTGTGAGTGGCAGAAAGAGCTTCTTAGGCAGTCAGACCACCTGGCTCTGAATCCTGGCTCGGTCACAAATTAATTATATGGAAGAAAACCTTAAGCCTCGGTTTGATTTTCTCCTTTAAAAAGTGAGACAAATAAATGCATTTATTTCTCAGAAGATAGTTGTGATGCATCTATTATTTTATGACATTTTTGTTCATTTTTAAAAGGTCCTGACAAATTTTAAGTGTTTTATGTGATCAGTTAGATGACATGCTAATAGGCAAAAGGCTTGCCTCTAATATACATGCTGTCAAATTTTCCATCAGCTTCTATATTTGCTTCTCTAAGATTTTTTTTTCCTGAATGACATAATTAATTAATGAGGTCATGCAAAATTCTTAAGGAAAATAGCTAAGTCAGTTTCCTTCATTAAAATCCACTGTAAACAAAGACGGCCCTCTGTTTAATGCTTAGTTTAACAGAAAATTTAAATTAGCACAGATAATTCTTCACATCATTTGGTTAATTGAAGGTATGGGAAACTGTATTTGTAGTGTTCACTCAAACCATTCCCAATAAGTGAATTACCCATGGGCCAAACTCTGGAAATTGCCAGATGAACTGTATTATATAAAGATAGTATGGCATGAATAGCTGTTCTTTCATATTGCCTTTAATCCATCCTCTTTGAAATAATAGAGGCCTGAGATACATCAGTGTTATTGAGCAGGAACGCTTGAATATAAAACCAATCAAGACAACATATAGTATGAAATAGTAGCTTATCATGTATGTGCATGCATGCTATTTTATTTGTTTTTTGCTGATAAAGGTGGAATGATGTTATGATGAATTTCACCATGAAAGACTGAAATAGAGCAAACAAAACGTCTCAATCAGGGTTTGCCAGGGTTATTCCTAATGAGTTATTCATACTGGTTGTATTTTTTTGACCATTGGGATTTATTTATCTGAGGGCTGCTGGAAAAAGGAGAAAGGGAAGCTACGTCATTTGCCTTCTGTGTGCCAGGCATTTTCTCTTTCTTTATCCCTGGAATAACCTTGTGTGGGAGGTTTCATTATTCTCATTTTACAAATATGGAAACTAGCTTAGATGAAGAGAGATGGAGTGACCCTCCGAAGGCCTTGCAGTCAGCAAGAGTTCGAAGCGGGGTGAGAATTCACGTGTTTCTGATTTCTAAAGCCGTATTCCTTCCACTGCCCTGGTTCACATGTTAGAATGTCACATCTTTATCCTTCAGACATAGTAGCTCAGTCTGCATCAGACTAAGATGGGGAAAAACTTGATTCCTGGAAATTTCCAAACATACGGAAAAGTGGAGGGAATTAGGCGATAAGCCAGTTGTACCCATGACCCAGCTGTATAATTATCAAGGCTTCGGCAATCTCGTTTCATCCATTTCACTACCACTATGATTTGAAACAAATGCCAGATATCATTTTTCTCCGCTAAAAACATTTTATTATGTTGGATCCTGTTTGTGCCCGTATTTTATACTAAGCCTTCACATAAGTTATGTTCTAGGATGTCTTCAAATGAGAGTAAAAGAGGACACCGTTGTCTTACTGCTGGGGAAAAGAGAGGGGGCTTTCTTCTTTCTTCAACTTCCCTCTGTGATACAAGGGAAAAATGCAGCTAAATTAGTCTAAAATCTCGATCCCTTGAAAACAGAAAAATCAACAGTTTTAAGCAAACAAATACAATCCCCCTAGTAGCTAATCATTTTCATCCACGTGCCTGGTACACATGCTAATGTTGGAGGGAAAAAAACAGGGTGATGTGCTTTTTGAGTGTGGACACCAGAGGGCAGAGTGTACTGATTAGAGTTTCCTGGCATTGCAAAAGTGCAGTGCGGCTTGGGGAGGAAAAGCAGTAGGCTATGAAACATTATTCCTTATGTCAATAGAAGGAAATTATTACATAAGGGAAAACTGGCAAGATGGAAGAGCTTATATCCGCTTGCAGTTCTGTTCATTCCCCCTAAACTCCATATATTATTTCAGGATTTTCATGAGAAAGGCTCTTCTTTGAAGAATCAATTGCTTATCCATGGTGTTAGTTTATATGTTTGTATCATGATAAACATCCTATCCAGAGGTGTGACCTTCCAGACCTTGCTAACAGCATGCTGCTGCTTTGCAAAGCTGCCTGCGCTTTGCTGCTCACCTAAAGGAGGACTTCTCAATAATAGACAGGATTTGATTCCTTTTTGTCATGAGAAAGCTCCCTGATTGTGCATTTGTAATGCATGAATTGCACAGATCTCCCTGCTGAGAGGCTTACATCACAGAGTTGGCTCACTGTTTCCAGTATCATTCTTCCAGCCCAACAGTAAGCACTGGCAGAGAGCAGGTAGCTGCCTACCCTGATATTACGGGACGTCAATAGGCTCTTGCACGCAAGTGTGGTGTTTTTCATTGCACACCAAGGGTTATTAGGCTGTGCTGAGTCAGATGGAAATAAAAATAGCCTGGAACCTGTGCCCGTTTGTTTGGGGGACTTGTCCCAGCACCATGCTAATGAGCCCAAGGGCTTGGGCTTGATGTCCCTGGTGGTTCCATCAGAGCAACATGAAGGAAAGCAACTGTCGGAAGCCACAGGCCCTCACTTAATGTGGTTTGCAGAGTGGTAAGTGATGGCTCTTCCCACGGGTATGGTTGTCTGGCACAGAGAGAGCCGGGGGACCCACACGCTCACGCAGTTCCTGCCAGCAACTGTGAGACATGACGACTGTGACTTAGCAGAATCCAGGGTTCATCCACCCTCCTGTGAGTCCTCCTGCTCCCCGTTTTGCTGCCATCTCGGGCCAATATCTGCAGGTGCAGAGACCCTGGAGTAGCTGCACCTCAGCCTCATGTCCTCTGTGGTCCCTTAATTGCCCAAAAGAAAGAATTTAAATGTAAAGTCGCTCTGTGCAGCGAGCATGTTCCTTCGTGCCCTGGGCGGCCTCTCTGACAGCCCTGACTCTGGTCTGTGACGCTGGGATTGTGGCTGCTTTCAGGCACCGTCATGGCCTTCCATGGTCCTCTGTCTGCCTTTGTCTCCTTCCTTCTGTTTAGGATGCCCTTTAGTGGGGGAACTCCTGGTCCGCCTTCTTCTCTAAATCTGTGCTCTCTACCAAGGATTTTCCAAGCCTGCGCTTCCTCCTGTCGTCTCCTTTGCTCCTCTCCGTGGCTCTGGCTCCTGTTCCGCAGCCCCTGGACCTATATCTGTGATCACACTTAGTGTTTTATACATCAGTTATTCACTTAAGTGTCGGCCGTGCCCACCAGCCCAGAAGACTCAAGGACGAGTACTTTTCTATACTTACCTTTACACAAGATAGGGTCTCAGTACTCATCGCGATTAATACATGAATGAACTTCAGCAAAATAATTGCAATGTGTAAAGGCCAAGATCCAGAATAAAACCTTTCATTTCTTAGCTAAAAATCTCCCCACATCCATTAGTTTTACATCCTTGGCATTAAAGATCCTAAGGAGAAATTGGTATTCCTGTCTGGAAAAACTTGCTGTTACTTAATGTATTTGAAAGTAAGTTATTTTTAAATAAATATGAAACCCCATCTCTACTAAAAATACAAAAAATTAGCTGGGTCTAGTGATGGGTGCCTGTAATCCCAGCTACTCGGGAGGCTGAGGCAGGAGAATTGCTTGAACCTGGGAGGAGGAGGTTGCAGTGAGCTGAGATTGTGCCACTGCACTCCAGCCTGGGCAACAAGAGTGAAACTCTGTCTCTAAAATATATATCTATGTATGTATGTATGTATGTATGTATGTATGTATGTATGTAAGTATCTATCTATATATCTCCATATATACATATAGAGAGAGATATATAGAGATCTATATAGAGATAGAGAGATATATATAGATATCTATATATATCTCTCTATATATGTATATAGATATGTAGCTATATATAGAGAGAAAGAGACCTGGAGAACATATATACTCAACAGGTGCATGTCATAACCTTCGGGGAAATAGGGTGGGAAGGATGAAGATGATATTTTATGTGATCTGTACTGTGTGAGTTGTGAGTTTCTGCATATATTAATTAGTAAAATAGGTAGGAGCAAATATTATGAAAGCATTAAAACACCAAGACTAACCAAGACAATCATGAAGAGGAACATTTCTGTCTAACTAGATGGCAACTTATTATAAAGTCTTAGTAATTCTGATGACTATACCCCACATGGATGCAGAGACAGAATAAGTAAATCAGTGGACCAAACAGAAACAATTGGTCATATTTACACAGTTCTTGTTACCAGCTGGGCTGTTTTAAACAACTTTCCAATATAAATTCATTTAATCTTTGCAGCTGTCCATGAAGTAACGTTTATAGGTCTCCATTTAATGCTTTAAGAAAATAGAAAAAGAAAGGTTAAATTGCTGAAAGAGTCACATAAGAGGAATTGGCATAAGAGACACACCGGCTACTCCCTGGGTGTGAAGCTTTATAGCCACAGCAGGGAGGGGAGTGTCAAGAACCAGGGCAGGGAGGATAAAGACCCCGCTGAGAGTTCCAGCTCAGTTTATGATTGGTATATGCCTTTCATAAGCAAGTCACTATTTTCTTGAAAAGAAATGGAAATCAAGAGATGCATGTGTTGTCAAAGCGGGAGAAAATATTTGCAAACTATGTATCTGACACAGTACTACTATCCAGAATGTACAAGGAACTCAAACAAATCAGCAAGAAAAAAACAAATAATCCCATCAAAAAGTGGGCTAAGGACATGAATAGAAAATTTTAAAAAGAAGGTATACAAATGGCCAACAAACATATGAAAAAATGCTCAACCTCAGTAATGATCAGGGAAATGCAAATTAAAACCACAATGCAATACCACCTTCCTCCTGCACAAATGGCCATAATTAAAAAATCAAAAAATAATAGATGTTGGCATGGATATGGTGAAAAGGGAGCACTTCTACACTGCTTGTAGGAATGTAAACTAGTATAACCACTATGGAAAACAGTGTGGAGATTCCTTAAAGAACTAAAAGTAGATCTACCATTTGATCCAGCCACCCCACTACTGTGTATCTATCTACCCAGCAGAAGATAAGTCATTATATGAAAAAGACACTTGCACGCACGCCTATAGCAGTACAACTCACAATTGCAAAAATATGGAACCAGCCTAAATGTTCATCAACCAAGGAGTAGAGAAAGAAAATGTGGTATATATACACCATGGAATACTACTCAGCCATAAGAAATGAATGAAATAATGGCATTCACAGCAACCTGGACAGAGTTGGAGACCATTATTCTAAGTGAAGTAACTCAAGAATGGAAAACCAAGTATCGTATGTTCTCGCTTTTAAGTGGGAGCTCAGCTATGAGGGTGCAAAGGCATAAGAATGATATAATGGACTTTGGGGACTCGGGGGGAAGGCTGGGAGGGGGATGAAGGATAAAAGATTACACATGGGGTACAGTGTATACTGCACAGGTGATGGGTGAACCGACACCTCAGAAATCACCACTAAAGAACTTACCCATGTAACCCCAAACCACCTGTTCCTCAAAAACTATTGAAATAAACATAAAATAAATTTTTAAAAAAGAGATACATGTGTTGAAATAGACAATAACTCTCAACTGTACCAGAACCTACACCTCCTTATTTTGGCAAATTATTTTAATGCTCCTTTCCTAATTTAAATTAAATTCATAGGTGATAAAATGTATATGCATATACCACTTTAAAAGTTTCAATATATAGGCTAAATAAAGGAATGAACTTATAATCCAGTTATCTGTCCTTCAGCGTGTCACTGCTCAGGTCCTGCTTGCCAGGTGGTCTGCAGCTAGGGCACTGACATCTGTGATGAAGTCAGAAGCTTCTTCCTATGTGTAAAGAGTAAAACTGGGTTTAAAATATTTTTTTTTAAAAAAAAGGCTGGGCGCAGTGCCTCACACCTATAATCCCAGCGCTTTGGGAGGCCAAGGCAGGTGGATCGCCTGAGGTCAGGAGTTCAAGACCAGCCTCGCCAAAACGGTGAACCCCTGTCCCTACTAAAAATACAAAAATTAGCCATGCACAGTGGCGGGTGCCTGTAATCCCAGCTACTCGGGAGGCTGAGGCAGGAGAATCTCTTGAACCTGGGAGGCGGAGGTTGCAGTGAGCCGAGATTGTGGCAATGCACTCCAGCCTGGGTGACGAGGGCAAAACTCCATAACAAAAATAAATAATAAATTTTTAAAAAGCAGACCAGAAATAGTTCCATATAAAAAATATAGGAAAAGGGAAGAGCAGATAATACAGAAGAACCTTAGAATAAAGCCTGAGATTAAGTAATAATAGATTAGTTTTATTTTGAAAATGAAAAGAAAATGGGGACACACTCCATTTGAAATACAGGATGCGTACCAAGGTGGATCACAGATTGAGAGGAGAAAATGTGTGAGATTCTCCACTGATAGCCAGGTGTGGCTTCTTCTTTTTAAGCATGGCGTGAAACAAATTATGACATGGATGATGAGGGCATGAAGTGTCCCTGGGATCCTACCACCTGACAAGGTGTACCCTCAGTCTCCAATGCTTAATAAATGCCTTGTAAACTGTAACCTCTGATACTTAATGAGGAATACAGCGCTTTGAAACAGAAACCGAAATAGGTCTCTAGAGAAGTTGTATGATAAGATCCTGGGGGCAGTGTCAGAAAAGGACCGAAAAACCACAGATTCCTCCCTCCAGGAAATAATTTCAATACTTAAAGTTTACCATGTAGATTTCTTGTTCTGGTGCTATAATTGTGAAGCATATAGGAAACACTATAAAATGTTTTAAAACAATACTTTTGATAAACTTTATTAAGACCTCTATGTTTCATGTGTTTGCACTAAAAATAATGTTTGCTTCTAAGAATGTTCCTATTTGACTAAGGTGATTTAAAATGCCTTTGCATTGTTGCACTGTTTGTGTAGTGATTGTAACTCTGTACTAAAGCCAATTAACTTTGTAGTTGGATGGGTTATAAAATACTCACTAGACACAGTACTCCATAGACACCATATTCAATAATAGACACAATGTGTAGAATGAAGAAGCCAGCGTCCACCTCTGCAACGAGCTTGTCCTGAATCCCTGGACCCTTTATTTTTCATCCCATAAAAACTTTCAGTATCATTATGTACTGAAGTACTCCTTATTTATAGTTCTGTGGATTTATTCCAACGAGTCTGTTGAAAACTGGGATGTGGGGCACCTACACTTCTCACCGTGCAGGATCTCTACCCATTGCAGGGTGTCCAGCCCCCTGGCCTCTACCCCAAATGCCAGTGAAGTCTAGGATTCATTGTGACAACTGAAAAACTCTCCTCATTTCAAAAATGCTTCCTAGGAGGTAGAATGGCCCTGTTGAGAACCTTAAATAGATTATAGATTTTATTTATTATTATTATTATTTTTTTTTTTTTGAGACAGAGTCTCACTCTGTCACCAGGCTAGAGTGCAGTGGTGTGATCTGAGCTCACTGCAACCTCCGCCTCCCGGGTTCAAGCAATTCTCCTGCCTCAGCCTCTCGAGTAGCTGAGACTACAGGCACGCATCACCATGCCCAGCTAATTTTTGTATTTTTAGTAGAGATGGGGTTTCACCTTGTTGGCCAGGATGGTCTCGATCTCTTGACCTCATGATCTGCCCTCCTCGGCCTCCCAAAGTGTCGGGATTACAGGCATGAGCTACTGCTCCCGGCCAATAGATTATAGATATAATTTTTCTGTTATTATTTCTTTCACAAAACCCTGGCTGTACAAGTATCCTCTGTAAACTTAGATATTTCCGACAGTGTGTCTACTTCCTTCCTTCATGATCTCAACTCTCTGTAAATTACATGTGAATGCATTCAGGACTGTATTTTATATATCATCTCTTTCATGTTTTGATTTGCTTTTTCCAAGCAGACATTAAGTGTGCTGAAGGTAGTTGTGTTGTCATCTGCTTTCATTGAATCCTTCAGAAATTTTAGCACCACAATGAGATTCTGAAAAAAGCACAGAAAAGGGGCTTAATATAGAATGTTTAAAGAATATTTGTTTTCTCAATTTATATTACGACTTTCAAACTTCAGTGCATATGTACACACACACACACACACACACACACACACACACACACCATTTTAAGGCATTGCTAGACTCACATATATCTTTCACCTTGAAGATGAAGCAAGATTCCAAAATGTCAGAAAATCTTGAAAGTGTCTTAGATACGAGCAATATGGGGAGAGAGCCAGCAACTGAGTTATTCCCAAGCTCATTTAGTGACAAAGTTGTGGGTTGGTTAGGCTTGTTAGAGCTCAACAAAGCACTTAGTGAAGGAAATATGAAAATTAGAAACCACTGTAGGATATAAATTAAGACTATTTGGAGGCTAGAAAGATTTGGGGATTTTTTTTGTTGTTGTTAAAATATCTAGCCAACTCCTGAAAAATAATGAGTGGTTGCCATAGCAACTGTGTTTTCGCTTGACACACGAAAGAACATGAAAAGCATTGGAATCAAGGAAAGCCACCTGGTTTTAGACTTTAATTTTGGAGAAACAAATTCATCCAAAATGATTTATAAAACAAACCCTATTTTATTTTCCTTCCAAAATGATTGTAGATTTTTTAAATTTTTTTAAATTCAAAACATTGAGGGTATCTCAAAGGAAGTGAAAATACATTCTTTTCCAAAAAAAAAAAAAAAAAAAAAAAATACCTGGGCCGGGTGTGGTGGCTCACGCCTGTAATCCTAGCACTTTGGGAGGCCGAGGTGGGTGTATCACGCGGTCAGGAGATGGAGACCATCCTGGCCAACATGGTGAAACCCTGTCTCTACTAAAAATACAAAAATTAGCCAGGCTTTGTGGTGCATGCCCACAGTGAGCTGAGATCGCACCACTGTACTCCATCCTGGGGGACAGAGCTAGACTCCATCTCAAAAACGAAAGTGCCTGGTCGTCTTTCCACACAACTCCGTTTCCACTCCCATAAAATGCTACGTTAGCTGTTTTGAGGGTAGATGCCCTTAGACTGCCAACTCACAAAGTTTTATTGGGCACCTGTTACCTGTTCAGCAGAGATTTGTAAAAAAAGACACATCAGGTGGCCTTTGCTTGCAAGAAATCAGCCTTTGGAACCTGTGGAGAAAAGTTAAGTACTGCGTACTGCGCAAATGAAGGGTGGGAGCTATTGAAGGGAAGAGACTCACCCCGAAAACCCAAGAATGGTCAAACGAGAGGCAAGGTGGAGCCTGCAGTTTTCACTGGAAGGATTCTAGAGTGAGTGATTCTGGGGACCTAGAGATGGGGGATAACGGGTGAAAGGAACAAGCACGGCCCCTTTGAGGTGGAAAACAGACTGGTGGGCCAGGGTTGGGAGGGTGTGCTGGGGAAGTGTTGTGGGCAGAGGCTGGAAAATGAAATTGGGCTGGGGTTAGGAGACAGGTGACCGTGGAAGACTGCTCTGACAATCAGAGTCTGGACTTTGCTCCTCTGCAGGATCCCTGATGCCCAGATGGACCCTTCGATGTTCCTGGCCCACCTGCGCTACCTATTCTTGCCCCGCTCTGCTCTAGTATTTACAACTGCACGATGGCACAGTTGGTCTCTGGGACTTAGAATTTGTGTTGCAAACACAAGACCTGGAGAATGGACCTGGTCTGTGATATAGTGTGTCAGTCAGGGACCTGGAGAAACAGAAGGGGATCCCAAATAAGAAGACTTGAAGGAAGTTTAAGAAAGGCACCAAATACAATTTGAAACTTGTGGGCTGGGAAGCCACACGAGATAGCGCAGGCTGGGGGATGTGCAGGAGCTGTCATCAGAAGCCGGAAGTGGAACATGTTATGAAAAAGGTCACTTTTCATAACACTTTGCATGGAGAAGGAGTACAAGGGAAGTCAAGAGGACCCACAGTGGGAAGTGGGCTGTGAATACTCTGATCCTACCTCATTTACTGCCAGTGCATCCCTTGGCCTAAGTGAAGTAGGAGCTTGGGAGAAGATTGGCCGTTGACTCTAATCCTGCTCCCAGGTTCCTACTTAATCAGCATCCAAGATCAAGGTGTGGAGTTGACAGTGACATCTCGGACTTCAATCCACCATGTTGACTTCTGATTAACCCCAGTCCTGGGAATACCTCCAAGAATTCTACTTTATTTACTTCTCTTATGTAAGAATGTTTAACTCACCATGGATCCTGCCCTTAGACCAAAGCGACCTTGATGTTATTGCACAAATTACAGGCTATGACACATATACCATTCCTGCCTGTGCTAGAGGATTGCCTTTAATTGCTTGCTGGAGCACATATGCTTTTCCCTATGGTAGATAAGCCTTGGGTCTGGGAGTAAGAGTGCAGAGATCTACCTGTCTTGGTGCCACCCAAGGTCATACCTCCGTCTGTAAGTTCCCCTTTCATGGAACACAAGGTAAACCTCACAAAGTATAAGGCAGATCTTTTCCCATTTCCTGCATGTCTTCTCAATACCTGTGATTGAAACATGCAGTGGAAATATCCATGCCCGTCTTGATGGATGAAGCTAACTGGCTGGTAGGTCGAAGCCAGTTCGAGGAACAGGCTAGGAGGTCTGCATGGAACCTGGGATTGGCCATCCCCTCATGAGGGCTCTAATGGGAAGATGATGCCTTGGGTGTGCCTGGATGCTGAGAAAACATGAGATGTGTATTACCTTCTGCTCTCTGTATGTAAAACAGCTGAAGCTAAATCCCTTGAGATGTTTCTACATCCATCTATACCTAGATCTTGGAAATTTTGCAAATAAGCAGTTGTCAGAATTTTGAGCTATGGCTTAGGGTATTAAAAAATAGAAAGACAAGGGAAGAGGGTGTTGATGGAGGCTTGAGCCACTTAGCATGACCTAGCCCCTGATCAGCTGTGGTTAGTCCAAATGAGCCAGTATGCTGGGGCAGAGAGCAGGATGGAGTAGCAAAGGCCCTGTAGTGAGGCCCTCTGTGGGGGATGAGTGTGCTTGGTAGCAGTTTGAAGCATTGTGCCTCTCTTTCCTATGCACTGTGATCAGTGCACAGGAATGTAGAAAGGGCCAAGCCTTTCAACACCTTAGACTCTGATGCCTCCAGGGTGGATTCACTGTGCCATGGAAAACCACATAACATCATCCTATTAGCGTACTTTTGAGAGTAGATGTGCTATTAATGATGCTAAAACAACAGACATACACTACCAGAATGCTCCTAGCAAAATGAGGACATGTAGTCACCCTTTCCTCTGCTCCCTCCCCACCACCTGTGCCATTAGAAGCTGGAGGAGGGAGCGGTCACTGTGGCATGGAGTAGGCTGGGCAATGAAGGCTTCTAGGAAAGGCGGGCCTTGGTTCATGATCCGTGGTGGGATTCATGTGGGTAGGAGAGAAAATCAAGGGACGTCAAGAGCGTGGTAATAGCTTGTTACTACCTGGGGAGAAACATATCTGCTAGAGTTGCCATTTAGAGACATGTCAAAACCTCCAGAAAGTGTGTTTCAATGCCAAGTGCTAATTGTAAAAGGGAACGTGTCTTTCTGCAGTTCTAGTTTGTTATAGAAAGGGACAGCTCTTGACGTTAGCAAATAAGGTTGTATGTTATGGATCCTGTGGCAACTGAGTGTATGTGACGGAAAATGGATGTTTACTTTAAGGTCATTACTGAAGACTTTCTGGAGCCACCTCTTTCTTGGGGACGTCTCCCTACTGATTCATATTAGAAATCAACTTGAGTGACCTTTCTCTTCAAAACATCAGAGACTGCCTTGGACTGTGTGGTCTGCTTGGAGGACTTCAACCCTCTTAGAACCTTACTCTGCATGTGAACACAGCAGCACAGGGGCAGCGGGTTCCATCGTCTACGGGAGATGGTGCTCAAGGGTTGGAGCCAGTCCCCCTAGAGAGTCACATAGCATTTGGCCCTCGACCATGGCTGAATAAATGAATGAATAAACCTTATTTAATATATACTTTCACCTGCCTGAGTTGTAGAACTCTGCAGAAGTCCTTTTATATCTCTTCTACATTCATCTTCAGAGCCATTGTATCATAGGGGTTGTTTTGTTATTCTCCATACATCCTAATTTATAGAGGAGAAAACGAAATCCAGGGAAAGCTGGAAAATTGATCCAGGGTCAAACACTGAACTTATGGAGAGGATGGAGAGGAAAGCGTGGCTTTTGGAGTAATACTGCTGAGAGTCAAATCCCAGTTATTGCAGTGAGGAGTAGCAAGAAGTCACCTAATTTCAACAACACAATCATTTCAGGAATGGAAAGAACACCCCCAGTTCCATTAAACGACATGAAGTACAGAAAGTCCTGGCTCACAGAAGGGGCCCACTAAGCATTAGTTGCCATTCCTTTCTTAGGTAACCACCGCCTGTGGACCCTCACCCCTTCCTCCACTGTCAGAGGCAGCATAATGGCTCAGTTTGCATTTCAAGGCTGATAGAATCAAGTTTGCTAATGCTGGTCCTGCTGCCACCTAGAACTCCCTTAATGAAAGTCAGCCTCCACAAACCTTGAGGAGTATTAAAGGACAGAGCCCTGTGAAGGATGGTGCTGTGTGTGCCTATCTTTTCTTTTTCTTTTTTTTTTTTTTTTTTTTGAGATGGAGTCTCACTCTGTCACCCAGGCTGGAGTGCAGTGGTGTGATCTCAGCTCACTGCAAGCTCTGTCTTCTGGGTTCACACCATTCTCCTGCCTCAGCCTCCCAAGTAGCTGGGACTGCAGGCGCCCGCCACCATGCCCGGCTAATTTTTTGTATTTTTTAGTAGAGACGGGGTTTCGCTGTGTTAGCCAGGATGGTCTCGATCTCCTGACCTCGTGATCCGCCCACCTCGACCTCCCAAAGTGCTGGGATTACAGGCGTGAGCCACCGTGCCTGGCCTGTGCCTATCGTTTAACTGACTAGTTGGATTAGTGAGGAGTCGGTTAGTTGTTGTGCTTCTTTGCAGTGCACTGGGCTGCTACATGGACCTGATTTTGACTACCTGTTCTAAGGGATGAGGAAGCCCTCCTTGCAGAAGCCCATGGAAGCCCTCCTTGCAGAAGAAATATCCCAGCCACTCAGGTTGGCAGACTCTGTGCAGAATACCCAGTGTCTTTCCTCCTCTTATTTATCTCTCTTCAGGTACCAGGAAGTGAAAGAGGCCTATATACATGGAAGTTCTGAAGGAGAATAGCGTTGCCATCCTCCCTACCCACCTCTGAGTCTCTGGTTCCTGGTCACCCAAGCCTCCATCATGCCCTCTTCCCTTCTCTTCCTTTTATTTTTTAATACCCTAAGCCACAGCTCAAAATGCTGAGCACCACTTCTCTTCAGCATGACTGAGGTCTAGGTATAGATGGGTATGGGGACAGCTCTAGGGACTTAGCTTCAGCTGTTTCAAATAAAGGAAAAAGCAGAGAACAGGGATCTCATGTTTTCTCACCAGCCATGCATGCCCAAGGCATCTTCCTATGAGAGCCCTGAGGAGGGAACGGCCAATCCCAGGTTCCATGCAGTGCCTCCAGCCTGTTCCTGGGACAGGCTCCAATCTCTTGGTGCAGTTAGCTTCATGCATTAAGACAGGCATGGATATTTCCATGTTCTTCCTGAATCACAGGTATTGAGAGGAAGTGTGGGAAATGGGAGAACAGCTGCCTTATGAATCATGAGGTTCACCTAAACCTTGGGGGCTAGAATTGAGATGGAGCAGTGTTCTGAGGGGTCCCAAGAAGCCTAGTATAACTCATAAGATGCTTGGGAGTTTAAATATGCTTTTCTGTGCAGAGTCTACCATCTAAGTCTCTCTGGTTTGAAGTTGGAGAAACTGAATTTGTCATTCAGCTAGAAAACATACTGGAGGAGAGATTTTAACTCATGCCTCAGAACAAAGCTCAGGGCTTTCTGAAGCACCAGAGGGTGCCAAAGGAGTCAGAGCTTGGGTTCTGCCCATTGAGAAGAATGAAGAGGGATGCTGGTTTCAGTTTAGCAGGAGGAAAATGGTAAAAATAACATTGAAAAGAACAAATAGACTTACAAGGGTTCTCAAGATTTATCTGCAAGTGATATTTTCTAAGGAGACTGCGTGTGTCCCCCAAACTCCATTTTCATCATGTCACATTTTTCTCAAAAGCATTTCTATAATTCTAGCATGAGAAGGGAAGCCTTGGTCTAAATGTTCATGAGCGGAACCAAGCCGCCTTTCCAGCCTCATCCTGCAAGCACATACTCCCTGGCTGCAGGTAGGTCCCCTGGTAGTGTGTAGATGCCAGCATTTCTGTTTTAATGGTACATGGAGAGAGGCGATCTAACCTAACAACAAATTGATGATCTAGCTTGAAAAAAATACCAACTGCCATTTCTATCACCGTAATTTCAAAAGCAGAAGGACATTTTAACATCAAAAAGTGGGAAAAACATTTTCAGAACAAATATCATGGCTCCTTAATTTTAAAAAGATGCCTTGGGTGCGTTGGCTCACGCCTGTAATCCCAGCACTTTGGGAGGCCGAGGCGGGAGGATCATGAGGTCAGGAGATCGAGACCATCCTGGCTAACATGGTGAAACCCCATCTCTACTAAAAATACAAAAAAATTAGCCGGGCATGGTGGTGGGCGCCTGGAGTCCCAGCTACTTGGGAGGCTGAGGCAGGAGAATGGTGTGAACCCGGGAGGCAGAGCTTGCAGTGAGCTGAGATCGCACCACTGCACTCCAGCCTGGGCGACAGAGCGAGACTCCGTCTCAAAAAAAAAAAAAAAAAAAAAACAGGTGCCTTTATAAAACCTTGTTGTATCTCTTTTTCTTTTGTTTTAATTTACCACAAATTCAGAAGAGCTTCATTATCCCTAGAGTAAGAAAGGGAAAGAATAAAGAAAAAAAAAGAGCTTCTTTAAAGACCAGCAATCCGTGGACAGGCATTTAGCAGTTACTGACTTAGCCTACACACTGGGCTGATATAGTTTCTCCATCTGGAATGTCCTTTTATCTTTCATTTTATCCAATTCTCAACTTCTTTTCCATCCCAAAGAATATCCCATCGCCACTCTCAAGCTTTTCCGGACATTCTGCAGTAATATCTACCTCATCTGAACTGAAAACTCTCTTGCCTCTTGTACTCAATTGGCCTTTACCGTTCACTGTCTTCTGACATCTCTTAAATAGTGATGAGTCATTAATGCATCTCGCCAACTAGACAGTAAGCATTTTATACCTCTTTTTAATGTCTATTATTTTCAGAAAATATGTGATACCTAATAAGTAAGTTTTTAAAGTTTGCTGAACGAACACAGTAAGTTCTTTGTTGTACTCCTTGTTTTCTGGAACTGTGATGTTGTTTATGTCGAGTCCCAGAAGTTAAGGCAGAAGGGAATTGAGAAACTGACCCTGAAATTATGTCATAAAAAACTGAGAGTTAAAAAAGAAGCCATGGCTTTCTATTGCAACTTTAACTTTCCTAGTATGCTTAGTACTTATTTTTTATTTTTATTTATTTATTTTTTGAGATGGAGTCTCATACTGTCACCCAGGCTGGAATGCAATGGCACGATCTTGGCTCACTGCAACCTCTGCCTTCCAGGTTCAAGCGGTTCTTCTGCCTCAGCCTCCCAAGTAGCTGGGATAACAGGCGCTCACCATCATGCCTGGCTAATTTTTCGTATATTTAGCAAGACAGGGTTTCACCATGTTGGCCAGGCTCGTCTTGAACTCCTGACCTCGTGATCTGCCTGCCTTGGCCTCCCAAAGTGCTGAGATTACAGGCGTGAGCCACCGCACCCAGCCAGCATTTATTTCTAAGCCAAATCAAAATATAGACCTTTGATGAAGGTGTTAAGAAAACATTGCATTGTCCTGGTTATTTAGAGATAGAGACATAAATTCTCTATGATTATTTCTCCCAAAGATCTTGGAATCCAATGGATCTGAGTCAGGTCAAGATGAATGAATACAAATATGAGAAGGGCATAGCTCATCAGAAATTCAGAGACCCTGGGTGAGCAGGGTTAGGCAACTTGGAGAAACTTTCTAGACACAGGAGCCATAGCACTGTAACTAAAGAAGGAGGAAAACACAGCATGCCGAGCAGGGTATAGAGGCTGCAGGTGTGTTTTTCCTTGGCTTTCATGCTGTGCTGGCCCTGACACAGGACTGACTTTACCCATAAAGAAAGTGGCAGCAGCAGGAAGGGCACTGTGGTGAGCCCTGGTGAATCCACATGGCACTTGGACCAACCCCTCAGACACAACCCCTTTCTCATTCTGTTCCATCTGCTGCCCTACACGATGTTCCATTTCAGGGCTCGTTTCTGAGCATGGACCAGTTGCTAGGCACAGTTCTGCAGATATACAGTGAGCAGAAACAACCACAGAGCTTACTCTTTTTTTTTTTTTTTTGAGATGGAGTCTCGCTCTGTCACCCAGGCTGGAGTGCAGTGGCACAATCTCGGCTCACTGCAACCTCTGCCTCCCAGATTCAAGCGATTCTCCTGCCTCAGCCTCCTGAGTAGCTGGCATTACAGGGGCCCATCACCACGCCCGGCTAATTTTTATATTTTTAGTAGAGACAGGGTTTCACCATGTTGGCCAGGATGGTCTCGAACTCCTGACCTCATGATCCACCTGCCTTGGCCTCCTAAAGTAGAGCCTACTTGTATATTGCTAAGGGCCCAGTGAAGAAGCCAGGGATCTGTTAAATATCTCACCCACACATATAACATTACACATCTGAGGACTGTTGTCAAATGAAATGATGTGGTTCAGGGAGACCAATGAGTGGGATGTGGCTGCTGAGAATGAGGTGCAGGGTGATGTTACATATTTTTTTCCCAAGAAAGGGATGTGTAGGCTGACAGCTAAAGTGTCAGTAGGTGCTCACTAGTTTGGAACAGAAGAGAACATTGTTCATGCAAAGGAACAGCCCGAATGAGGCTGTGGGACAGGAGGGAGTGTCACGGGGCTGACAGAATGCCCACTTGGCTGGCACACAAGGAAGGGAAAGGAGTGGTGTGAGATGAAGCTGAGCAGGTGTCAGCACCAACCTCTTGGGACTTTGCAGAGTATGGCACAGATTTTAGCTTCATTATAAGAGTAGCAGGAAGGCACTGAAGAGTTTAAATTGGCAAGTAATGGGAGCTGAACTGTGCTTTTCAAAGACTACTCTGTCTGCTCTCTACAGCTGAAGAAGGACTGAATATGGGTTGGAGGGAGAGAGTGAGAGCAAGCGTAGCTGGGAGCAAACATGGAGTGTAAGAGCAGAGGAGAGAATTAGCCGCAGGCCAGGGACCTTGGAAGGACACTTCTCACTAAAAGCCACACTCAGCTAGAGAGCCTTTTTAACAGTGAGTGATTGTTCTTCTCTGGTGTTTCTCTCTGTCCGTCCCTAATCCAAGCCAGGAGAGAATGAAGGCTCTTAGTTTAAAAGGTCCTCTGGTCCTTTGCTGCCCCGTTCTTGCTTTTCTAGCCAGACATGGTTCTCTGAGGATTTGTTAAATTTTATAGCCCAGTGGTCAAGTAAACATGGGGTGGTACTCAAAGAAACTCACAGGTATTTATTATCCAAAGCTACTGCATTTGGGGATTATTAAATACAGACATATAGACACATATGTATGCAAGGTCATTGGAGTGACATCCCATCCTGAGAACAGGGGCCACCTTCTACAAATGCCAAAAATGCACTTCGCACAGTGTTGGAAATTTCATCGGGTGTTCACTGAATGCACAGACCTGCTGCAGAGCCTGGTTCTTGTGTCTCTTGTCTTCCTGGGTGTGCTGGGATGGAGGACAGATTCTTATGTCCCTCATTGGAATCTACCCTCTCAGCCAGTCTTGTGACCACACTTTTGGAGTGATGGAGTGATGGGAAGCCCCTCGTGGCACAGCACCTGCCCCAGCACCATTGGCTGAAACGGAAACAACCATCCACTTGGCCTAGCAGAGTCCTTGACTATCTTTTAGGGCTTTGCTCTGGGAGGGGCTGTGCTCTCTGCCTGCCTAATATCCCCACTTCTGGCCCAGTGGGGCTTGGGCTGCAGTAGCTGCATTCCATTCTGGCCCATCACGTGGCAACACCAACCACGATGCCTGCCGTTTTCCCTGAGATGTTCTGTGCCCTCTCTTCTGAGACACTGGTGGCTTTCTGAGAACTGCTGTATGGTGAACTCCATCTTCAAGGGTTATTGGCTTCCAAACACCATGACTTGCGGGAGCCCCGTTCCCTGCTCATCAGTGTCCATGCAATTCAGGCAACTCTCCCCAGCTATGCTAGTTACTTCCTTCATCTAAACCCTGTTTGGAAGCCCTGAAGTTCCTGCCTGGGGAAGTCAAGTAAAAATGGGAGGTATGGGACTTGATAGCAGCAGATGTGCAAAGGTCTTACAGGTTACAGTTGAGTCTCAGTGTGAGATGGGTCACTGGGGGATGTGGCCCCTGGGCAGCTAGTGCTATGGAGTCTGTAGAATAGAGGCACAGTGATGACCAGTTATCTCTGGAGCACTGTGCTCAGTTCTAGGAGACACATTTTTAAGAGAAACTCGTGCTTTCCTGAGGAGGTCTGGGTCTGTGCTCTCTGATATACGGTAGCCTCTAACCACCTGTGGATATTTAAATTTTATGTAATTAAAATTAATGAAAATTTAAAACAGTTGCTCTGGCACTGGCCACATTTCAGATGAACTGGAGCCACATGTGGCTCCGGCTGGAGTGTCAGGCAGCACAGTGGAGAGCATGCCCTGTCCTCTGGAAGGATGTGGCTCAGAGCACGTCCAGCCCAGAAGTCACAGAGCCAGGACCTCATGGAGTGAGAAGTAGTTGAAAACACTAAAGTTGTGTACCCTACAAAATTGTCCTCAGACAATTCAGAATCTATGTCACAGAAGCAGAATTGGATTTCTCAAGAGTGACTCACAACAGCATAACTTGGATTAACTGAAGGGATGTAAAGAGAAGGTTTTAGCTCAATGCAAGTCCAACATTTCCATCAGAAGTGTTCAAAACGTGGAATGCGAGTCTCCAGGAATTGTGATTTTTTTCTTTCGTTTAAGACGTTCAAATAGAGACTGCTGTCCAATTATTGCCAATGCTAGGGAGGGCATTTCTGCCTCAGATGGAGGTAGTGAGGTGTCAGCAAAGAATGTGGATTTTAGAACTAGGTAGATTTAACCCAAGTCCTGGTTCTATCATTTTCTAACTTAATGGCTTTGCTCAACTCACCACACCCCTCCGTTCTCCCCAGTAAAGTGAGGACAATACTAATTGTCTCACAATACTGTGTTGGGTGTTAAATGAGACCACAAAGTAAAGTATCAAAGGCAGTGCCTGTCCCAGAGCAGGTGACTTGCACTAATCAGAGGCTCACCCTGCCTTGCTGCTCCACACACACGACTGACTGACAACATCCGTGACCCACAACATCCACAGCTCATTCCCACGGCAGTCCTCACGCAGGCACCAAAACTCTACCCCACTCATGAAATCGACGTGAAATGCAAGGAAATCAGAATGTGGTTATCTGAGGTATCGACTTTAATCTTCTCTGGTTTATTTTTTTAAATAAATTAGTTACAGAGCGAGACTTTAATCATTATCAGTAGCAGATTTCACTAGCACAATTATCAAGTGTCAAAACCCCAAAGGTGAGAATCACCGTTCTTGGAGCATCCTAAGCCCTGTCTACCTTTAGAGGTTCCAATGCTGGCATAGGGTTCAAGACCATATGTTTTATTATGAGGAATTCAAGTGAGACCAGACTGTTTTGTTGTAAATACTATAAGAAAGACAACATCCTTTCTTCTCCTCCATTTCTATGCCTGTGAAGATGTGATGAGCAAGCCTTGGAAGCCTCAGTTCCTCAGACTCTTCCAGGCATGGGGCCATGGAACTTGGCAAAAGCGGGTGCTGTGTGGATCTCAGTCTCTGGAGCCATTCGTTGGGTCGTGAGCAGCAAAGTAGCCTTCATCTTTCCCAGTCTTCACACTTCGAGGACCCTCACTGCTGGTGGGGAGGGGGTTTCTGCTCTAGGCTGTGGTAATGCTATCCCCCGACCTGCAAATTCACACAATGAGCCAACTGGCCACATGCTCCAAGGAGCTAAGATGCTGTTGGTCCACAAACAAAGGTTCAGGTTCTGTGTAGCTTAGGATCCGGTTGCTAATTGGCTTGAAACATTTAAATCCTCTTGCATTTAGTTGAATATGTGGATATGCCTATTGAGAAGTATGTTATGAAATCTAGGGTTTGTATTCCCATCCGTAACAGGAAGAATAAAACCTTGAAAAATGTTTCATTTTAAATACAGACCCCTTGTGTATCAAAAAGTATATTTTTTTGGGAATACAAAGCCACCACCACCACCACCACCATTGCCCATAGAGGCGCCTGCAGAGGCTGGACTTGCTGCTTCTGGTCCGTTGAGCTGAGAAGCACAGAGGTTCAGTGGGTTGTTGAGGGCACCAGGGACCCCAGGTGGAACTGGTAAGAAAAGCTGAATCCAATCCTTGGCTTTTACTCACCTTGTTTAAATTACTGTCCTTAAGCTTTTTCCATATTAGCCTGGAGCCATAAATAGTTTGTGTGGCTACTTTCAAAATTCAATTCTGGGCCGTTTGCGGTGGCTCATGCCTGTAATCCCAGCACTTTGGGAGGCCGAGGCGGGCGGATCACAAAGTCAGGAGATCGAGACCATCCTGGCTAACACAGTGAAACCCCGTCTCTACTAAAAATACAAAAAAATTAGCCAGGCGTGGTGGCGGGTGCCTGTAGTCCCAGCTACTCGGGAGGCTGAGGCAGGAGAATGGTGTGAACCCAGGAGGTGGAGCTTGCAGTGAGCCGAGACTGCGCCACTGCACTCCAGCTTGGGCAACAGAGCAAGACTCCTTCTCAAAAAAAAAAAAAAATCAATTCTGTGCAATTCAGTCGTATTTATTGGGAAGCCTTTAGGTTCCCAGAAGAACTGAGCCAACCTTGAAGGGAACAGGAAAGAAACAGAGCCTGTGATCAGTGGGCACTCACAGCAAATAGGAATCCTCCGCCTCCCCTGCTTAGAAACCTCCAGCAATTCCTCAGGGGTGCAGGTAGAATCTCAGTCCAGCAGCCAAGGGCTTACGTATTTTGAGCGGTCTATGGCTTTCTGTTGAGCAGACTTATAGCTTCTCATAGCTGGGCATATTTCTATTTCCTGGGTTATCTGAATGCATTTCTTGTAACCCTGGCAGAAGAAAAGTTTCTATCAGCCCTCCTTGTAGGAAGAAAATGTGTTCCCTAGTTTGTAGGCAGCAGAGAGCCTGCTGTGTTAGTTGTGTCCCGTCAGAAGCATTTGAGAAAGTCTCTCGCGGTATAACAATGGCAGTTTTTTGCTTGAGGGACAGAGAGAGAGCAGAAGCTGGTGAATCTGACAGGCAAGGGTCCCTAAGAGAAAGGATAAGGTCCCTAAGAAAGGGCCCCCTGCCCTGCCTTCCTCACCTCCTCTTCCCCCCCTCACCACGTGGCCTCAGGAGATAGGGCGGTGTCACTGCCTCTGCTGACCCTCCCGATGTACCAGATGAAGAGACCGGGTCAGTAACGCAAGGAGTTGATGTGGACATCCACTGCCCAGCATTTTGTTCATCGTGCAGCTTTATAAACTGTCCAAAGCAAGGTTCAGAAGAGGCAGGATTTTGCAAAACTCTCACATCAGTTCCATCTAGGACGTGTGGACATCACAGTGATTGGGATGATGGGCTGGCTGACCCTTGGTGGTTCTCAACAATTTCCAGGATGTTGCATTTATTTATCCATGACATGACATCAGGGGTGGGAGCTGTGCTTATGCAGAAAGGGGTTCTCACAGACTGGACCATCTGCCTACCTGCTCTCCCACCTGTGTATTGTATCTGTTTATTTAGGTGGAATTTTAAATTTAGAAAACAGTTGCAAAAATACTATGACCTGTTTATATCCTTTACTCAGATGACCAATTGTTTACATTTTGCTCCACTTACTTTATTATTTTCTCTCTTTCTGTATTTACCAATAAAAAGAGCATTTTCTTACAGAGGCACAGGACCGTGACCAGAATCAGGACATTCACAGTTGGCACAGTATCGGCGTCTAACCTGGCATCAACATTCCAGTTTCACCTGCTCCCTGGCACACTGTGGACCACTGCCACCTTGGTCTGGGATCCACCCAGGCCTCCAGTGTGTGTAGTTGCTCTGTCTCCTTAATTTCCTTTCAACTAGAATATTTCTTCCCTCTTTCTTTGCCTGTTATGGCCTTTACATTTTTCAGAACAGAACAGGTTTTCTGTACAGTGCCCATCACTATGATTTGTTTGATGTTTCCTCATAATTAGAATTTTGGCCAGAATCCTAGAGAAGTGATGTTTTGTCCTTGCCATGCATCCTATCAAGAGGCACGTGATATCAGTGTGTCCTGCTGGCGATGGTCATTTTGATCTCTTGTTTAAGGTGGCATCTGTAAGGTTTTCCCACCGTAGGTTGCTCTATTTCCTTTGAAATGAACAAGTAATTGTGGGGCGATTTTTTCGGACTATATTCATATCTTTTGACTCATCAAATTTTCACCTCCTAGTTTGGGCATGCATTGATGATTCTTACCCGAGTCAAGTATTATTACAATGGTTGTCAGATGGCAATCTTCTAATTTCATTTCTCCGTCTGCGCCCATCAGTTGGCATTCTACAAAAATATGGAGCCGTCGTGAGCTTGCGTCTCCTTGTGCAAGAGCTGTGGCTATGCTGAGCTTCTCCACATATTTCCAACTTTAGTACATGGGCAGGTGAGGCAAGCACCACTCTTACCTTCGAACACCACACACACACACCACACACACATATCACATAATACACACCCCACATACCACTCACACAGCATAACACACCACATAACACACATCCTACATATGACATCATACATCATACACACCACACACACACCAAATACACCACATGCCACACAACTTACATACCACATCATACACATCATACACACGACACACAGCACATAACACACCACATGCCATACATCCTACATACATCATACACACCATACACACACATCAAATACCACACCACATGCCACACAACCTACACACCACATCATACACAGCATACACATGCATGACACATAGCACATAACACACCACATGCCACACAACCTACATACCACATCCTACACACCACACACACCCCATAACATACCACATCACATACCACACACACCATATACCACATCATATACACCACACACAAACCACACACACAAATGCAAACACCACATACACCATACATACCCACACACACAAACACTGTATACCATACACCACACTGTACACACCACAAACACACACACACCATACCCCACACACACACCATACACACACACACACACACACCATACACACACACACACACACACATAAAAAAAAACTTCTGTTGAGGCTGTGCCCCCACCACTTGGAGCCACTACATCTCCCTACCTCAACTTCTTTCCACTTGGTAGTCCTGTCTTCTGAAGTTAGTAAATGCAGGCGTGAGGCAGGGAGGCGCTTTGGCTGATTGGCGGAACCCTGGGATGAGCCACAGCATGGCTGTGTGGCACGTGTGGTGTGGGTGTGGGTAGGGGGATCCCGCCGTGCTTCCTTCCCACCCTGAGTCCCGTGTGTGCCCCTTACAGTGTGTTTCCTATTAAAGTTCCTTTCATGTTTGGGCCAAGGGTGTTTCCTTTAATTCCTGCTAGCATAAAAGAATGAGGTTTTCTGCAGCAATTTCTAAGTCTGAAAAGGGAGGCTCTGGGGTAAAAATGTTGAACAATTAAAATGATTAGAAATTATCTATATAAAATACAGGTATACAAAATATGTATATTGAATCCTAGCTAGACAGACGGTATCCCCGGGAGAACTCCTCCTTGAGGAATGGGCCATTTGCTTCATAATAGATGCGAGATCATCCTCGGGCCAGTTAGCATGCACAGTTTCCCGGGATGCTTTGCGATACAAATTCATAAACATTGATTGAAAGGTCAGGGGACGTTCCCATCAACACGCGGCTCTGTCGGATTGTTCAAGGGAAAGTTAGCACTGTTGCATGCAGGCAGTTGAGTTCTTAGGGAAGAGTGCTGGCCCTGGTGGAGTTTTCCATGTCTGTGTGATTTGGTGTGGTGTGATATAGTCAATGGGACTTGGTTCGGCGCAGGGAGAGCTGCATGTTTCTGCTCATGTTATCTGGAAATAAGGATTCGGGCTCTGTGTGCTGAATTATGTTTGCGGCGATCTCACAGTTGTGAAGAAGAGGCATGGCTGGGAGGCATGTTCAGAGCTGGAGAGGGTATAAAATTCTCATTTCTTACCTTCTCTGAGGGAAGGAGTGTGGAGTGGCAGATTTCCAGTCTCTGGGTCTTATATCAGTGTCGTTCTCTGGGACCAGCACTGTCCCCATATGGGTACCACTGGGACGTGTAGTTGACCTCTGACGTGCACGGCAGATGCACGGACAGGCAGGGTGGTGCTGGGTGAGCATTAGCCGTGTGCAGCTGGTGAGCCTATGCCTTCTTGTTGGCAGGCCTCGCTGCTGAGAGTAAGTTGGTGAGGACCCATGCACGTAGGTTCTCACATGTTTCCAAAGGTCCCTTCCTGCCTCACTGGTGAGCCTTTCTCCCAAATGAGAACTCCTCGCTCTTGCCTCCCTTTCTACTTTCTACATCTTCCTGGGACTTCCTGGCCATCTCCTTTCTGCATGCATGCTGCAGGAATTTCCACTCCAGGGAGGGAGCTCTCAGTATCTGCACAGCCCAGGTGCAGGACATGTGCTGCCCAGGCTGGGTTGCTGTCTGTTGTTTCACCCTGCACAGTGAAGAGAATGGGGGGTTAATGTGTCAGGCATGGCATGCGTGATTTAGAACCATTCATGCCTCCAAGTATTTGAGGCAGCTCCTGGGATCCACATCTGTGAGCAAGGAAACTGAGGCCTGGCTTAAATCACACGTCCAAGACCAGAGTTAGGAACAGGGCACCTGCCTGGACCCAGGTTCACACCTGTAAGCATGTCGTGGGTGTGGGATATGCCTTAGCTCTCTGAGCACGTGGCAGAAATTTGGGGATCTATCACCCACTACCGTAACTGTGACAACGTCTCCACAGGAGGAGCGGCAAAGTCTAAATTAAAAGAACGTTTCCCGCAGGGGGCGCTCTTTTTTGGATCTCTCTGCTTGGAGATATCTCTGCCTGTGTAGGATCAAAGCAGAGGGAACCTCTGTGTTTTCAAATAATGTTTTTCCCCTAAAGCAGCACCAGTCCTAATTGAGTAATAGAGTAACAAGAAGTAGAAAGGGGAAGCTTTAGCAGCTGGGCCTTCACCTGGTCTTCCAACAAGCCCCAACTCGACGAGAGCCAAAGCAAGAGACACCATTTGGAGGGGAAGATAAGAAGTCTTCACAAGGTCTTTTCCGGTGTTCTGCTTTTTCCTGGGAGGCGGCCTTGGCGTGTCCCTGAGACCTCCTGTGATGCTCACGGCTCTGGCGCTGCCATTTTTCTTGGGTGTCGTCTGGTGGTGTCTGCAAGGCCAGCTATAATGTCAGGGCTGTGCTCGATAGCACAGAAAAGACAGCGTCCTGGAGGAGAGCTTGTTGGAGCAGATTTACAAGGGAGGGTGTGGGTGTCACTCACAGTTCACGCTACAGGACAATCCCTTTCACTCTGGGAGCTGAGTCCCAGGTGAGAGCTAAGTTCCAGGCGAGACCAGGGAGTCGAGGGGACTGGATTTCTGCTTCTCTCCCAGGAGCTGCGGGCTGGGAAGGGGAAGGAACAGAGCTGAGGTGTGACATCGCCCCCGGTTTCCCCTGTTGCCCAGGTTATAGCTTGGGTGGGGCTGACTTCAGAGGCAACATTAGAACCTTTTAAAATACCCTTAATGATTTACATGAATTAGAACAAGAAGGCAGCTGGGTGTCGTGGAAAGCGAGTGGGATCTGGGTTATGTCCTCACTGTGCCTTTTTATGCACACAAAGATTTATCTACCCATGCTATCAACTTAGTGTGTATTATAGTGAAATGCCGTAAATAATCTCATGTCCCCTTTATACAGATAAGAAAAATTTTTCAGGGACATTGAGTTAACTTGATAAAGTTCTCCAGTTATCAACCTGGTAATTCCAGTTCTAGAAAATGGCAAGAGGTAAATGCCAACAGTGGGTATTTATATAAGAATGATTATGGATCAGTTAAGCAAGTCAGTAAAAGGAAATCGCTAGTGTGCATAAGGTGCTATTGAGGCAATACCTTTATGCTTTTGGTTTATAAAGTAAAACATTTTAAATCTTGGTATTTGTGCTATGTCTGCATAATAAAATATTTCATAATTAAAGTCATACTTTGGAAGATTTTTTATTATATAAGAAAATCTCTATATTACAACATTAAGTGAAAACAGTGGGAGAATAAAATCTAAAACTACATATAGAGACCAAATCTTATAAACAATAGATTAAAAATACTAGTAAAAATAGTATAATGACTATACTAGATTTGCTGTCTCTGTGTGTGAAATTATGATTAAATGATTTCTAGTTTATCCTTTCTATATTATTCCAGATGTTTCACTATTAACATCAATTATATTTATAACAACAGCAGCAAAGGTCAACGTGATTTATATTTTTAGAAAACCAGGTATTAGTAGTTATGGTTATGTAGCAAGGCTGGCTCAAGAAATGGATCAGACTCTGAGAGGAAAGACCCACGGTTTTGTTGGGTATTCACCGTGTGCTCCCCTTGTAGGTAGAGGTGATGGGATGGACCTGGCGTTCACTGCAGCTGCCTGTCTCCACACTGCACAGCCTGCTTTGGAGGACGCCCAGCCTCCCCTTGCTGGCCTCCTAGCAGTCTCGTCAGTTTTTCCTGCAATGTGAGTCACTCCCTTTGCTGTAGCCTGGGTGTACCTGGAACCAGCCAATTGCATATCCACAGTCAGGCGGCCACTCAGTCTCCTACCAGAGTTTACAAAGCCAGGGTCCTACAAACACCCTCATAAGTGGGCTTATTTTGGCCCATCCCATGAAAGAAGAGGCTGAGTCTGACAACAGCAGGAGCAGCAGCAATGATCGCTTATTCCGAGGCCTCTATGTGCAGGGCACACCTCCACTCTCCCGCCGTGCTGCGAGCCCTTTGAGGGCAGGACCCGTCTGATTCAACGCTATTGCTCCAGCATAGCTGGACAGGGCTTCACACTGGACATGCTCAGTAAACTTGAGAACGTAAAACAGATGATCGAATTCCTCTGTACTCCAGATGATTTTGCTAAACAGAATTATTACATATTTAAAATACAGGATTATCACTATTTGAAGATGAAATTAGACACTTATATAATAAATTACCCCAACACTTAGTGGCTTAAAACTATGCACATTTGTTACCCACAGGGTCTGGGTAGCAGGGATCTGGGAGCAGACTGGCTGGTACTCTGGCTCAGGCCTTCCAGGAGCACGCAGCTAGTGCTGGCTGAGGCAGCTGTCACCTGAGGGCTTGTGGAGGCAGCAGGGCAACGTCCAGGCTCTCTTATGTGGCCTCTGGCAGGAGGCCTCGGGTGCTAGCCACGTAGGCCCTTCCTCATGATGTGGCATTTGGATTCTCCCAGAACAAGTGACTGAGGGAGTGGTGGGAGGGAGGTTGGTGGAGACAGCAGCGTAGCCCCTTCCTGTGATCTAGTCTTATGGGTTGTGCTCGCTCACTTCTGCCATATACATTAGGAGCAATTCATAAAATCCAGCCCAGACACAAGACTCCACCTCTTGAAGGGAGAGGTATTGATATGGTTCTGCTGTGTCCCCACCCAAATCTCACCTTGAATTGTAGCTCCCATAATCCTGTTGGATTATGTTGGAGGAGGGACCCTGTGGGAGGTAATTTAATCGTGGAGATGGTTACCCTCATGCTTTCTCATGATAGTGAGTTCTCACGAGATCTGATGGTTTTATAAGGGGCTTTTCCCCTTTTGCTCAGCACTTCTCCTTCCTGCTGCCGTGTGAAGAAGGACATATTTCCTTCCCCTTCTGCCATGATTGTAAGTTTCCTGAGGCCTCCCCAGCCATGCTGAACTGTGAGTCAATTAAACCTCTTTTCTTTATAAATTACCCAGTATTAGGTATGTCTTTATTAGCTGTGTGAGAATGGACTAATACAGGTATCAAAGAATTTGCGGTCATCTTTTTTAAAATCACAAAATTTCAGGAGATTTAATTAATAAAGTGAGACTCAGGTCTAGGCAGGTAATTAGAGGGGCCTCCAAGAAGGAAACAAAGACTTTGTCTAACACACTATGGTCTGGAGACAGATCTCCTAGGGGCCTTGCTCAGCTTTTTGCTTACAGCATTGAGCTCCAGGGATTGGCTCTGCTTGCCACAGGGTGATGTGCCCCATCTCTTTATGTTACTGAGGGCAGAAGAAGGGTGGATATCTATAGTTTGCCTGCATTTCAGGATCCAAGTCAAGAAGGAGAAGAAAGAGGAATGGCCCTATTGTGGGAGCCTCCATGATCGCTACTGCATTTGGCAGTGATATATACTCCCTTAACCTTTCCTCTGCAAAGAAATTGATAATGATACTTGCACTAGTAAATGTCCACTTCTAAATGTCTGTATAAATAAAACAAGTATCTAAACTCATTCTTGCCCCATAAAATGTCTACACTTTAAAAGTAAATCATGCCAATCTGCTCATACAGGCAGAAACTAAAGAGCCTTTAAATTTGTTTTGCAAACAATCACATCAGGATTTGTTCTAATATACTGATGCAGTGGACAGATTTATGATTTTTAGGAAGATAGGCACATATTTTGCAGAGAGTAAAAATGGAAATTCAGTGATAGAAAATGGAGGTTTGCTCCATGTAAGGATAGGGGCTCATATGACTCAGTGGAAAATAGAGGATAATCGACTCTATTATCCTGCCTTTATGTGGAATTGCAATAATGTCCATTCATATTAAAAATAAAATTGAAGACTTTCCTAATAATCCAGTCATTCACAAATAAATATTGATTGAATGCCAAATATATTCCAGGCACCAGACACTCTCTTAAGCACTTGGATACAGCAGTGAGCAACAAAAAACCTTGCCTTCCTTGGCTTTGAATTCCAATGCATAGGGAACAAAAGCAAATGAATCAGTAAAAATTATTACATGTTATATGGTGATAAATTATAAAGGAAAAAAATCAGGGAATGAATATAGAGGGTCAGGGAAATGGCTTAAAATTATTAAAAGCGTGGCCAAGAGGTCACGTTGCAAAGTTCACATTTGCCCAAATAGCTAAATGAAGCAAGGGAGTGAACCACCACAGCCAGCTGGAGGAAGAGCATTTTGAGAATACAGAATAAGTGCAAAGGCCCTGGGGTGGTCGGGGAGGGTGGTCTGTGCAAGAGCATGACGAAGTCCATCGTGGCTGAGGAGTGGTCAGAAGAACCTGACCATGTGTGCCTGTTGGTTATTTAAGGATTTTGGTTTTAACCAAAGTGAGCTGGGTGGCTGCTGGAGGGTGTGAAGGAAGAGACTCCTAATCTGAGATGGATCTCTGGGATGAATGGTTGTTGGTGTTTGAGAAGCTATTGCAGTAATCGAGTCAAGAAATGGTGCTGGCGTGGCCCCGGGTGGCAGTGGTGGGTGAAAGCACTGAGAGTGTGTTCTGCGAGGAGACTTGCCAAGATTGACCCACAGACCACATGTGGGATATTAGGGAGCATAACAGTCAGGTTTCTGGCCCAGCCCCTGCAAGTATAGAGTGCCATTGTTTTTAGATTGGGAATGCTGAGAAAGGAACAGGTTTAGGGTTATGTTTGGTTTGTAAAGTTTAAGATGCCATTGGATACTGAAATAAATGTATGAATCTGGAGTTCACAGAAAAGGTTTCGATTAGATTATAATAGAGCAAAATCAACTTCCAGAGTAGAAGTGGGAGTTTTATTTTTTATTTATTTATTTTATTTTTTACCAGAACTGCTATTTTTACAAACTGAAAGTCCCTTAGAACATACACTGAAAAAAAAATCCCAGTTATTCTCTGAGTCCTTACATAGAATTGAAGACCACCTGCCTGTTTGTCTTTGCCTGTTTCCTTTTCTTCTGTTCTTAACTCCTCTCCAGCTCCTGAATAGCAATTTTGTTTCTCTCTGCCTCATGCAACAGACTTTTCTGGATGATTCGCCCCATCCCCCGTCATGCCAAGCCTCTGCCCCACTTCATTTCTCTTTCAGTGAGTGGAGCCTCCGCCGTCTCCCAGACCTATTGTTGCCTGGACCCTCTCAAGCCTACCCCTTCCTCTCCTCCCTCCCCTCCTTTACTCCGTCCCTTTCCATGGAGCCACACTCGGGGCAAGACCATCTGCTCTGGCCTTCCGAGGCTTCCGCACTGCTGGCAGATGCTCCCCACGTCCCCTAGAATGGTTTGTGATCTTTCTCTGTCTGGTCCCAACATGCCTTTCCAGCCTCCTCCCTCCCCACGCCAGCAGTTAACCCACGCATCCATCCAGGAGATTTCCCACACAGACTGCACATACCGCACAGGTGTGACCTGCTGGTGATGATCTGCTTTCTCTAAAATGGACTTTCCCTTCTGTCTGCACTTGCTGATCAACAAAAAGCCTGCTGGGCCTTTAAGACAGGCCTCAAACCACCTCTGCTGTGAAGCCTGCCCTTCCTCGTCAAGACCCCAAACGAGGCTCACCTCCCCGTGACCGTGCAGCGTGCTGCTGGTCCTGCCAACGGTGCCCCTGACGGAGCTGTGGTTGGTCCTGTGTTTACCTCTTCGGCCTTTCCACCCCTCCAGAGGTCCGCCTCTTGTCTCCAGGTCTTTGTATCTAACTGACCAGTTGGACACTCACCAACCTGAATGCCATGTGGTGTTCTGGAAAGCTTCCTCTGTAATTTCCAGTTCAGATCAGTTGTTCATCCTGTGCACTCCAGTCTCATCCTGTGCTTAATTCTACCACAACAAACAACGCAGTATTAAAATTGTCTGTGCAGCTTTCTCTGCAGTCTGAAAGACCTCGAAGAGAACAGACCTGCCTTATTTACTGTGCGAGTATCCAGCTAGAGCCTGGAGCTCAGTAAATATCTGTGATTTCACTCTTTCTCTTTCTCCTTCCATCCCTTCCCCTGTCCTCCTCTCCCTTTCTTCTTTCTTTCCTTCTTTCTTTCAGCACACATCAGTACAATTCCACACAATGGAAAGAGAAGAGTGAACAAGGCAGGACATTTAGAAGGGAAAGTGGAGGAGCAAAGTGAGGAAATCTTATCAGAAAAGGGGTGATCAGCAATGTTTAATGTTGTCACAGGCAAGAAATATGCAGGCAAAAAAATCCTTTACATTCTGTAACTAGGATGTTGCATGGAGATTTATATAAAGAGTGTTGGGCTGGGCACAGTGGCTCATGCCTGTAATCCCAGCCCTCTGGGAGGCTGAGGCGGGCGGATCACCTGAGGTCAGGAGTTGTAGACAAGCCTGGTCAACATGGTGAAACCCCATCTCTACCAAAAATACAAAAATTAGCTGGGCACTGTGGCGGGCGCATGTAATCCCAGCTTCTCGGGAGGCTGAGGTGAGAGAATCACTTGAACCTGGGAGGCAGAGGTTTCAGTGAGCCGAGATGGCGCCATTGCACTCCAGCCTGGGCAACAAGAGCAAAACTCCATACTCCATCTCAAAAAAAAAAAAAAAAAAAAAAAAGAATGTTAACACTTCTTGCTCCTACCGTCTTACTCATTTCTTCCTTCGTCACTCATTCATTCAGTAAACATTGGATTTCTATTTCCTGCCTCCTCTAAGATTTTCTAGGCACTTGGACCTCAAAGATGAAGCTATTCTCACACGCACAGATTGTCAGGACTTTGAGGCTTTATGGGTGATGGGCCTTTACACATTGTACTGTCTCCATAAAGCCCCTCCTTAGCTTCCATTTTTTTTTCTTTTGAGACAGAGTTCCACTCTTGTTGCCCAGGCTGGAGTGCAATGAATGGCACAGTCTCGGCTCACTGCAACCTTTGCCTCCTGGGTTCAAGCGATTCTCCCGCCTCAGCCTCCTGAGTAGCTGGGATTACAGGCACACACCAATACGCCCAGCTAATTTTTGTATTTTTGTAGACATGGGGTTTCACCATGTTGGCCAGGCTGGTCTCAGACTCCTGACCTCAGGTAATCCGCCCGCCTCAGCCTCCCAAAGTGCTGGGATTACAGGCATGAGCCACTGTGCCCAGCCAAGCCCCTTTTTAGTTTCTGTGGGGACCCCTCATTCAGCCACAGACTTGCCCCTTCAATGGCCACTTCATTCTTCCATGTGCGTTTTTCCTTGTTCTCAAGTTGTCTCCTCAGCTTGAGTGTGAAAAACATTTCATGCTTTTTAGTATCATCCTTAGGATAAGTCTCATATCTGTGCACTTTCATATTGATCAAAAAAATCACAAGAGGATAACTGAATGGACAACTATAAAACCTCCTGTTTCTCTATTTCATGTCAGACAACCCTAGCTCCCTTAGCTTTGCTTCCAGCTCCTTTTTCCTGATGCTTTAATCATTGCTGTTCCTCTCTTAATGTGCATCATGCACACTATAGTTCTCTAAAATCAGGCCACTTTAAGCCATCCACAGGATTTTATGGAATACTAATCAGTGTCATGTTCCACTCAACATGTGATCGGATTTTGAGAGCAGTGAACAGGGTGTCCTCTGAGGGCCTGGGGTAATACCCCCATTCTGAATCACAAAGGCCAGCCCCATGGGGTCAGAGGGTTGGCCTGGTTAGCCTTGTGGAGCCTGTGTTCTCCAAACAGACATTTAATTACTGTCCCCAATGAGTACCCTGATCACAATACTTATTGCTCCAATGGGGTCTGTGGGTGGGGATTGCAAAGGGGAAGGTTGCCCTGCTTAGCTCAAGGGGAGCATCTCCTGAGAAAGCTGATTCCGACAGAAGTGCAGTCAACTCAGCAAGCCTCTTCCTTCTGTCCTGTTCCTAAAACCATCTGCTCATTGCAGGAAGCGACTCCATTCCGTCAGCCATACTGATGGCATTAGGTTCTCCTAAAACATCTGGGTTTTCCTTGTGGGAGAAAATCCTGCAGTGAATTTAGATGTTGGTGGACCTCTAAGCAAGGGCCTCATTGAGTATAGGAGGGGAAATTATAAATGTCAAATTATAAGTGTGCAAATTATACAAGTGCACCCCTGCTTGGCCTTGCAGGGCACCACTGGCCAGCTCCCCCCTCTCCAATTTTTCTTCTGTTGCCGTGATGGTGAATGTTAGTTGTCAACTTGATTGGATTGAAGGATGCCTAGATAGCTGGTAATGTGTGATTTCTGGGTGTGTCGGTGAGGGTGCTGCCAGAGGAGACTGACGTTTGAGTCAGTGGACTGGGAGAGGAAGACCCATCCTCAGTGTGGGTGGGCACCATCCCATCGGCTGCCAGTGCAGGCAGAACAAAGCAGGCAGAAGAAGGTAAGATAAGCTTACTCGCTGGTTCTTCTGGCTTCTTGCTTTATCCTGTGCTGGATGCTTCTTTCAGCTTCTCCTGCCCTTGGACATCAGACTCCCGGTTCCTCCGCCTTTGGACTCTGGCACTTATGCTAGTGGTTTGCCGGGGGCTCTCCAGCCTCTGGCCACAGTCTGAAGGCTGCATTGTCGGCTTCCCTGGTTTTGAGGCTTTTGGACTTGGACTGAGCCACTACCGGCTTCTCTCTTCCCCAGCTTGCAGATGGCCTATGGTGGGACTTCACGTCGTGAGCATGTGAGACAATTCTCCCTAATAAGCTCCGTTTCATATACACATACATCCCACAGATCTGTCCCTCTGGAGATTCCTGACCAATACGGTTGCCCACCCTTCTTTGTCTCTTCTTTGCCACGTTCACTTCTACGTGGCCTCACGGAACCCACGTGGCCTTGCCTTTCTGGAATCGCAGTCTCCTCCATGTGGAGATGCGTCACCTGTAGCTGATGGATAATCACTTGGAAATGCAGCTGCCCCGGACGGGAAGGGGTTGTGCATTTCTCATATTGTTTTTGGCTAGACCTTGAGAAATTTTGCTTCCTGGACAACTTAGTCATATTTTATGAAGATCCTTTGTCAGTGGCTAGAAAATTGGACATGTATGATATATGGCTGGGGAGGACTAATGGGCTCTTCCTTCAACACTCTGTCAAAGTGGGGCCAGTGCCCATGGTGGAACGTGCTTTAGTAAGATGAGAGAAGGTGTTTTCATGATTAACAAGGCATGGCATTCGTATTTCAAAGATCACATGACATATCAAAACAGTCTGCTACCGTGTATTTATTTGGTGGCATGGACATGGGACATGTGGTATTTTCTCAGGGACCCTTCGGCCCTGGACCTGTGCTGTGCAGGCATCTGCCTGTACACACTGCAGCTGTTAACCTGTGCATAACAAACAGCCAATGTAAGATCAGATTTGAGGCTGGGAGTGGTGGCACACCTCTGTGTGTGTGCTTACATAACATACACTCAATGTAAGATCAGATTTGAGGCTGGGAGTGGTGGCACACCTCTATGTGTGTGCTTACGTAACAAACACTCAGTGTAAGATCAGGTTTGAGGCTGGGAGTCGTGGCATACCTCTGTGTGTGTGCCTACATAACAAACACTCAGTGTAAGATTAGGTTTGAGGCTGGGAGTGGTGGCACACCTCTGTGTGTGTGCTTACATAACAAACACTCAGTGTAAGATCAGGTTTGAGGCTGGGAGTGGTGGCACACGCCTGCGGTCCCAGCTACTCCAGAGGCTGAGGTGGGAGGACGCTTAAGCTCAGGAGGTCAAGGCTGCACTGAGCCATGATTTCACCACTGCACTCCAGCCTGGGTGATAGAGTGAGACTCTGTCTAAAAAACAAAACCAAAAAAACATAAGATCGAATTTGACTCGACCGTTTGTCCCTCTGACACGTAATCTAAGATGTCAGAAGTATTTGTGTCAAAGAAGGCAAGTGGGAGAGACCGGGCCTGAGGTGATGCTGTGTTCCTTCTTTGATGACATCATTAACGAGGAGAGGGATGGCCAAAAGAATCCAAAATGAAAAGTGTGCTGATAACAGAACCAATCACAGGCACAACTAGCCTGGGATTCCAGGCCTGCCGAGGCTGCTCACTGCGGAGCCTGTGTCTGATTCTGTGTGACCAGAGCCTTGGCTGCAAATAACGACCAGCCTTTCCTCATCACCCACCAGCAGGCACCCACCACAGCCCTGTTTGAGGTCCTTTGAACTCACAGTTTTAGAAAAGGTCAGTAGTCAGGTGATATGGTTTAGCTGTGTGCCCACCCAAATCTCATCTGAATTGTAGCTCCCATAATTCCCAAGTGTCCTGGGAGGGACACAGTGGGAGGTAATCGATTCATGAGGGTGGGTCTTTCCTGTGCTGTTCTCATGAGAATGAATAGGGCTTACAAGAGCTGATGGTTTATAAAGGGGAGTTCCCCTGCACTTGCTGTCTTTGTCTGCTGCCGTGGAAGACGTGCCTTTACTTCTCCTTTGCCTTCTGCCGTGATTGTGAGGCCTCCCCAGCCATGTGGAACTGTGAGTCCATTAAACCTCTTTCCTTTATAAATTACCCAGTCTTGGGTATGTCTTTATTAGCAGCATGAGAACAGACTGATGCATCAGGATAAGTCCACATTGCAGGCTCTTCAGGGCATGGCCCCGACTCGCTTTCCCATCTCACTTTTGGCCTGTCCCTCATGTGTACCCTGGGCCCAGCTGTGACCTATGGAACGGTATAACTCCCCTGAATACACTGTGCTCCCACAGATTATGTGCCTGCCCACTCCATCTCCACAGCCCCCATGGAGAGGAGAGAAAGGGGTGGCAGACTCTGCCTATGCGCCCTTGTTTCTTACTCAGAGATAAAAGTTCATTCAGAAAACATCTTGAGTTCCCCCAGGCTCCGTTACTTCCTTCTTTGCTCCCATAGCATTACCTGGTGAAAAGTGCTTCTGTTGCAAAACTTATGTTCATGTGTCTGCCTCACTTCTCCATGAGGGGCTCAGTTTCTTAAGAGGAGGAACAGAAAGGCTAGGTCTGGTCTCTGCATCTCCAACCGCTAGGCCAGGCGTTATATCCTTGGTGCGTGTTTATAGAATGTGATGGTAGACATGGAGTGTGGTGGGGTGAGCAGAGCAGATGTGATTGACATTCTGGTGAAAAGGCTGAGCAAACACAGGACCCACTGCTCTGTCCCTGCACTGGGCTGCGTGCTGGAGATTCAGTGGCCACTCATGCTGCTGCTGTGTTCTTGTGGAGGTAAGAGGCAGTGGGTAGAGGAGCAACAGGTGATATGTGAATGCTCCTGACTTTGTAGGAAATGGGAAAGGGGCTGATGGGTGGGGGTGCACGTGGGTGAAGGAGGTCTGGGAAGGTGTCTCTCCTGAGAAGGCAGCAGCTGGTCTGGGAATGAAGGGTGCGATGGAGCTCACTGACAACCCAGGCACAGGTGAGAGCAGGTGCACAGTCCCTGGAGAGAAAAGAGGCTGAAAGGCTGGAGGAAAAGTTGAGACCCATGTGGGGAGGGACGGATGAAGGTTCAGATCAGGGGCCTCCGGAAGTGAGGGAAGGAGCAACGCACTGACGCTGAGTGCTTTCAAGCAGGGGAGTGCAGAGAATGGATTTCACCTTGAAAAGTGAATGTGGACCATAACAAGTGTTGGCGAGGATATGGAGAGAAGGGAACCCTCACACAGTGTTAGAGGGAATGTGAGTTTTACAGCCATATGGAAAATAGTGTGGAGGTTCCTTAAAAAAAAAATCCAAAATAGAATTACTGGATGATCCAGCAATCCCACTTCTGGGTTTAGAACCAAAGGAACTGAAATCAGCTTGTCAAAGAGACATCTGCACTCCCATGCTCACTGCAGCACTGTTCTGGATGGCCAGGATATGGAAACATTCCCTGTGCTCATCCACAGATGAATGGATAAGAAACGTGTGGTGTATGTACACAATGGAATACTATGCAGCCTTAAAAAAGCAGGAGAGTCTGTCAATTGTGACAACATGAATGAACCTGGAGGACATTGTGTTAAATGAAATAAGCCAGGCACAGAAAGACAAATACCACATTATGTCACTTGTGTAGAATCTTAAAAAGTCAAAATTACAGAGGCAGAGACTAGCTCAGGGATGGTTGGGGGTGGGTTGGGGAGATGTTGGTACAAGGATATAAAATTTCATTGGACAGGAGGCATAAGTTTTTGAGATCAATTGCACAACATGGTGACTATATTTAATAATGTAAAGTATGTTTCAGAAATTGCTGAGAGTAGATTTTAAATATTTGTACCACACACCCACAAACATAAGTCTGTGAGGTGATATATATGTTAACTAGCTTGATATAAGCATTCCATATGTGTATATGTATATCAAAACATCATAATGGACCCCATGAATATATGTAATTATTATTTGTCAGTTTTAAACATTTTTTTTAAATGAACATGGAGGTTGGGGAACCTTACCAGGGTTCTTTTGGTCTCCGCCTTGCCTGGGGCCCAGAAGTGCTGGTGAGGGGTTGCTCCCTACTCTGGAGCTCTGGATGCTGATCAGAGACCCTCCATGCCTGGTGACATCTCAGACTCAGTGAACAGCCTCAGGGGCCCTTCACAAAACTGGGCTGTCAGGGCCACCTGGAGCTCAGAGTGGTAATTTGGTTCCATTTGAACTTCAATTTTCGTTGCTTTGAAATCTCATTCAGTTGAATTTAATAACAAATAAATAATTCATGGGGACTGGACAATGAAAGGAAAATTTAAAAATGTGTTCACCCAAATATATAAAGGGGCACCTTGTCCCTCAGCCCTGTTCTCTACCTTCTTTTCTCAGCTGGCTTCTGGGCAGATTCATGGCGCCAAAGGATGATGCGTTAACTCTCTCAGGGTGCTGAGGGTTCTCTCATCATGAGACTTCTGTGGGTTAGGGACTGGGCAAGAGGTGAGCAAGTATCCCACCTCTGGCAGGCCAGCCTCTCAGCCACCAATTTGCTAAGTGGCCCACCGGTCATCTCTGAGCCTTGTTTCCTTGCTTGTAAAATGCAGAAATCTTTAGTAAACCAATTGATGTAGGCAAATGTCATGAATGGATACACAGTCATCTCAGGGAATTTACATGGTGTTAAAGTATCACTCCAGGGATCATCTGCTGGTTGCAAGGGGAGAAATGTGACTTTATCCTGGAGAACACCGATGCTCTCCACCTTATCAATTCCTGCATCCCTAACACTGGGACAAGCAGATATCCTTCCATGCCCCATGCGGTGCCTAGCATCACCTGTGAGGTAATGCCACAAACTTGTGAGCTGAACTTAATCAAGCTCTTAGGTCTAACTTTCAGTGCGTAACAAACACAGGCTGCAGAGCATCCAGCTAATGCACACCAGGAGGAAACAGCCAGACAAATCCAGAAGGTGGAAACGTGGAGGCAACAACTCACCCATTCCTTCCAGCAAGCCAGCAATGTGTGGTGGGCTGGGGAGCCACTGGGGCGGACAGGTTCTAAGTTGAAATATACGTTACCACCAACCAAGGGCAATTCCTGGGCCTCGGCTAAATCCTTACCTATACAAACCAGCTATACCAGTCACTTTAGAGTAATTGGGGAAGTTATTACATGAGATTAGAAAATTGTATTCATTTTTTAAGTGTGAAAATGTTCTTTTTCCTTTTTAAAAAAGCTTCTGTTTTAGGTTCAGTGGCACATATGCAGGTTTGTTACATAGAGAAGCTTATGTCATGGGGGTTTGTTGAACAGACTCTTCTTAATTATACAGGAAAACGTCTAGAGCTTGTGGTCTCTCTTCTTTAGCGTTGCTTACTGAGATTTTTTAAAAAGATGCATCCTGAATGATTTCGAGGCATAATGTTTTGGTACCTGTATGCAATTGAAATAATTTTTAAAATAGATATGGAGTAAATATGAAAACTAACAATTTTCAAAATTTTAATGAGGAGCATATGAAAATTATACTCTAGTATGCTGTTACTTTTCTTTTCTTTTTTTCTTTTTTCTTTTTTCTTTTTTGAGACAGTCTTGCTCTGTTGCCCAGGCTGGACTGCTGTGGCACAATCTCAGTTCATTGCAACCTCTGCCTCCCAGGTTCAAGTGATTTTCCTGTCTCAGCCTCCTGAGTAGCTGGGATTATGGGGCACCCACCACCATGCCCAGCTAATTTTTGTATTTTTAGTAGAGATAGGGTTTCACCATGTTGGCCAGGCTGGTCTGGAACTCCTGACCTCAAGTGATCCACCCGCCTCAGCCTCCCAAAATGCTGGGATTACAGGCGTGAGCCACCGCGCCTGGCCGCTGTTAATTTTCTAATCTTTAAAAATAATAATAGTTTTTTTAAAAAGCTGCTCACAAATATTTTATTGATGATGTGTGCATTTTTTTTTCCTCTGGTAGGACATAATTCTCCCTGAGAAGGGGAAAGACAGTAAGAATTTTGTGAGTTGCATAATAGTCCATTGATTACCCTTTGTCCCCCAGTGGAGGGCACTAAACCCCTGAAGAAGCAGGCCCCTGTGTGGGCGTGTTATGATTGTAGAACAAGGAGAGGGGACCCTCCAGTACTCAGTGTCTTTAGTGGGTGGGGCGGGGGCTTCAAGGCAGTAGCCTCAGATACCTGCGGGGCCCATGCAGGGAACCCTAATTGGGGTGCAGGGTGGGGGAGCAACAGAATGCAAAATAGCTCTTAGTACCTTACCTAAATATTGGTTGCTAGATTTTTTCATTGACTGGAAGCTTTCATTTGGCTCTGGATAGAAGTGTGGGCAGTCACACAAGTCAAGGTAAGAGGGGTGGAAACTGGTTTTTGCTGGTGCTTCCTAACATTTGTCAACTGTGGCTTTCAGGCTACCAATGGGTGGGGAGTTTTGTGCGAGAAAATGGACCACATTTGCATCCTGGTGTTCTCCAAATGATGTTAAATGCAGAAACATTCAATGCAATGAGTTTGTTCAATTCCATCCAACTAAAAATTGTGTTTGTGCTATTAGTGCCTACCCTCTGATCAGTCTTGTACTAGGTAGGAAACATGGTGCTTACCCTTTACTAAGGAGTTGTGTTACATGAAACAGAAAACACTATGACTGAATCAAAAAGAAGCATCACTCTGCTTGGGTAGTCAGGGAAGAATCTTGATTTCCCCTGGAATCTGGTACTTACCTCGCGGTGAATATACAATAACAGCCAGAGTTTTAAAATAGACAAGAAGGACAGAAATCAGAGAGAAAAACACAGACACATCAGACCCCTTATCATAAGGTACAAACAATAGAGCAGAAGGGAGACCACAAACTTCCATTCTTTATGGGATGAGCGAGAAAGGGGATGGAGGCTTTGGCAATGTTGAATGGGTTTTCCACAGGAACAGCCAGCCCCAACTGATGTGTAGTGATTTCCTAGGAAGTTTGCAAACCTCATCCCACCAAGAGGAAATGGGTCGGGAGTTCTCCATCATCTGGAGGTCACAGAGCAGACAGACCATGGCCCAGGACAAGATCTAGAAGTTGTTATTTTATTCAAAGTCAGAAAACCTTCCAGGGTCTGGGGATCAGTGTCTGGATAGAAGAGAAAATACAAGAGAAAGCAAGAGGTTAATGTGGGCTGAAGGCTTAGAATGAGCAGTTTTAGGATAAAGGATAGTTAGGAAAGGATGGGGGATGGAGAGGAGGGTGCATGTAAGGCAGGACAAACCAAAGAGAAAGACCTGAATGTATCTGCTGTGTCTGTGGGACATAGGGAGGTTCTGTTCATTCTGAATGGGGGCTTCGAGCTCAAGCCTAAAAATCCATCCTTTCAAATAGGTACAGAAAGAAGGGCTTTGACAAGTACCATGGGCTGTGCTTGATTGAAAGGACAGACACATTCAGTTGTTGTTATTTGTGATTATTGTCAGCTCCATCATTGATGGCACTGTGCATTTTTTGAAGTAGGTCTCTCCCATCAAACTGCCAGGATTCCAGTGATCAGAGAGCAGGTCTTCAGTAGCACAGGCTGGATTGGGTGGTGCCCACTCCCGGCTTGACCACTTAGCTCTGTGGTGCCTTGGTATCCTCATCTGTAACGTGGGGATAATAATGGTGTCTGTCTCATAAGAATGTTTTGAGAAACAAATGAGAAAACCCAAGTCAAGCTCTTCTAGAAGTGCATGGCAGATAGTAAACAGTCAATCAACATTATCAGTCCTATCACCGGTGTGGGTACTGTTGAGATACCTGTGAGAGTAAATCATGATTTATGCCAATGGTTAATGGAAAATATTTATTTTAGTTATTTTCTTATCTGGGTAGTGCCAGATGGGATAATAAAAATGAAAACAGGCAGGGTTTCGTGTGTGTGTGTGTGTGTGTGTGTGTGTGTGTGTGTGTTGCTTTGTTTGCAAGCATGATTTAGTTGAAATTAGATGTCTCTTCTGATCTATAATCTCTTTGTCTTCAGACTGAAACCTGAAATCCCATCTGAATATGGCTGAAGCAAATCTGCACACAGTGTCTTGATGGGAGGATATGACTAACTCTTAGATTGGAATTGTGTTGGTGCGTAGGCAGGTTCTATTATTAGGGGTAATGTTACCACATTATTAAAATATTTTTAGGCATAAGACAGGATTCTTTCCTTCACAGATAAATGGTGAAACACACATATTCCTAATTTTTAAATTTTGATCAAAATTTTATTAAGGCCAAAATGGGCAGAGACTGGGTAACAGAAGCCATATTTTCCAATTTGCCCTCCTTTACTCTCCCAGATTCTCCTTGCATGTTGGCTGGAGTGGATCACGAAGGGTAGGAAGCTGAGAAAGGTGGAATAATTGGAATGTTCTGCAACTCTGAAGCCAAACAAACTTAGGTTTTGGATGACGTGGACAGTGGATATCATATCACCTGTTATGGTGAAACCATCACCAATACTTACTTTACAATTCCCATCACACACCCCAGTGACTTTCTGTGAAAGAGAGATCAGATATCTACTGTATTTAGATCAACTATTACATTATCAACAGTGGAGGAATAAGGAAATCTAGGATGCTGTTTAGTAGCAAGGAATGCATCAACAATAGATAAAAGGTGGCCAGGCATGGTGGCTCACACCTTTAATCCCAGTATTTTGGGAGGCTGAGGCGGGTGGATCATTTGAGGCCAGAAGTTCGAGACCAGCCTGGCCAACATGGTGAAACCCTGTCTCTACTAAAAATACAAATATTAGCCAGGCGTGGTGGCACATGCCTGTAACCCCAGCTCCTCAGGAGGCTGAGGGAGGAGACTTGCTTGAATCCAGGAGGCAGAGGTTGCAGTGAACTGAGATTATGCTGCTGCACTCCTGCTTGGGCAACAGAGTGAGACTCCATCTCAAAAAAAGAAAAAAAAAAGGAATCTCTCAGTAGGTACTAAATAAAACAGGGAAAAAAACATAACTAAACATAACTACAAACTTTCTTTTCTTTCTTTTTTTTGTGATAAGAACACTTAACATGAGATCTACCCTCTCCATAAATGTTTAAGTCTTGTTAACTGAAAGCACAATAGGATACAGCAAATATCTAGAACTTATTTCATTTTGCACAACTGAAACTTTGTACCCATGGAACGCCTCCCATTTCCCCTTCTCCCAAGCCCCTGGCAAGCACCTCTCTACTCTCTGTACAAGTCTGCCTGCTTTAGGAAGTGGAACCATGTAGGGTTTATCCTTCTGTGGTTGGTTCATTTCACTTACCATAACATCCTGTAGGTTCAGTCATGTTTTTGCATATGGCAGGATTTTCTGCTGTATTAAGGCTAAATAATACTTGATGGTATATATGTGCCACATTTTCTTTATCCATTCGTCTGTCAATGAGCATTTAGATGGTTTCCACATTTGGGCTATTATGAATAATGCTGCAATGAACATGGAAGTGCAGATAGTTCTTTGAGGTCCTGATTTTAATTATTTTGGATACGTACCTGGAAATGAGATTGTTGGATTATATGGTGGTTCTATTTTTAGTGTTTTCAGGAAGCCTCATACTGTATTCCAAAGTGGCTATACCATTTTGCATTCCCCCCAACAATGTACAAGGATTCTGATTTCTACACATCCTTGTCAACATTTGTTTTCCTACATATATATATATATATATACACACACACACACACACATACACACAACACACACACCTACATACATATAGATATATAATAGCAACCCTCATAGGTGTGAGGTGATACCTCTTTGTGGTTTTGATTTCATTTCCCTGATGGTTAATGATGTTGAACATCTTTTTATGTGCCTGTTGGCCATTTGCATGTTTTAGTTGAAGAAATGCCTTTTCAAGATTTTTGCTTTTGTTTCTTGTGCTTTTGGTGTCATATCCAAGAAGTCATTGCCTGGGCCAATGTCATGAAGCATTTCCCCCATGCCTTCTTTTGGGAGTTTTACAATGTCAGGTATTATGTTTAAGTCTTTAATACATTTTGAGTCGTTTTTTATGTACAGCATAAGATAAGAGTTCAGTTCTCTTGTATGGATATCCAGTTTTCCCAGCACCATTTTTGGAAGAGACTGTTATTTTCCCATCATGTATTATTGGCACTAACTATAATGGTGAAAAGTTAAACGCTTTTCCTTTAAGATCAGGAACAAGACAAGGACGCCCACAGTCACTGCTTCTATTCAGCATAGTAGTGGAAGTCCTTGCCAGGGCAATTAGGCAAGAGAAAGAAACTAAAGGCATCTAAATGAGAAAAAGATAAAATTATTTCTATTTGCGGATGACATGATCTTATGTGTAGACAACCCAAACTTTCTTATCTTCACAGAATATTTTGCAAGAGTTGAGCTCCTAGAAAATGAGCTTAGATCATTTCTCCCCTCTGGCCAGTAACAAGATGCTCCTACACTGAGCTTCATTTAGCACAGCCCTGGACACACCACCAGGCACTCAGCAAACATCAGACAATTTCCAGTTCAATGGAAAATTCTCAGTTATCCATGGCAGAATCATGGCCCTGTCATGCACTGGCTGAGTTTGCTTGAGGAAGCTGCTTAAGCTTTCTGACTCTTGGTTTTGTTATCTGCAAAAGGGGAATAGCAGTGTCTATACCACAGGGATAATATGAAGGCTAAATGAGATCCTGTAAAGCAATCTTTCCAAGTCCTGAGCTTGACACAATAATAAAAACTAACCTTTATTTAATTATTGAGGGTGGAGGAAGGAGGATAAAGAACAGAACCAAAGAACAGAAGTTATTTCCCAGTGAACTTAAACAATTCATGAGTTTTCTCATCTTAAGCAGGGAGGCCTTAACTGCATTGTCTCATGCCTTTAACCAGTGAGAGTCAGAGAGAGCTAAGGCACATCCAACTCCGTTGCTCAACTCCCAGGCACCCAGCAACAGGTATAGAGCATTGGGAGCTGCACTCTCCATACTGATGTTATAATTAATCTTCCACCTCAGTCAACCGATCATAGAGTTCCACTTTTGGAAGTGTTCCAACCTGCACCCAGGAGGCTTCTGCAGTCTTTTTTGCTGCCAGAATGTCCTCCCTGATTTACACCTGACTTCGGCAACATCTGAGCATTCATATCTGTGCTACATGCTGGCTGTAGCCATGGGTCTCATTCTAAAACATCCTTGCCTTCAAATACAGGCATGAGGCAGGAGTGGAGGAAGGAGAGGTAAGAAACTATTCATCGGCCGCCTCATGGGCATGCTGACGGCAAGAGTTATGAGGTGTAAACCTGGGTTCACATCTTGTTTTCTTCTCCAGGTGAGGGTACTTCATAGAGCTCAGAAGAAACTCAAGGACCAGCTCTCTCGGGCTGCCCCTGTAATATGGCCCACTGAGGGCAGGTTCCTGGCTGCCCTTGGAACAGTGCTGCAGTCATCAGGTGGTGTGAAAGACAAATGCCTTTGTGCCCTCAAAGGCAACCAGTATATATGGGAGGTGCTGTCCCCCCTTCTGCCACTCATCAGCTCATGGTAAACAGAGGCCACTTAGGCACCACTCAAGGCATTGACCAGTCTGAGTCCTAATTATAGGGTCCTACTTATAGCCATTATGAACCTCAAAGCCAAACAAGATGAATTTTGTCAAAGGACTCCTCCTGGCTTTAGTTGAACAGAATCATCAGACTAGGAAGCCATTAGTGACCTTCGTGAGTTTCCAGATCTTCATTCTCATGGCTCTTATCAGAGATTTGCTCTGAGGTGATAGTGTTATAGGGCCCTGATGCAAAAAGCCCAGTGCAGATTGGCTTACCTGCTGCTGCATCTTGATTGTCCATGGGTGGGGTCTACTCCTGAGGTCTTGGGATTGAAAAAGTTCACACGGACTGTAAATCCTGCCATTGCTACTGATGACACTTGTACTTGTTGCGGTGTGTCCATTGTAGTGGGAAGAGCTCTGCTCTTAGAGTGTTATACAGCCTATAGGGTTTGGATTCTTCACATTTGGTTGGTTGACTTTGAGTCTCAGCACTTTCAATTGTAAGGTGGGGACAGTACAAACTTACAGAAGTTATTGTGAATACACAACCATCCAAGTAATTACACCTGCAGAGCTGACTAGTTTACTTTCTTGCTTGCTGTCTGGTAAAACTCTTGCCAATCATAGACAAACGATCAATGCATAAGGTAACCTCATTTGAGAGTTCAAGTTCTGAACAGAAGAAAAGGATCTCATTCCTGTTATGAACAGCTTAGTTATAAAGTCAAATGTAAAATCAAATATGTGTTTCTGTGGCAAATGGTTAAATTCTTACCTTTTACAAAACATTCAGTAGTCACAAGGTCTTTACACACCCACTGCTTATCCATCATATTTATATATGGTGTGCCTGTTAGGTAAGACATACACACTTTGGTTAGTTACTTGAATAGATCATAAAATTAAGTCTAGGACTATGTTTTCTGCTTTATTTAAATTTTCTCATCCAAGGAAAAATTTCATAAAGAGTGGTTAAATGAATGAATGAATGGACATTTACTGTCTTGAATAAAACCTTTTTATATAACTTAGCTTGTTTTGCAAAAGAATAAAACACTGGGTTCAAACTCTTTATTTTTCATTGATCTTTAGAAATCAGGGTCCCTCTTTTGAATACACCCCTTGCTCAAGGAAAGGAACCATTTATGTTCTGGCCTTGATTACTGCACAATGGCTTTTACTACATTTGATTTGCAGCAGTTCATTTGTGATTAAATTTTCTAATTCTCCCAGAAAGTCATTGAACAAGCAAACAGTTTACTTTCCCCAATAAAACAAAACCTAAAGTATTTGGTCTTTAATAAATGTTCAAAAATTATTTTCTCAGTGTGTGTTCGAGATATAAATATCCCTTCATCTCAACCGTCTTTTAAATATTTGACCAATCTACCTTTACAGAGTAGTTGTTTCTCCTTATGTCATTTCTGATCTATCTTTCTTGAATTTTTCTTTGCTTAGTTTTTAATCAAGCCAAATGTTTGTTTAATCAGATACCTCAATTAGTCAAGACCTGTCTCTTTTATCAGAAGGTGAATTTAGAGAACAATTCTAAAACATAGGGTAATACAATTTTTTTAAAAGAAAAATAACCAAATTCTAAGCTCAGCTTGGTCCCAGGGCAAATTCACTCCTCATTCTTAATTCTTCTTCTCCATTTCTGGTCACGGGAGGGGCACCCCCAAAATGCTGACCCTAGGACTCCCCAAGATCCTCCAGCATCCAAAAGGCCTCTCTTCTCCAGTCTTTACTTTCTATGGGAACAGGTTGAAACCCCTGGGAATGAATACATTCTCAACTAAAAATACAAATTAAAAGAATTTCTTGCTTAGACTATCAGAAACTTGATCTAGTGCACATATTTCCCAAGCATTTCATTTACTAGATCTGATTAAGACACTCTGTTATTGTATCATTTAAATTTTTAAATTTTATTATTTAAATTTTAAATACAAGTTTTAAAGGATGGTTACAAATTAGTAACTCAAAATAATTGAGTGGAGAGATCAAGGTACAAGACACTCTGCCTTTACCTTCAAAGTCTGAGCAAATATGATTTTATATCGTTTTAATCAGAGATTCTTTTAAAGACCAAGTTACTGCAGTCCTGTCTTGTTCTTCTCCTATTTTATACTGATGTGCTCAGTACCTTGGTGTCTTTGTCTGTCTTTTAGGGGGAAGGGAACCCACGTTTTGGACTAGAGTAGCACAGATGCCATTCTTACCTCACTGTAGGTTTCTTTAAAGAATGTTTAGTCCTGACAATGCGATGCAGATTTCTTTCTCTCCCCACTCTATCTTCTCTTGCAGAGCTTTATCCCTTTTTCATTGTTCAGCATGACTGGGAACCTGCCAGCTCGCCACAATGAAACATAATGTTTTTGCAAAGTGTGTGTCAAATGTCGTGAGCTTAGAAGAGATTCATCGTAGAGACTGCTGCTTAATGAGTGTAAATTAACTGATCATTTGCTAAATCTGATGTGCCCAGTGGTGTGGGTGGGAGAATGCTGGATAGGATGTAGGAGATGCAGGTGAGCAGACGGGTAGCAGAGACACATACCGTGTTTCTGAGCGAGGACTGTAGCATGGCCAGAAGGCTGTTCTGATGTAGAGAGGGATTTTCCGCTCACGGTAGGACCCAGTACCATGAGACTGAGGACTGAAACACAAAGTTAACACAGATCTCCCGAACAGTCTGCTTTAGGGCTGGAGCCTGCTGGGATCAGTCCTCTTGAGAAGAACTACAATCTGGTTGAGATTGAACTTGCCAAAGACAATGAGACTAAACAAGAGATGCCTGCTGGTAAACATCAGGGGTGTTGTGTGGAAGCTGAGGGAGGAAGAAAACACAAAAGCTGTGCATGATGATAAGGCTAGTGGGCCTAGTGTTACCAGTACCACAGATCTACAGCTCCTCCTAGAGGCAGGGCACATTCAGAATAAGCAACAGGGAGCTGCATGTCATGTAGTCAAGCAACTGTATATTTCTTCTTCATTGATTTCTGGGACATACATATGAAATATCTTCAGCTTCATATCTGAGATGGCAGGAACATGACAACATATTAGCTTTTAGGTAGACACCCGTAGGTCTTAGGATGTGGTGGAAAATTGGGTGTCATTTTTTCCAGATAATCACTGGCATTTTTATAAAACATGAAGCCCTTCCTAAAGTCTGTGCTTCCCAGATAGTAGTGAGGAGAAATAGGCTTGTGGAGACCATAAGGGTTTATTTTGGAGTGGGTCTTGTGAATTTGACAGTTTAATAGTCACGTGGACGCACACTGTTGTTTGCAGGAGGGGCCATGAACCCCTGCCCTGAATGAAAGGGAAATACTTATGTCCGTGGTAACCAGGGCCAGTGGCAGCCAGGAAGCCAAGACCTGGCCTCCGCTGCCACTGCTCATACAAACCAAACGTGTACATCACGTATGGGATATAGGAGAAGCACATCTGAAGGGCTATGGCAGAAGTGGAAAGAAGGCAAAACTCTTCCACACAGGCAACCCGTGCTTTCCAGACAAATCTCACAACATCAAACTAGAAGTATTCATGCCACCCCCTACCCCTGCCAACTAGAACTGGCTGTCTGTGTCAGGTCGTCATCTTATCTTAGAACACATCCATTGATACATACACTGTTTCTTCTTCCCTATTACCTCTGATTCTGCTTCTCTAAAATAAAAGCTGACCGACTGGTTGGAATAATAATACATATACCACCTGGCATTTTACAGTTTTACATCATCTCAGGTGATACAACCAGGCTATGATGCAGTCATGTCACCATACTCTTTACCAGATGAGATGCAAACTCAGAAATATTAGGAAATGTAGCTGTGATGGATTGGGCTATAATCAACTTGTGATGTGGGAGTTTCTCAGAATCTCTTTCCCTATATACATATGGTTCCGAGCTAGAGCTGGCCACAGTGAAGCCATGAGACTTGGGAGGTGAATGAAGGAGGGGCCATTATGCTCTGGAGGTTTTCATCGTGTAACTGAACACAGGTCCGGATGCTCACCGCCTGCAGAATCCAGTTAACAAGAATGAGTTCTGGTAGAAAGAAAGTGACTTTATTCACTCAAACTAGTAAAGAACAAGTGGCCGGGTTCCCATCCAAAGCAACCACTTCAATTTGGCAGAGAGGAAGACAGGGGTTTAAAAAAGGAAATCTTGACGTGAAAAGCTTGCAAGAATTGTGCTGAGTACAACGTCTGTGTACCTTGTTCTGGTGGCTATCTTGGGTCCCAGTTTACCTGGATCTCGGGCTGGTGTCATCTCAACAATGGTGAGGCTGTTGACTCGCCACCTTGAAGTCATCTCTGGAACTTTGCAGGTGGGTCTCCAGACTTGGTTCATGTGTCTCAAGATTACCCCCAGGAGCTTCTAAAAAGGGACATAATTAGATGCTAGCATACAGGTAGATGAATGTGAAGGGAGTATAGATGGTGAGAAAGGGAGGGATGTGGAGTTCATTTTAAGACAAAGAGGGAAAGGCTTCTGCAATTTGCTTCAAGGTTATATCTTGAAACGCACGAGAAATAAGTAAAAAGTTTAAAATGCATTTTGCAGTTAAACTGCCCAGTTACAATTGGTCAGAAGTGGTGAGAGACACAGTGGAGCTGACACAGGGTGCAAGTTTGTCTTCACTCTTCCTTACCCCTGTCTTTATTTCCCGATTTCCAGCCCTGCTGACTTGCAGTGAGTCCAGGGCCACCATGCGATGCTGTACCCCACTCGACAGACCTTTACTTCCATAGCACCTCACATCATTCCTGTAAAAGGTTGTTACTCTATAATATTCCAAATATTGAGAGTTTCACTCTCAAGTTTGAACTCTGACTGACACATTACCTGTGGTCTCCAGGTGGGAGGTGATGTGTTTTTTACACTTTATAATTTTTTTTTATTTTTATCACTCACTATACTTGACTGTGTTATGATTTCTATATTCGTCATTCTTCCTGCATCATTTTCTCTCTTCTTTTTTTTTTTTTCTGAGACAGAGTCTCGCTCTGTAGCCCAGGCTGGAGTGCAGTGGTGTGATCTCAGCTCACTGCAAGCTCCCCCTCATGGGTTCACGCCATTCTCCTGCCTCAGCCTCCTGAGTAGCTGGGAATACAGGTGTCCGCCACCATGCCCAGCTAATTTTTTTTATTTTTAGTAGAGACGGGGTTTCACCATGTTAGCCAGGATGGTCTTGATCTCTTGACCTCGTGATCCGCCCGCCTCAGCCTCCCAAAGTGCTGGGATAACAGGCTTGAGCCACCGCGCCCAGCCATCTATGTTCATTTCAAAGGGGTCTTCCTTAATGATAGTGCCCTTGAACCAAAAATTAAAGAGTTGATTAAAGTAGTAGAAAATGGTCATCTATACAAGTTTCATGATTTATAAGAACTATGGAAATTGCTCCTTAGAAAATAGCTTTCTAAACATGAAAATACAGTTGATTAGAAACAGTACACATGAGGAACTCTGGTTTCATGCAAAGTTGAAGGAAATTCTTGTGAAATTAAAAATGCACCCAGAACAGTTGATGAAGTCTAGTCCAATGAAAGGGTTTTCAACTGTTTGATTTCCATCTTGTCAAAGAATCAACTTTTGGTTTTGGTGAATGAAGTGGTTTGGCTGTTTCCCCACCCAGATCTCACTTTGAATTGTAATAATCCCCACAGGTCAAGGGCGGGACCAGGTGGAGACAATTGAATCCTGGGGCTGGTTTCCCCCATGCTGTTCTTGTGGCAATGAGTTCTCAGGAGATCTGATGGTTTTCTAAGGGGCTTTCCCCTTTGCTCGACTCTCATGCCCTCTCTTGCTGCTCTGTGAAGGGGCGCCTTCCTCCATAACTGTAAGTTTCCTGAGTCCCTCCCAGCCATGTGGAACTGTGAGTCTGTTAAACCCGTTTTCTTTATAAATTAACCAGTCTCAGGTATTTCTTCATAGCAGCATGAGAACGGACTAATCCGGTAATATTCTCCACTGTTTTTCTATTCTCTACGTTATTTACTTCTGCTCTATTATTTATTGTTTCCTTCCCTCTGCTTGCTTTGGGTTTAGCTTGCTCTTCTTTTGCTAGTTTCGTAAGGCAGAGTGTAGGTTGTGGATTCGAGATCTTTCTTCCTTCTTAATATAAATGTTTACGGCTATAATTTTCCTTCCAATTACTGTTTTTATTGCATTCCCTAAGTTCTGGTATGTTGTGTGGTATTTTTGTTTTTATTCAGCTCAAAGTATTTTTGTGTTTCCCTTGTGGTTTCCTCCTTAATACTTTGGTAATTTATCAGGGTGTTTAATTTCCAAATATTCTTGTGTATTTTCCAGTTTTCCATCTGTTACTGATTTCTAAATTCATTCTGTTGTGATCAGAAAAAGACACTTTGTGTGAGTTGATTTCAACCTTTTAAAAATTATGAAGACTTGTTTTGTGACCTCACATACAGTCCATTTTAGAGAATGTTTCAGGTGCACTGGGGGGACATGTGTATTCTGCTGGGCTTGGCAGAGTCTAATAATCCCTAATATACCTCGCTTCTAATGTAGGTGTTCCCACCAGAGCATGCCAGTGTCATGTCCACAATAACAAACAAAAATTCTTTTTTTTCTTTTTCTAAAGCCATATTGTAGATTCCCAGTTCAACTATAATATATATTATTTTAGCTATCTATTTAAAGTGTCACATCATCCTAGGGACCTTTCAACGGACTGACTACATTTCTCACAATTATAGTAATTACTGAAAATAAACACATGAGACTATTCTCTTCAACTAAAATATCATCTTATTTTACATTTAGTACAATTGAGAAATTTGCATGTAAAGCTAAGGAAGGACACAGCTTTAGAAACAATGGACTCATTTCTCTCCAGACCTATGTGAAAGTTGGTTTGACAGTAATTACCTTATGGGAGCCCAAAGTTATGAAATAAGGATGAGGAATGATTGTTCCCATCACAGACGGATCACCACATCATCCCCTGTGCATTTGCATGTTGTGTACTGATCAGAGGTGGCGTGGTGTGGAGGGGCGGCAGTGGTGACGTGGAAATGTAAAGAATTTCGTGTACTGAGGATCCAGTTAAAAATCACACTGGAAAGAGAACCACATATAGTCAAGGAAAGAAGAAGTGGCCTACAAACCTGTGATATGATCTTGAAATGACTTATTTTAACAAGCATACCTCCCATCTATTATATAAAATAAACCGAAGTTACTAGAAAGAGATGGGGGTTAAATTCCCTATCACTTACTAGCTGAGTGACTTTGAGCCTGTTTCCTAGTCTCTGTGAGCTTGTGTTTCTTCATGTGGGTAATAGAAGTCATAATAATACTCACTTTAGCAATTTGCTGTAATAATTGGCAACAATATCTTGAAGCACAGATTATAATGTCCAGTATGTAATAGCCCTCTTGTATGTCGCTGTATTCTTTCTACTGTCCATAGTTCTTTAGGTTATTAGACTGACTTATGAACTTTGAGCGCTGGTCATCAGACCTACTTCACATGGAGCCTCGAGACCCCTCCCTCGAATTATCAGACCCTTCCCCCTCTGGCCATCATCCTCCTCCCTCTGATCATCACTGTGCGCCCTTTGACCATCACCCTCTTCCCTCTGGCATCAGACTCTCCTCCCTCTGCCCATCCTCCTCCTCCCTCTGACCATCAGGCCCGCCTTACTTCCTCATACCAGCAGCCGTGGAGTGGATCTTCAACAAGCAGCCAACAGCAGCCAGGGACAGATCCTCGGGCACTGTTTTTCTGTCCGAAAAATCAGAATCGTATCAAAGGGTCGGACACCTGGACTGGCAAGACACATTGGGGTTATTTATAACAGGGGAAAATGAGGTCTCCAGGGAAACAAACCATAATAAAGAATATGAACTCCCGCAGACCGAATTGCCTTCAACGATCCTCAAAGACTTTTGTGTTTGACCAATATCAATTAATTACATCAGTAAATAACTGCCTGAGCCTTGTACTTCTGTCCTCCCAAGATCCAGAATGACTTCTGCTTTCAAAATGAATTTCAGGGCTTTCTTTGAAGCAGTCTTGTAAAGTTGTTATATTTAGTTTAAATTCAATTAAAGCTCAATCTGAAAGCTCTTTCTGAAGCATTTGTTCCACATTTACATGAAGGTATTTGCTCTTAAAATTGTTAGGGGTATAGCTCATTTCTAGTAATAATAAGTGGTATTTCATAAACCAGGATACATGATCATTTACTTCCTGATAGCTTGCTTCTCCCAGATCTAATTCTATTCTTCCTTGAGGGCTGTTGGTGCCAGTGCCAGGGCTGCAAACATCAGGGTTAGACTGGAGAGTGACCCGTGTGCTCCTTCACCCCTGGGTGGGGCCTCTGTGCTTATCAGTAGGCTAGCACCAGGTGCAGGAGACAGATGTGCCGCCTGCTCACAGGGCTTACCTGGGACAAATGTGCCGCTCGCTCACGGGGCTTACCTGGGGACAGTTGTGCTGCCCGCTCGTGGGGCTTACCTGGGGACACTCACTATGATTACCTGGGACAAATGTGCCGCTCGCTCACGGGGCTTACCTGGGGACAGTTGTGCTGCCCGCTCGTGGGGCTTACCTGGGGACACTCACTATGATTACCTGGGACAGATGTGCCACCCGCTCACTATGATTACATGGGACAGACATGCTGCCCATGCCGGGGCTTACCTGGGACAGACGTGCCACCCACTCACTATGATTACCTGGGACAGACATGCTGCCCACTCACTATGATTCCATGGGGACAGACATGCCGCCCACGCACGGGGCTTACCTGGGATAGATGTGCCACCCACTCACTATGATTACCTGGGGACAGATGTGCTGTCTGCTCACAGGGCTTACCTGGGAATGAAGTTCCACTCCTCCACTTGCTTAGTTCTTGTTTATTTGTCTCTCCCACCATTTCAAGTCTTTGCTATCATCATGAAGAAATATGCAGGGTGCTGGCTGTGCAGTGATGAGCTGGGAGAAAATGATCTGTGACAGAGCTGGTAGTTAAGGAAGAATCCCTTGGCTGAAGCAGAGTGTAAGGGATGAGAAGCCAAATGGGTGGAGAGCGGGAGCAGGGGAGGAGGGTGAGAGCATGAGAGGGACACTGCATCTCCAGAGGCTGGAGAGGGGCAGGGGTGCAGCTTGTCATGGGACATGTAAGAGGGCCAGGGACTGATGCAGAGAGGGACAGGAAGCAGCCTGCACCGGCACTGTGGGAGCAGGCAGATGGGAACGTGGACAGGGAGTTAGTGTTTTCTCCTAAATGCCATGGAAGACATTGATGTATTTTCAACAGTGCAGATAGAAAGCAGTAAATGGTTTCAAAAATATCCCAAACAATACAATATATAGAATTTCCTGATGGATTTGACTTGCAAACAGAGTGGAAGAAAGAAGTATGATGGCATCTATGCTTTGTGCTTTTTGAGCAATTGGTTGAATATGGACACCATTTTCTGTCACTGAGAAGACTCAGGGAAGGGCGGGAGGATGGGGGTAAGTGTGCAGGGCCGGTGAAACTGGGAGATCCGTGAGATGCCCAAGTGGCAACGTCAGCTCTGAGGAAATGACACTCAGAGACATGGCCTGGACTCGAAATAAAATGTGGGAGTAGTTAGCACACAGATTATGTTCCGAACCTGGAAATGAATGACCACACCTAGGAAGAAAAAGCAGGAAAAGAGAGGAGAGGGCCCTTAGAGATCCCAACAGAGGGGGCTGAGGTGTGTGTGTGTGGTGAGTTGGAGGACAGCCAGAAGAAAAGATGACGTTCCAACAGCTGAGATGCAGTCAGGGCGCAGCCCATTGGTATGCAGCGTGGAGGTCTTTGGAGACATCACTAGGAACCGTTTACTAAAATGTCACTAGGAGCAGTGCCTGTAGAAACCAGATCAGGGCACACGAAAGGGTAAATGGGAGACGAGGGAGACATGACACTCTGCTGTGTGGACTCAGAAACCTTTCTGCAAAGAGAAGCCAGGAACACAGCAGGATGCAAACTAAGACGTGAAAACTCATTCTTCGAAGTCCTTTCAGAGTCCTACCTGCTTCTGTTTATATACCGCCTACATTTCTGAAAATTCTAGTGTAAAACAAACATGTATATATTAAATTACGTTCCTTTTACTTTTGTTAAATAAAAAGTAGTCGCATTAGAGAAGAGCAAAGCTAAGAAACATAATGAAATGATGTGTAAGGATCCTAACATGACCACTAAAGAGCAATGCACCTGAGTGTGAACGCATCAAACGCTTCCAGGCCTGGCAGTCAATCCATGTGCCATGGCCTCTTACAAGGAAGTCATCGTTCTAACACCCCATCGGTAGGGCACAGGCTTTGGTTATTTTATCAGTGCACAAAAATGAATTCACACTGTTACTGGCTTTCTTCTGCTGGTGCACATTAGGTGTGATGGCTCCTTGGGCTTACGGATGACCCCTGTGGCTAGAGGCGAGGGTGAAGATAATGGGTTCACATTGCACAGATTAAAGCAGAGACTCTATTGTGTTCAGAAGAACCTAGAGTTAATGGGCCACAAACAGATCATCTTCTGGCCTCCCTAGCAGAGCCCTCGGTTGCCTCCTGACACAGTCCATTTCCACTTTGACACAAGTGTTTGCCAGCTTTGTGGTACCTGATTATTAGGGTCCTCTTAGTTCTGTGATTGCTCCAGGAATTCGGTAAAAATTGTCATCTGGAAGAACCAAATTGCAGTTCTTAACTGGGTAGAATTCAGGCTCTTCAATTCTTGATTCCATTCATTACGTGCTCACTGTAAGAAGTGGTACCTCCTTGGGATATTGAATCAGAAAGGTATTAGAGAAAGGGCTATTCATGGTGTAGGGATCTTTGGACTTGAAGGTGAAATTTCAAACATCTTCAATATTCATTTTGGTTCTGGGAGAGGTAGGAAAACTGTCTAGAAATGGTCCATTTATAATCATATATGTGAATAGAACTTAGCATTTTGGTTGGTTGGTTGGTTAAATGTGTGATTGTGAAATAGGGCTATGATGAGTTGACATAAGGGGAAATCGACCTTTAAGTAGGGTGACCATATAATTTTTTATCCAAATGGGGTCATGAGAGAGGGAAGAGTGGTGCTATTAACATTCACATTGAGACAGATGAAAACATTCACGTCCAGACAGGGAAACCTGGATGTGCTGTCATCTTATGAGGGCTTGTCATTTGCTAGGAACAATTTGGTGGTCGTTTTTCCTTACACAACAAGGAGAGACCAGGAGCCTGCCCTCTTGGTAGATCAGCTAAACATGTCCACAGGATTTTGCTTCCAAGATGAACATGGGTGTAGCTTTCAGGAGTGTCCATCGAGCATCACGATTCGAAACCTGAATTTTCAGGGGCTTCTCTGTCTTGTCACCTTCCTTTGCTGCATGCTTCAGTCTCTGCTTGAATTTGCACCTGGAAATGGGGTTGAAATACATTTGGTGCAGAACGATAGCATTTCAAACCTGTCTAAACAGTTTGCAGACATTAAAAAGGATTTGTATGCCAAGAAGGAGGCCCCTAGCTCATGGGGCCAGCCCCAGTTTGCCTTCCGAATATACTCATTTTGCTGCCGTTAAAGACTTTCTGTGTAATTTGAGTCAAAATATCCCTATTTTCTAGTTATACCGATTTTCTTCACTTCTAAACCCCAAGCCACCATAACACTTTTTTCAAAGTCTGTTTTGCTCTTCCCACCCCTTCCAGCTCCTTGGGGGATTTCAAGATGGGATTGTGGAGCATAGTTAAATCCATCGTAATTACATTCAGTCAGCTGTATCCCCTCTTCTTCTTTGCCTTTGGGATTTCACTACTTTAAAAAAGTATTCTCTGTTGCTGAACAATTAAACATAACGCTAACCTTGCAGTCAGATTAGCCATAATGAATATGGTGTGGGCATTTGATACTAAGTTACGTCATTTTAAGCAATTAAATTAATATCTCAAAGTCAAAAAGCTAATTCCAATGATTGCTGTAGACATTTTAAGAAAATATTTTCCAAGAGAAAAGGGATATCAAAATATAACCATTTTTCTTTTGCCAAGAATACATTGCATTTGTTTTAGGTACAGATAAGAGGCATTTTAGGTATAGATTAAAATCTGTGGTGAGGAAATGTAGTCAAGAAAAGGGCTTTACTTGCACTGGAGAAGACTTCCCCTCATGCACGGCCCTCACTAACTTGGAGCTGAGCTGCTTGCTGTACACGAGCTGTGCATCCAAGTGAGCCTCTGTAGTCCAGCCCAGGACTGCTATCTGCTGTTGCCTCCGGCTTTCTGGTCATGCTGGGGGAGTTGGGGTAAACAGGAGCAGCATCTCACACACACACACACACACACACACACACACACACAGACACACACACACACACAGACACACACACACACACACACACACAAAACAGCTCTTTCTGAGGTTGGGAAGGAATCATTCTTTCCAATGGCATCGTTGCCCAGCGTTGGCCAGACTGTGATCTGTTTCTGTCCAAGAATGAAGACAGCTTTCCCTTTCTAAAGCTGTTCTCAGCTGTTCCCTCATTTCACAAGCTGCTTTCCAGCTCTGATGTCTGTGGTTGCTGTAGCAGCAGGCTAAGCCACACCTGACCCACAGAAGGACATGAGGTTGGTTCTACCTCACAGAGAGAAGCTGAAATCTTTGTTCCTATTAACACAAAGATAAGGGGCTCGGAAGTGTGCCTGAGCGAATGGGACTGACAGTAGCAATGACGGTGGAAGAAAGCCCAAGAACGTCTCCACAGAGGGATGCCTGGCAACACAGGAGCAGGCCCACATGGCCAGCATCTCTGAGGTTTACCTTACCCGCAACAGGCACAGCTGGCCTCTCTGCCCCATGCATGACTTGCCACATCCCTGAAATACGAATTGCATGAATTTTATGCTGGAACAAGCTGCAGAGTGATCAGTCACATTTGCAGCCCTGTGGACTATGGCTATTGGACCGTACAATTAAAATTAAGTTTGACATTAAATCTAAAACAAAATTTTTTGAAAATAAAAAGGCTAGACATGGTGGCTCACATCTGTAATCCCAGCACTTGGGGCAGCTGAGATGGGAGGGTCACTTGAGCCCAGGAATTCGAGACTGGGCAACATAGTGAGACTGTCTATTTTTCTTTTTTTGAGACGGAGTCTCGCCCTATCACCCAGGCTGGAGTGCAGTGGTACGATCTCAGCTCACTGCAAGCTCCGCCTCCTGGGTTCACGCCATTCTCCTGCCTCAGCCTCCCGAGTAGCTGGGACTACAGGCGCCCGCCACCGCGCCTGGCTAATTTTTTGTATTTTTAGTAGAGACGGGGTTTCACCATGGTCTGGATCTCCTGACCTCGTGATCCACCCGCCTCGGCCTCCCAAAGTGCTGGGATTACAGGCGTGAGACACCGTGCCCAGCCCAAGACTATTTTTAAAAAATACATTTACAAAATAAGATACATTTAAAAGTAAGTTGTCTCATCTGACGGCAGCCTTGCCTGGGACACTGCTCCAAAGGCAATCTTAGCAGGGACTCAAATCTGATTGTTACTGCTGGGTCTTCTCCCTGACCCTGGGAGGTATAACTACAGAATCATTCATGCAGCATTTGCAACTTACCAAAGGGTAACTTTCCACAGTTCCCAGCGTTAGCTTAGCAACCAGAGCTGCAGAATATGCCGTCCTGGGCAGAAAAGGGAATGGTGAGTACTGTCAGTTGAGCTTTGCATCTTCTCTACCTTGTTGAGGACATAACATCTCCATCAGAGATTCTTACAAACCCACCACCCCCCGACACACCCCCAAGAAGAAAAGCCTGGGAAGTTCTTTCTACCCACATGCCATCTTTAGAAGTTCTCCAACTTTATGGTAGAGGTCATCCCGTCCTGGAAATGTCAGAGAGGAAGATTATAGAAGCTGGTCAGGAACTTAATGAACATTTCCTGCAATACACTCATTGTGGCTAGTGTCACCAACTTTAACAAGTGACATTAACAAGAGGCTTATCTAGCTAGCCTGAGTCAGTTTTGTGCCTCGGTGTGAAAGCTATTTCTAGTACCATTTTGCTTATAGCCAGGAATAGTTCATATCAAAACTGTGGACCAGAGTTCATTTTTAGAGGACAGAGCTGCTAAGCAGAAAGCGACAGGGGGCCCAACCTCACCCTCCTAGCTCCTTCCCTGTTGACTTAACCTTTTGAAAACATAGACATGGGCCAGGCACGGTGGCAAACACCTGTAATGCCAGCACTTTGGCAGGCTGAGATAGGCGGATTGCTTCAGCCCAGGCGTTTGAGACCAGCCTAGCCAACATGGTGAAACCCTGTCTCTACTAAAAATAAAAAATTAGCGGCCGGGCACAGTGGCTTACGCCTGTAATCCCAGCACTTTGGGAGGCTGAGGCAGGTGGATCACGAGGTCAGGAGATTGAGACCATCCTGGCTAACACAGTGAAACCCTGTCTCTGCTAAAAAGACAAAACAATTAGCCAGGCGTGGTGGTGGGCACCTGTAGTCCCAGCTACTAGGGAGGCTGAGGCAGGAGAATGGCACAAACCCAGGAGGCAGAGCTTGCAGTGAGCTGAGATTGTGCCACTGCACTCCAGCCTGGGTGACAGAGCGAGACTCTGTCTCAAAAAAAAAAAAAGAAAAAGAAAAAAATTAGCTGGGCATGGTGACACACGCCTGTAATCCCAGTTACTCAGGAGGCGGAGGCTGGAGAATTGCTTGAGCCTGGGAGGCGGAGGTTGCAGTGGGAGGTTGCAGTGAGCCGAGATCGCGCCATTGCACTCCAGTCTGGGTGGCAGAGTAAGACTCTGTCCCCCCACACACACAAAAAAAAAAGGAAAGAAAAAAAGAAAAGAAAACACAGACAAATTCAAAGAGGACATGGAAGCTTAAGCTAGAAGACAAAGAGGAACTAGTGAGGGGTGTGTGACATCAGCCAAAGCTGTTGGCAGGGATGTGTCCTAGAAGGCAGAACTTTCAGCTTCCTCAAGGTCGTTCCTTAGTCGTTGCCACTGAAAAATGGGTCTCGATGGGACTTTGAAAAAAACAGACCCGGCATCTAGTGAGTTGCTGAAACTTGCCAGCTGTAAGATCTGGAGTGTTTCTTTTAAACTGTAGGCCGGTTTCCTCATCTGTAGGATTATGTCACACTATCTACCCTGATTTCATAAGGTAATGCTATGTGAGAATGCTCTCACTTAACTTGGAAGAAGGTCAAAGCAGGATGATGTTACTTTCCTCAATTCTCTTTTAAAGACTTTCTTGAGTGCTGGATGCCATGAGGGAAAGCGTATCCGAAACACTCATGTTTCTCATGGCACTGATCTAGGGCTCAGGGGACTTTGCACATCATTGTGTTTTACCTGATGTTTAATCCCAGGCCTGACAGTGGCCCTGCCTCAGATCTCACGTCAGATGGGGGCGGGTGGGGAGGACAAAGCCTTCCAGCCTCTGTTTCTCCAGTGCAGTCAACAGAATGAGCTCCTGTCCCAAGAGCCTGCAGGATATACCAACCTGAGAGTCAGACTTCAGCCTGCAGCTCCACAATAAAAAAAAATAAAGCAAGAGTAGCCCCTGCAAGACGCCAAAACAACTACGGAGCAGATCACCATGGAAAATGCCTCAGCCAGACATGTCCAGGTCCTTCAGAAACACATTGCTCATAGAGAAATAAGTTTTTGCAGGTGTAGTGAGAGTCAACATGAACATAAACCAGGCAGTTCGTCAGTGGCCGATTCAGAAGCCGGAGCCAAGGGTCCTGACTGAGGGAACTGAGGCACACACCTTTACTCTCTGGGTCTTAGCTTTAAGTTGGGGAGAGGGTGGGTTAGATCTCTGCTTTCCACAAGTTCTAAAAAATGTTCAAAGGCATTAAGTAGGGGAAAGATGATCTAATAAGTTTGGAAAATTCTGGATTCAATGCAATTTGCTTACTTATCCTAAGATTTAGAAGCTATTTTAAGCTGAAATTCTCCACGGCTCCCAGAAGGGGTGTGATATGCAGTTTTAGCCCAAACTTACCTTGCCATGATATCTTCTTTCCAGGAACGTCAGTTGTGACTGATAACATGCTGGACCCGTGTTGGGAAAACTGAACTGGATGATCTCAAAGGCCTTTTCCCTTCAGATATTCTCTGACTGTGACTGCTTGAAGGAGGCCAAGAATTAGAGTTTCATGTCAGAGGCCCTCATTGCTAAAGAAGTAGAGGCTCAGTGTGATTGGGAAGGCCCACGTGGAACTAGGTCATCCCCTTCAGCTGCTTCCCAACCACTGCTCTGTAATTACAATGTGCATCCAGGAAGTTATCAAAATCCTGTTTGGAGAATATTGGATTAGCAGAATGTTTGATTAAATCAATAAGTGGAATACTAAGGGGTTTTTCTCTTACTAATTACATCTGGAGGAACTAACCTCGTCTGTAGGGATAGACTAGGAAGCTATGTTTCTTATGTAAATGAAGATAGCCTAAGGAAAAAATATCTGGAAAAGGTACCCTTTCAACTCTGATTTGTAAATGTCAAATAGAGGTGCTCAAGGAGAAAAGAATAAACAATTTCATGAAACTCAACATAAATTCTAATTATAATAGGAATAGTTGAATTCATAAATTGTGTACTCTCTGAAAAGTTAAATATTAGCCTGAAAATACAAAAAGGACTTGGATATTTCATTTTTACACTCTTACATACACACAACTTTTTCCTCCCAATAAATAAAACGATATTTTTGAGGGACAAATTTGGCAAGTTTTGCAGATGAGGGTGAGACCTTATTCACTTCCTCCTAAATTTAACCTAGGTTAAGAATATTTTCAGTCACTATTTGTTGAATTCTAGGTCTTAGTGTTCTACCTGGTCACAATTTGTATTGAGACAGAAACCAGTGAACTCAAATCTTCATCAGCCCTCATTATCAGAAAACTTTGGCTGGACAGCTGATTGATTTGCTGGTTTTACTGCTGGCTTAATATTGATCTGACTATGTATTTCCCTTGGCTCGCTAAATATATACAAATCAAGAGAGGTTTTTGATGTCTTAAAAGGAAACGAGTAACTGACTAGAGTTATTGCCTAAGACCCAATATGCAATTCAGCTTAACCCACAGGGCACCTGCCATGGGCCACTTAATGAGGACACCATCCACCACTGCTCATGCTGCAAGCTGCCAATGCCCTTCTTACCCCTTCACCTCATTTACCCCATTATCTGTAATCTGAAATTACCATCACCTCCCCTCCCACTATATTTTTTATCCCTCTCTTCTTCCTCCTCACTTCCCATGACGACACCTCTGCTTCAGGTCCTCATTTCGGTTCAGTAGTCTCGAAAGATCTCTCTTCCCATTCTTTCTTCAAATGCATCGTGTCCTCCTCAGATAAAAAGATCTTTCTTGTCTTCAGTGGGTTTCCACTGCCTAAAGGATAACATCCCTATTCCTTATTCATCAAAAAATCTTCCATTGGGTGGCCCTGATTATCTGGCTTTATCCCTCACTGGGCCACCAGGAGATGCCACACGTGAAACCACATGGCACAGCTCCCCCTCCCGGTATATACAGCACGTTGTTGTGTCTCTGCCCTTTGGTCAATAGTATTCTCTTTCCAAGAATGCCTTCCCCACACTTTTCTTCTAGCAAAACATTGCTCATTCATTCAAGCCTGGCTCATGTTGCTCCTCTGTAATGCTATCCTACTTTGCCTTAAATGACCACTCCTTCCTTTGTGTTCTGCACTATATTGTTTATATCGTTGTCCGTTGGATTCATGCATGTCTCTTTTGTCACTAGCAGTGATATACATAAACATCCCAAAAAAAAAGTAGCTCTGGGACAGGAATGTGTCAGAGGCCTTAGAAATGGTATTTTATTTAGTCTTTAAAAATAAGTCATGTTATTATATACCTCATAGAAACAGGCTCACAGAGGAGAAATTGAATGCCCCAGGTCACATAGCTGGTCAGCAGAGCTGGGATTCAACCCAGCTGCTCCGTGTCACCCTTTGCATTGCTTCCTGTTACTTCTCCACTGTTATCCCACCTGAGCCTGTGTGCCTTCCTGGGGATTAGTCAATGTGAGGGTGGCTCCAATACTGTGTTTCTGTTGTTCTGAAGGGCTCTGTTCTTTGTTCATCCTTTGTTAGGAGATGTGAAGACATTCTGAGGGAGTGGAAGATAGGCTGCCCATCCTCAGGGCTCAAGAGCTGGAGAGAGGGGATAAATGAGGAAGTGCTTTGAAAGTGGACACAGGATGACATTAGTTAGGCATGAGGCATAATACTGCTGGGAGAATACAGGAAAGTCATTCTCCTTCGACTTCCTCACATTATAGTTTTTGTACAATTTGGAGTTAATCAAAGAGTAGATAAACCGAGAAAAATGTGTGTTCAACAGGAAAAATGGCAGGGTGGGGCTGTTCTAAACCTGGGGCAGCAGTTCCCCACTGTATCTGGGACAGAGTCATTTAATTTCAGTAGTGGCTTTTGAATCTGTGAGGCCCACTTGATCTTCTACTCCTATCAGCTCAGTGACTCATTCTCCCGGCAAAGACTTGGCGTCATCCCAGGGAGGCAGAGAGGCCAACTCAGTGGTACCCACAGGACCGAGTGAGTCTCTCACAGGCTGCATCCACGCCCCCCATGGCCTCTGCTAATGAGGTCCACACCTCTGCTCAGCAGCCTGCCAATGTGATGGGACACACCCCATGCTGGAAGAGCTCCCAAACCAGACTTTGTGGAAACTTGTGGCTGCAGGTTCAAAAGGCTAATTTGGTTTTCCACTGTGCACAGGGCTGCCACTCAGTGCAGTCTTCAGATTGAGAACACTTCCTCCCACTATGGGCAGTTTGGCGTGAATGAGTGAGATACGTAGTTTCTGGATAGCACCCAGGGGAATGCCGAGGATGTGCACACAAAGCAAGGCTGACTGTTCCTTTGCTGTTTGTCTACTTTTTCCCATTTTGTGCTGAGACTCATCTTTCCAGCACAAACACCAGGGTGAGGAATTGGAATTTTAGTGCTGGAAGTCTCCAGAACTATGATCTAGTGCTCATTCCCTCTGATCCCATTGCCCTGACATTATCTGATGCTTCCACAGCTCCTTGTACAGGGAGGTGTGGAGTTGGGAGAGCAGCAGCCTGTGGTACAGGGCTGCCCACAGGGAAGGAAGAAGACATGGCGGGGACATGGCCTGACTCCCGATGTGCTCCTTCCTGTAGGGTCTTCCACATGGCTGGGCTCCCTCCCGTCCCAGCACACATCCTGGGTCCATGTGACCTTGAGCTTCACAAGGTCAAATCTGTGCAGATCCAAATGGTGTGTGGATCTAATTTTCTTCCTCAAGAAGCCTTGCACAATCTGGCCCTGCATGCTTCCTCTGAGCCCACACTTCCTGTGAGCATACACTTCCTGTAAGTGTATACTTCCTTTGAGCGTACACTTCCTGTGAGCTTACACTTCCCATGAGCTTACACTTCTTGTGAGTGAACACCTCCTATGAGCCCACATTTCCTGTGAGCCCACACTTCTTGTGAGTGTACACTTCCTATAAGTGTATACATCCTGTGATCATATATTTCCTGTGAGCATACACTTCCTGTGAGCTTACATGTCCTGTGAGTGTATACTTCCTGTGAGTTTACACTTCCTGTGAGCTCTCACTTCCTGTGAACCCACACTTCCTGTGAGTGTACACTTCCTGTGAGCACACCCTTCCTGTGAGCTTACACTTCCTGTGAGTGAACACTTCCTGTGAGCCCATACTTCCTCTGTGTATACTTCCAGTGAGTGTATACTTCCTATGAGCCCATATTTCCTATGTGTTTACCTCCTGTGAGCCCACACTTCCTATGTGTACACTTCCTTTGAGCCCACATTGTGGGTGTACACTTCCTGTGAGCACACACTTCCTATCTGTGCACTTCCTGTAAGCCTACACTTCTTGTGAATTTATACTTCTATGAGCCCATAGATCCTATGTGTATACTTCCTGTGAGCCCACATTTCCTCCGATGGTATACTTCCTGTGAGCACACACTTCTTATCTATGCACTTCCTATAAGCCCACACTTCCTGTGAGCTCACACTTCCTATGAGGCCACACTTCCTATCTGTGCACTTCCTTTGAGCATACACCTCCTATCTATGCACTTCCTAAGAGAGCATGCTTCCCGTGAGCCCACATTTCCTATCTGTGTACTTCCTGTGAGCATACACTTCCTATCTGTGCACTTCCTGTGAGCATACACTTCCTATCTGTAAACTTCCTGTGAGCATACACTTTCTGTGCACTTCCTCTAAACACATACTTCCTCTCTGTGCAATTCCTGTGAGCCCACACTTACTATGATATACACTTCCTGTGAGTATACACTTCCCATGAGCCCCCCTTCCTCTGTGCAATTCCTGTGAGCACACAGTTCCTCTCTGTGCACTTCCTGTAGCACCACTTTCTCTCTATGCACTTATTCTGAGCACACACTTCCTATCTGTGCACTTCCTGTGACTGTACACTTCCTGTGAGTATACACTTTCTGTGAGCCCATGCTTCCTCTCTGTGCACTTCCTGTGAGTACCACTTTCTCTCTGTGCACTTCCTGTGAGCCCACACTTTCTGTGAGTGTACACTTCTTATGAGTATACACTTCCTGTGAGCCCACACTTCCTCTATGCACTTCCTGTGAGCACACACTTCCTCTCTGTGCACTTTCTCTAAGTCCACACTTGCTGTGTGCATTCTCACCTGCACAATCACTCTTGCTCTTGGGGTTCTTGCACATGATTCTTTACCACCCCAGAACTCTGGAAGGTGTTGCTTTCTGAGACCTACCTCTCTTGTGTTTCTCCAATGCCAGTTCATCCATAGATTTCTTCCTAAATACCACTGGCCTCCCTGTGCAGTGCTTTCACTGGGACCTGTGTTTTTTCTTGGTGGCACTTACATAGAAGGATTGTTGTTTAATGACAGTCGACTCCAAGACTGTCATTGGTAGATGGTGGCTTCCAAAATGGCAGAACCAAGTCAGCCTTGTTCTTTGTGGTATCTCCAGGGTCAGCCTTCCCTGGTGTTCCCAAATGTTCCCTAACTGAAAGGATGTATTACAGTTGGGCTTCCTCTCCCTAGGAGACATAATTAAATTTAAAAGTGGGCTTGGGTTGTTTGTAGTATGCAGTTTTTTACAGGGGAACCACAGAATCTTTATTCCAGATTTTTGAAAAGGTGCGCGGTGCATTTCATTTAGTCCGGTAAGCCGTATTTTTGTGTTCTGTTGTCAATACATTTTCAGACACACATCACTTGCGAAACTCCTAAAATCTTTTCAAAATGCTCTCACAAGCACATAAACACATATCTTCTTCCTTATTACTCAGGCACTTCAGACCCAGAGAATTGCTTTTAGAGATCTTGATCATAATACCTCAAAGACAGTTTTCTTTAGGAAGATAAAGAACACTAAAATGTTAATAATAGAACCTTGAGACCCTCTGAAAAGAAGACTTATGTCAGATTGATAATTTAGGTAGAGTTCTGGAAAACATTAATCTACAAACATATGCCTGATAGAAGGATATTTGCAGAAATGGCTGCAAGTGCAATATTGTTCCAGCTGGTGAGTGTGGTCCATAAAAATTCAGTCTTTAAAAATTATAGTATAGTCTAATTGTAGGACTGTGTGCTCAGTGAAAATGCACTTTACCTATAGATAGGGTTGGGAGAACCACCCTGTCTTACCACAGTGTATGTCTGCTCAACACACTGCCATGACCTGGGAAGAGAACTTTAGGGGGACATTCTTATGAAGCCCTTCCCTATACCTTTTTGTTAGTTCCTTATAATCCCAGAAATTTTTTATTAGGGTAGATAAATGACCATAAAACGTTTCCACCCCGTTGAGGATGTTTCTTAGGACTTCTTTTATGACAACCATCTAAACTCAGCCACATCTGCCTCTGGCGTGTCTAGTTTGGGGCCACCTCTTTGCATCCCCCTGTGTAATTATTTTATGAGTGAAGTCCCTGCTGGAAACCAGCCCTCTTCCCAGTCAAAATCCATCTGTTTCTCCACTGCCTGTACATGCCTTTCTCTTTACAATACAGTTAGACCATTTGAGTCACCTTCTCTAGAGAGATAACACAAAAGCAGAATCACAGACATGTGCAATCTTCCAGTAAATGTCTTCCCCCCATACACCATGTATGGGGTTGAAAAATGGTATTTCTATAAAAAATTGGAATCTGTGAAGACAGGGTTACAGTGAGAAATATTAATACACACATTGCAGAGCAGGCTGGTGTCAGGTTCTGTGCCAAGGGTCTGTGGTGCCTCTGACAAAGGAGAACAATGCTGAGGGGACGAAGCAGCAGGAGGAGATGGTGGGGGGGGTGGGGGGGTGGGGGGGGTGGGGCGAGCTAATTATCCAAATTGGAAAAGGCCCAAGCCCCTTGGATTAACACACATCTTCCCTGCTGAAGAAAGTGCTCAGGGAATGATCATGATCAGCTGCCATGACCTCCACTTCTCCTCTCACAGGGCACCAAACCAACATGCATCAGGTGGATGGCTGTTGGTGATTTACATGGGAAATGACTGTGGTATGCAGGGATGCAAAATCAGTGTGGCTTCTTCCTCCAGAAGTATGGGGCCACCCTTGCCTCAACTCATAAGAATACACTGATGTTCTGGTGTTGCCTCAGAGGCCTTAGCTTACACAATTCCTGGGGTCAGGGTTGGGTCTATCCAACCCTAGGGTGTTTCTGCAGAAAAACATAGACCAGTGTTCCTAAGATGCCAGCCTGGCTTCTGCTCCCAATCTGCTTCCTCTGAATCATACCTCTTCTTTGCAAACGAGGTGTTTTTGTGAACAGAAAATATGTGGACTTGACTGCTTCATTTACTCTCTCAGAAGTTCATTAAAAGCTTACATACACACCAATCAAGGCTTTTTATGAGACACAGCCAAGATGTTTTATGTGTATGGTGCCAATAAACACACTTCTCCAGAAGGAACTAGTACTATTTATGTAAAGTAGACACTTAATTCAACTGAATGGAAATAGCAAATTAGAGAATGCTTGATTATGGCATTGAAGATGCTTTCTGGGATGAAGACATTATTTGGAAAATCTCCAGATGCTCAAAGCTTGAGGAATGCTGGGATCAGGCAGGTAACTCTGTAATAGAATTGGACAGAGACTAATTCTGCTCAAGAACAGCTCAAATGGAAAGCTCAGATCCACAGGGAAGGAGCCAACCCAGTCCCTTTAACTTGGCTATGGTGGATCAAGATCGTCACTGGAACTCTTTGGTTGTGAGACTCAATATTTATTCTGTGTAGGCAGGAGCATATTGGACCCATCATGAAACTGGTACTGTCATAGGCTAGACCTGTGACCTCCTAGGTGAAATAACAAAGGCTGGAAAGAGGTGTCCCCATGGGCTTTGGGGAAGACTTCTCTTGCCCAACAGTGAGCTTGAGCAATTACTTTTCTAAATTGATTGGTTTATTAAAGAAATATTAATTGGACAAGACAACCATCAATGTGAACCTAGTTCAACACAAAGAACATTCAGGCCATCAGATGACCAAAGTGAAGCTTCCTGGTACTTAGCATCTGCCTTATCAACTCAGGCCTGACAAGGAAACATGTCAGTTGCTGGAGAAACACCCATACCCTAAACACCTCCTGTCACACAGTGGCAACCTGAATTACTGTGAATCCATTTATGCGGCTCTCTTCTCTAAGAGCAGAGGAAGTAGGTGTGGCCAGACTCAGAGGAGGTCCTCAAGCAGGAGGTGTACAAGTCAGGGTTCTCCAGAGGAACAGAACCAATAGAAGGTAGATATAGACAGATACAGATATATAAGAGGGGATTTATCAGAGGAGTTGTCTCATATGCTTATGGAGGCTGAGTCGCATGCAGGCCATCTGCAAGCTATAGAATGGGGGAAGCTGGCAGTGTGGCTCAGTTCAACTCTGGAAGCCTCAGAACCAGGGAACCTGAAGGTGTAACTTTCAGTCCAAGGCCAAAGTCCTAAGAACTTGGGGTGCCACTGGTGCAAGTCTCAGAGTCCAAAAGCCAGAGAGCCTGGAGTTCTGATGTCCAAGAGCAAGAGAAGAAGGGTACCCTAGCTCCAGGAGAATGGGAAGGAGAGGGCAAATTCACCTTTCCTCTGCCTTTTTATTCTATCCAGGACCTTAAAGTGATTCTAATGCCAGTCTCTTCTGGAAACATCCTCATAGACACACCCAAAATAATGCTTTACCAGCTATCTGGGAATCCCTTAATCCTGGCAAGTTGACATTGGTTAATAAAATTAGCCATCGCAGTGGGTCAGGGAGAAGGTGGCCGAGTGTCTGCTTCCTGTGCGGAGGGCACCACACCTTCTGAATGACTTCTTGGTCCCTCATAGCCTAAGAAGTCCGGTGAAATGCATTTGATCTCTTGACTACTTTTTACCCCATCAGTTGTACCATCCACCTTCCAGCTATCTTCCCACTTCATGCCCATGATTCCATGCACTATTTATGCTGGAGCACTACAACTAAGAAGTCTCTTTTGCATTTCTTTCTTCCCTCCAGCAACACATGGCCCTTTATGCAGCTCTCACAGCCAGTCTGTATGAGAGACAGAAATAATGGCATTGCCCTTGGGAAAGGAGAAACAGATAAAGATTCCTTCTCTTGACTTCTAGCGGCAAGCAGTGACAAAGTGCCCCACAAAATTTAAAGCATCAAGGAGTAGCCCGTGGGAAGATATCCATCAGATCCTCCAATATGTGAATTAGGTCTGATGGGGGGTAGCTGCTCACTGGTCATGATATCTTGGGACTCCTGCTTCTATCCAGCCCCTACATCGCTCTTTCATGATTTTAAATGTGCACTCAAGGAGCTCACTCCAAATCCAAGCCTACATGTATGCCTAACCTACTCCAACCAGAGAGCTCCATATTTATGTGAAGAAAAGGGCCATATCTGATTAAACAACCATGATTCTGTTTGCAAACACCAATCCACACATTATGAAAGACACAGCAAATGTCCCCAAATAATTGATTTTATTCACACCAAGTTTACTCTGACGGATTACCACAAGTAAACATGTAAACATGGGTAACACTTCACTATAGTATAGTTCATGCCACTTGCCTGATAGAAAACCATGGAGCTTCTCTTAGGAATCCATTTTGGTTTTGGGGTTTGTTTGTTTGTTTATTTACTTTTTTTATATTAAAAAGAGAGATGAGGTCTCACTATGTTGCCCAGGTTGGTCTCGGACTCCTGGACTCAAGTGATCCTCCCACCTCAGCTTCCCAAACTGCTGGGATTACAGGCGTGAAACACTGCACCCAGCCAGGAATCCTTTAAAGTACAAGGAGGATTCAGCTTATTATAGAGCCAGTCTATACACAATAACCTGAATTATATACCTAACATGATCTAAATCCTTAGAGTTTTAGAAACACTCAAAAATTTTTTTAAGCCTCATTTCTAATAATAACACAGTGATTAACCACAATGCTTGGCGAATTGCCTCAAAACCTTTTTGGAAGTAGGGAGGATATAAATAAATCAGTTAATACATAAATAAAATGCTTGCAGCTCAGCGACCTTCTGGTTCTCAGGTTTCCATATATCAAATTATGGATTGACCCCGCTAAGTAATCTCCGAAGTCTTTTCTATGTAGAAGTCTATAAATTTTCTGTTAATCCCAGGGTGAGTTGGGGACCATTTTGTCTTTTGTCCTTGTCGACTGTCTTTGTGAGAAGCTGAGTCTGCTTACCTGCTGGGTTCAGTGAGCAGGTATGAAGGCATCATGTATGGACATTGAAGAGTTGCCCAGAGATAAGCTCTCACGTTTGGAGAAGCATGGGTGTGTGGGCTACTGTTGGCTTCAGCTTGTGTACAAGGATATTCAATTTTAGAAAGCCATAATTAATAGTTTCTCTTCTTACCATATTGAAGAAGTCAGCTTGTTGCCTTCTGGCGAATTAAAATTTCATTAAACTTTTCAGTTAAGAAAATACAGCTTGTTGCAAAAACACCATATGCACCTTACGACTCTTTTCCCCACCCCTCCTCAGTGCGACTCCCATCACTGCACAGGTGGAGGCAGTGAAGGGGATGCCTTGCTTTCTGAGCTGCTGAAAACATCAGGGTTTCAGTTCTGTCTTGTTTACTGCTCTATCTGATCACCTTGCATTGTGCTTGGCATGTAGTAGCTGCTCAGTACATACCATTTGAATGAACAAATCAATCAATTAATCAGTTAATCAGCCAGTCGATGCAGGTGATGCCTGTTCCTAAATTCCTTTGGTCCCAGTAGGTACTTTGCAACATTTCCCTTTCTTCTGCTTCTGTTAGAAGGGACCTTTTTAAACTTGAAGGGCAGAGGCCCCCACGCAGCTCATGCAGATGGTGGTACTAACTGGAGAAGCAGTTACAGTTGTACCTAGCATGCATTTCTGTTGGAGCTCATTTCAAGTAAATGACTTATACTTTATGTCCACAGCAAAGAGGCCCACATTTGTGGCAATCTTGGTCAGTACAGTCAGGAAGGAAGTGTAGCTGAAGATCACTGAGGAACCAGAGAAATTAGTGTATATCTGGATTTAATGATCAATTTGCTTATGTTAAAAATACATTTGAATATGATTTACTGCCCTTCAGTTAATGCTAGTTCCTTGCTTGCAGCAGGACCAATCAAAAGGAGCTAAACCTTAAAACCCAGATGGAGATGTTGAAGGATTCTAGCTAAAGTTTATGCAATTAATTAGGCATCCCCTATTCAGAATACACTTTCTATTTGTGCTTAGAATTGAAAGATATCGTACTCCCAGGAAAAGTACAAAGAGGACCACGAGATACATTGATAATGACCTTATCCTTAATTCATTCCACACATACTCAGTTAAGTGGCTTAAATAAGTGATAGAGATTTTAATTTAAATGCGAGAATATAAATGGGCAAATATTTGAATTTAAGTGAAATTAACACAACGTGCCAAATATTGAATAAGAAACTGGAATTTAGTTGGCATTGGATAATGTATTTGGTTTGAGATTTGGGTTTCCAAACTGAATATATAAATCAATGGGCAGATATACAGTGAACACAAATATAAATAAACACAGTTCCATGTTTACTGTTTATAATACGTCCCCCCAAATATGTGCAGAAGTGGAATGTGAAGACAATAAACAACTTTTTTGTTAGGTTGGGGGCAGGGGATTCTGAAAGCTACAAAATATCAAACCATTTATTCATTGCATCCCATCTTTAAGATACAGTTTTCATCAATATATTTTCAATGTTTATACATGTTACTTAGTTCTGTTCTTTTTCTACTCAAATGATTGTACAGTTGATTAATGTCACATGGACTTCCATTGTGATTATTCTTTTAGCTCTGCCTATTCACATTATTAATAAAACCATGAAAATTAAATTAATATGACCTTATCATTGTAATCACTACTTTCATTTTTGCATTTTTCTACTCACTTTTACCAAAAAAAAGGAACAAGATGGGAAAACAAAAATTACATAAAAACTTCAGCGTATGGGGAAAAACAGAGTTGTCTCTAAAAAGGATCTGCTCTCGGCATGGTAGCATCAGAGCATCTACTCAATTGTCAGCCATAAATGAAGTTCAGAATTGGACACACCTTCACAGTCTTCCATATGCCAAAGCGGATTGTTCCAACATCAGATGACTCCCTGCCATGTATTCCTTGTTAGTTTCCTATGCTAAATACTAGTAAGATACCAAAGGATGTTAGAAATCTGAGGAGAAGTTGCCTAGGATTTAGAGATCACTCCTAGTCTAATATCAGTAGGTTTTTAGGATTACAGGTTATTCAAGGGCTGCTTCCTGTGTGTAGAGGTTGTATTATGAGTCCTGAAAGGAGAGAGAGGAAAAGAGTCTGCCGTATTCAGAATAAAAAGGCAACAAAGACAGAGTGTTTTGCGGATTGCCAGATAAGTCTTTTCTGACCGTTCCCAATCCTGAAAGTTCTAACATGGAGACTGCTTGGTCTTTGAAGGAGGTGAATTGCAGTAAACAAATCATGAATTATCATCTGCAGTAGATTTGAAAGTCTTTGAGTGAATATAACTGGGGGATGTAACCTTAACTTTCAGATAAGTTTCTAAACAGTTCAGCATATCATTTTAAAATGAGCAATGGATGTTTAATGAAGAAAATATGAAATTCAGGTTATCATGTAAATTACAGGTAAACAAACAAAAGGGAAATACAAAAGTGACCTATACTCTAATCACCCAAACAGAATCACTGTTAACAAGTTGGCAAAATTCTTTCTGGGATTTCCTAGGCATCTATAGTCCAACTTAGCTCTATGTTTATTTAACTACATTTATGCATACAAATACTTTTCTTTACAAAATGGTGTGACTTTATTCTGTAACCTGCTGCTTTGCATAGAAATAAATGATGAGCATGTTTTATGTCTCTAACTACACATTTATCTTGTCTTAATGGCTGCTTGGCATTCATTTCTTGGGCTATAGCTTCACAGATTTAGCTACTAGATAGTCTCCAATTATACGCAATAGCACATATACCTTTGTGCCGTTTTTTGTACATATATCTTTGTACATTCATTAAATAATTTCCTTAGGATAAGATTTTTCACAAATTAATAGGTCAGAAGTATATATTTTTAATACATATGAGGTGTGTTGGAGAATTATCTTTTAGAAAATTTATATCAGTTTATATTCTCACCAGCAGTATATGAGGGAATCTGTTCTAATCAGACATTCTCAACACAAGGCTTTATCATTCTTTTTAATTGTTGCCAACCTAATAGATGGTAGACTCTACTAATTTGCATTTTTTGATTACTTACTAAGGTTGAATTTTTTTCATGTTTATTGACCTTTTTCTCTTGCCTCTTTGTGTTCATTTAGCCCTGGTATTTGGTATGATTTCTCCTAATGCTTTGCAAGTTAATAACTTATTCATTAATTCACTCATTTATTCATTTATTCATTTACTTATCTACATCTCTTTCTTTTCTGTGTGTTGTAATCTCATCCCCCCCATACTCTGAGCTTTAATTTGATTTATGGTATTTTGTGGCATATAAAAATCTTTCCGTTTTATTTAGCCAAATTTACCAATCTTTTCAATTATAATTTTAGACCTGAACAATTTGGGATCTCTGTGAATTCAGTTATTCATCTGCATATTCAAGCTAAAATAGAGCAGTGGCTTAGAAACCATCTTTCCTAAAACTATGACAATGCCATTTACAGTAAGAGTCAATGAAATGGGGGGAGAGTCATTCAATGTTCAGAATAGAAAGATTTAGAAGAATGGCAAAGTTGAGCATCATACCTTTATGAAGTGAATTGTGTCCTTCTCAAAATCCTTGTTTTAGCCCTCACCTCCAGTCTGACTGTATTTGAAGATAAGGCGTTTTTTTAGGGTTACATGATGTCATAAGGATGGGGCCCTAATCCAACAAAACTGACATCCTTATAAGAAGAGGAAGAGACAGCGGAGCTTGCTCTCTCTGCCCTGTGAAGACATGGTGAGGAGAAGGCTGTCTGCAAACCGGGAAGAGAGCCCTCACCAGAAAACAACCCCTCCAGCACCTTGACCTTGGATTTCCAGGCCCCAGAACTGTGAGAAGTTAAATTTCTGTTAAGACTCCCAGTTATGGCAGCCAAGCAGACTAATCCACTTAGGCTGATGCAGTCACCAGTTCTGCTGGGCACAATTCTAAGATGCCTCCCAAAATGCTCACTTGGCCCTGGCGCCTACACACCATCTCCCAGTTGTTTACTCAAGCACTGATTTCAGTGCTGCTGCAATGGGATTTGGTTATAATTAAGGTCCTGGATCAGTTGCCATCCAAATGGGGAGATAATCTGGGTGGGCCTATTTAAACACATGAGCCTTGCTTTTAGAAAGACCCCTACAGCTAGTCACAGAGGAGGCGACTAGAGAGACTTTGGATGGCCTCTAGGAAAGCAGACCTCCTTGTCATGAACTGCCTGGGGGCCACATGTAAAGAGCTGCAGGTGCCTCTAGCTGAGAGCTAAAAGGAAAGAAAGACCCGAGTCCTACCACCACAGGGCCCTGAGTTCTAACAGCCACTGAGCTTGGAAGAGGACTCTAAGCCCAAGAAAGAAATATAGCCCAGCCAAACTCATGGGACCCTGAGCTGTGAGTCCGTTTAAGCTGAGCCTGGACTTCTGACCCACTGGAACTGGAAGATAATGCATTTGCATTGTCTTACACTGGTAGGTTTATAGGATTTTGTCACATTGAAATGGAGAGTGAATGTGTCAGTGTTTACATCCCTGCGGAGCAAGGAGGGTGCCAGCTACGGAGGTGGAGTAGGGGGCCTGGCTCTGCAGCTGGGGCATCGCAGACAGCGGTTTGGCTAACGGTGCAGCTGATCTTCGCAAGTTCCCACCCTGCTCCTCATGAAACACAGTTGCGCCTCGAACAATATGGGCCTGAACTGCAAGGGTCCACCCAATGCATATTGAAAATACAGAATTGAAGGAAGAGGAAGGGGAGTCCCGCATATACAGAGGGCTCTCCCATACAGATGAGTGGAAATGCCACCGGGTGAAATCTGTTGGAACATCCATACAGAAGCAAAATATTAGGGAAACAACAGGTTACAGAATCCTCCTTGAACATTTTTTCTTTCAGAGAAGTCAAGTGTGTAGGTATTTGGAGCTAGGCTAGGTGATAAGAGGGACGTAAGGAATGTGGTGTCTGTCTTACATGTGAATATTGAGGACCCAGTATCTACAGCCACAAAGTGACGACCAGGTATCACCCAGCAGCAAACTTCTGAAAGTCACGCTCTGAGAAGCCTCTGCCTCCGATCTGGGGCCTTCACCTTTCCAGGGGCCCACCCCATCCCTCCTCCCAGCCTTCTGCTACCTGTCTCTCCACTTCTTCTACAAGCACCCTCTCCAAAACTGCCACATGTTCTCCTGACTTTGTGTCTCTGTGGGATTGCCTCTATGATGTATCAGGAGGACGTGTGGTTCAGGGGCCAACTGAAACACCATGTCCTTTGGTTTTTTGTGAAGCCATCCCCCATTTCCTGGAACCAAAATAGATCCCACAGCACTTCCTGTGTACCCTGATACCTAACAAAATGTTTTAAAGATTGCTTTAGCTGGAGATTCTTACATATGTGTGTCCTCCTGGGACAGTGAGTCCGGCAACCAACCCTCGCTGATTCTTTCCCTCCCTCCCTGCCTCTCGCAGCAGCTGGCCAACTGCCCCTTCTCCAGCAGGTGCTCCCTGCAGGCTTGTGAAATACACTGGAGGGCAATTGTCTGGCTCAGACTCATGTTGCCATCAGCAAATGACCACGTTTAAGAATGTTATGCCACCTCTATATTTGGCCTGCATTATTCATATAAATATGCTTGGTAGACAAGGGACAGAAGGCACTTGTGTCGGAGAAAGACAGTTTAAAGGGCAACGACCTAACACACTATAAAATACAGGGAGTGGGGAGTGGGGTGGAGGGAGCAAGCCGCGCGGCTGCCAGGCAGGGCCCTGCTCCCCTGGGTGCACTTCCTCCCTGCTCCCGTGGGTGCACTTCCTCCCTGTCCAGGGAGTGCACTCGCTTCATTGCCCAGTGCGACTGGGTCTGCTTTGCAGGGGCCATATCTGTCTGATTGTGCTTGGGCAGATTTCTCTTGTCTCCACCTAGCTGGGGTGATTCAAGTAGGAAAAAAGAAAACCCTCCTGCACAGATTGTGCGATCATTTCATTTCCTTGCCTTTGTTTGTCATTTCTCCTGTCTGAAAAAACAGGGAATCCACTAAAGGCCAGAACATTGTACTCTGCTTCCATCCTCATGAAATCTTGGCTTTTCTTTGCAGGAAGCGTCCAAAATAACACAGGATTGGTCCTGGGGTCCCAGGCAAAAGTGAGAGGTCAGAAGGGTCTCCATGGTTCTCACTCCTCTCTCTGTGACCTTCACTAGCTCACTTCCTTCCTGCCCAGTTCTCATTCTCTCGTCCAGTCTTTTCTTTGTCTTCCTGTGGATGAATACATGCATAAACATAAGAATAAAGGCAAAAGTCTCAATGGAATCTATCAAACTGTTCATTGTTAACCACTTTCCTGTAGGTTGGGTGGGGGAGGTTTTACTTTCACTTTATTCATTTCCTTCCTTCCTTCCTTCCTTCCTTCCTTCCTTCCTTCCTTCCTTTCTTTTTCTGTCGGAGTCTTACTCTCGCTCAGACTGGAGTGCAATGGTGCAATCTCAGCTCACTGCAACCTCCGTCTCCCAGGTACAAGTGATTCTCCTGCCTCAGCCTCCTGAGTAGCTGGGATTACAGGCACCCACCACTATACCCAGCTAATTTGTGTGTGTGTGTGTGTGTGTGTGTGTGTATATATGTATATACACACACAAACACATACCTATATATATATATTTAATAGAGAAAGGGTTTCACCATGTTGGCCAGGCTGGTCTTGAACTCCTGATCTCAGGTGATCCGCCTGCCTCAGCCTCCCAAAGTGCTGGGATTACAAGTGTGAGCCGCAGCACCTGGCCTATTAATTTCTGTATTTGATTTTTTTTACAGCACATGAAATAGTTTTGATGTTTAAATGAAGGAAACAAAAGCAGTGCTTTCGATAGCCCAAGCTTATCTTTCCTAAATGAACCCAAACCTCACAGTTATTCCCTTTACTTCCCACTCCCGATCACACTTGTCCCAGGTGGATCACGTCCGAGACCAGCACTCCATGAATTTTAGGAGCCAGAGCGGACCGTGAAGGTGTCCTGGTAGCTGAGGTCCTATGGCCGCTCATGAAATTTTAGTGAGCCATGGCTTCCCTGAGGCTGTGGCCCGCAAAGTCTGAAGGGAGTCACCTCCTTCAAATCCACTGAGCAAGGCCTGGGGAGTAATGGGAGGTCCCCCGTCTGACTCACACCTGACAGTCGGGCCTGTCCCATCTCTGGCACCAGCAACCGCCCGGGGACGGTGAGGGACCATGGGGTCAGCCTCAGACTCTCTGCACATGTTTGCTGGCCAACGTTCCAGCCAGCGGGCCTGGACTGGAGGGCTGGGATGGAGAGGGTGGGGCAGGAAGGCAGAGCCTGCCCTGAGGGAACCGGGAGGTGTTCCGCGCAGGCTCTGCTGCTTTCTGACGTGTGACCGTGTGCACAGGATTTGTCCCAAGTCCCACCTGCCTCTTCTGGAAAGTGGAGCGATGATGTGAGCAGGCACAGAGGTCACAAGGAGAATTCAGGGATCTAGAGACCCCCAGAGCTTGCCCTGTGCCCATGCTGCAGTGGGCACTCTCCTGGCATGGCCACGTCTGTCACGCGTGATGCTCACAGCCTGCTCACTACTAGAAGGCTTTAATTTTCTGAAGCAGTGATATTTAATTTATTTGAAATTTCAAATGTCATTAAAGGAGACGTGCTATTTTTAGGCTAGGAATTTAAAATGCTTCCAAAATGCCTCATCCCCATCGCTCTTATTGCAAGCATGTATTAGCTGTTCTCACGCCTGCTGAGAATGCCCTGTGACTGAAGCAGGGGCTGCTTCTGGGGGACAGTGCAGCCACCATGTGGGTCAATATAAGGAAATCAGGATGATACAAGTGATGTGGGTTTGCACCATCATCCTGGCTGCTCTGTGTGCTGACGTGTGTATAACATTGACACGAGGATGCCTGTAGCAGATGGGGGTTTAGCTAGAAAGCAGGAGGCAGTGCACGATGAGTATGGTGCAGTATCTCCAGCAGACCTATGCTGGGCAGAAACCTCACAGTTCTGTCCAAAGGGAGCTTCATCCCTCCGATGGCCATTCCCCTGCAGTCCGTGAACCCCCAGGATAGCTGCACCGCATCAGCAGAACAATTGCAGTGCCTTTACAGTGAAGGAACACAGGCTCCAGCTGTCAGCTCCATCTCAAAACCTACCCACCCCACTCATCCTGCACACGCTGCCCCAGCCCCATGCCCCAGAGGCTGCCCAAGCACCTAGCGAAGCCCTCCAGGATGCTTGGCTCTGGGCCTGTTGTTTCAAGCCCTGCCCTGCCTTCTGGCTGCTGGATGGGGAATTGCAGTGAGATTCCTTCCCTCCGAAGCTCCATCTGGTGCAACATCTGGAGCTGGTCCCCCAGCATAGGAGGATGTGAGTGGGATGATGAATGGCACCTCAGAAGTGTGCTGTTGGGGAGGGCCCACCTGTTTACCAACATGATTGCAAAACTTAAATAGCTCTGGGGATTCTGAACTGCTCTTCTTGGGGGGCTCCCCACCGAGAGCATTTTAGGCCCTGTGCATAGCAGGATTATAAAAAAGTCATATTTAAGACTTGATCATGCTTCTGGCATTTGGAAGGAAATGGATGGATGAAGAAGAAACAGAAAAGATTATAGAGAACTGGAAAACAACAATTTAACTGCTAGGATATGAATCCCAAATGTTATAGGGGAAGTTCTGGGATGAAGAGAAGACGGAGCAATGGCTGCCACTGACTCAGTGATGTGTAGGACATGGGGAAGCCGGGATTGTGGACACTCCCCACCGTGGTACCCCCCGCTCCAGTGGTACCCTCCCCCGCCCCCGGCATGGGCAGCTCAGACCACCGGGAAAGTTCCAGCAGGCAGATACATTGCTTCCCACACAAGCTCATTGGGAGAAGGCGGCTCTTTTTTTCTCATTGTTACAATATGATTTGATTCGTGGTGTTGTAATGATTAGCAAGCAGAACCAATGTGGTTTCTTTCCCCAGCATCGCTTGAATCTACAGCAAACTGTCCAGAGAAGGGATCACAGTGGGATTCTGATGCCTTATTATGATGTCACCTTCACGAGGAGGTTTAGAGGTTTGCTTTTGTTTTGCTGTTCTAAGAAAAAAGAATGTGCCATTTGGACATTTCACCTTCAATTTGGAACTTAAAAATTTAGTCCATAAACAGGAAATAAACAGAACTTTTGAGAGCTCCCTCTCTCATTTGGCAAGGCCCCCCACTTGCCCTCAGCACTTGGGCACCCACCTTGACTTACAGAGGAAGCCCTGGAAACAGCCAAGGATGGGGGAAACCAATCCTGGGAGCACAGGGGTACTCGCCTGCCAACCTGCTGACCTCTGGGACCAAATACCAGGGCTCCGTGGAGACATGGCTTTTTCTGGGAGGATATACTGAAAAACAGAGCAAAAGGGGAATTGTTTGCTGTGTGAGATTGCCAAGTCAGCCCTAGGAAAGAAAGGCCCAAGGGCACATCTGCAGAAGGACTGGAGGGTCAGTCTGAGCTCATATTTGCCAAGTCTCCAAAGAATAGGCATCTTATGGTCTCAGCACGAGGGAGAAGAGAGAATTTCACCTAGGATGGCTTCCAGTAAGCACCTGTGATGTCTGGGTTCTCTCCATTCCCAGGCCTGAGAGCGGCTGCACAGTCCTGATTCCTGGAGCGCTGGCCCAGGCCGGGTCCTCCATGTCACCCCCTTTAATATCTACATTTATTCATGCAGACGCGGACTCTGAGCAAAGTATCAGGAGCCTGGTGATTCAAGTTGGGAGAATCCACCAAAGTGCTTTCCCCACCAGGATTCACTCACTTGGGCCTCTTTGGAGGCTCTTCCTCCCCACTCTCCTCTTAAAGGCCAGGAGAGAGGCTGGCAAGGTCGCCTGTCTCCCTCCTCCACACCTGTTCCTAGATAGCTGCTTCCTGCCGGGACTCCGTGATCTTGTCTGCAATGGGTCCAGATCTGTAGACTGTCATCTAACCCCTAGATTCCTACAGCGGACTGACTACCATTGTCCGTGCATAGCAAGCTTGTCCCTAAAGCTCAGACGATGGCCTCCCCAGTGCTTCCCCAGAACCCGATGTGGTTTTCAGTAGAGGCTTCTTCCATGGAAGCTGCCAATATGTGTCCCACCTGCCGGCATTAGACCTGGGGCACCTGATTGCTTCTGCCCGCCCCAGGATGCTTGCCCCAGGCCTCTCCCATCCATCCAGGTCACCTCCTCCCTAGACCTTCTCAGCAGCCCCTGGCTTGTCTCTGAGCTGCGGGCTTTCTGTTCCTGGACTGCCCTTCACCCTGTCCCCAGAGCCTCCTCAGCACTGATCTGATTTTGTCACTGCATTCCTGTGCTTGTAAGCCTGTGACCAGCAATACTGTCACTTCTTAGAAAACATTTTGGTCTCGACACGGTTCACACAGGCAATGCCCCGCCATCATTGCTTCCAATTGTGTTCGACGGGAAGCAGACAGTAGCAGCGACGGCTCTTGGTGCTCACCCAGACCTCCCTTGCTGGGAGGTTGCCCCAAGACCCTGCAGCCTGTTACTGATGGAGGCAGGTACACACATAGCCATCCCCTTGCCCTCCCTCAGGGACCAGCTGTGAAGTACAGTGCGTGCGTGCACTTCCAGATGGCATTCGACTGCAGCTGGTCTCCAGTTGGGACCACATCAGTGCCTCCCGTCTCCCCTACCCCAGGCCACTTCCCTCCCTCCTCCTATTAACATCATGCTCCCCAATAATCCCCACAGCCCCGCCTCAGCCTCTGCTTCTGGGGAACCTGACCTAAGGCAACAGCAACATTTCCCTGGGGCTGAGGAGGCAGGCATGCTTTTAAAGAGGCTTTTCCATCACCTTTGAGCATCACCTGCCTACGAGATCAACCCCACACATTTGAGTTTGGCACATGACACATTGCACGGCCTGGCACGGCCTTTCTTTCCTGCCTTCATCTTTCGCCTCTCTATGCCCTGTTCTTTGAGCTTAGCCTGGGGTTCTCCACAGAAACCACACTGTTGGACTCTTTTATGCCTTGGTGCATCCTAGATGTCACATTACAGTAGTTTGGAGAGACTTTTCTTAGGTGTAAGTGAGATAAAGGGGTTGCTGGAGGTGCTGGCTACAGGGCAGTGACAGAGAAAGCAGTGGGGTAGGCTTGCCACATGGAAGAGAGCAGGTGAAGGAGGAGACATAATTTTTTCACAGGAGGCAGCTGCTGCCTGTCCAGCACATGAACCAGGGGTACAGGGATGGGGTGCGACCAGCAGCTAATCTAACTGGTGTATCTTCACATTGCATGTTACCATCAGGATGGAGAGAGCAGGTGCTCTCTGGACCCTCTGTCTCCCAGCCTGACTCTTCCCAAGACTGTGAGCACCTACAGAGCAGGCCTCAATCCATAACCTTGGTATTCTTGTGTTGAGTTTTATGCCCGCTGCAATGCTAGACTGAGATGCCTCTTGTATGGAAAATATTTCTTAGGAGTTTAGCAAATTTATGTCATTGGCTGATATTTCAGGCCAATCCATTTTGGGATTAGAACATTATCAGGATGTAACCTTAGAGTTCACTTAGTTCCGGCAAAACCTCTTAACTTCAGTTCCCTCATCTATAAGAATAAGGGATTCATTTGTGATCATATAGCTCAGGTAATCCAGGACCAGAAACCCAGGAGCGTGGGACCTGATCCACAGCTAGAGGATGGGGGACTCTGTAGCTACAGCATTTTCCTGAACACACAAGAAATCCAGTAAGCAGCACACACTGGCTGAGTCGGCTTTCCAATCAGAAACAAGCCCTTGACTTGCCGGAGTTGGAAGACTGCAAGTACCTGCCCAAATGTCCACCCAACAGATAAACTCCCTGTTACGTACATAATTACAAGCATTCTTTACCTGACAGTCCCATGGCTGGACAAGCCAAGCTAAGTTTTCAGTGTACATAAAAAGCATAAAACCCGATGAAGTGGCCTGCCTAAAAATTAATGTGATGGCCGCAATTGCAGCTTTTGTGGCCCTGACGTTAGTCTTTGAACGAGTCTGCCTTCTGGGTCAAGTGAACTTTTACTCTGGGATTATAGAAAGCAAAGTAAGTGATCTCAACTCCCTGCCGCTTATACAAGAGGGGAGTTGTTACTTTTACTTTATTTTATTTTAAGATGGAGTTTTGCTTGCCCAGGCTGGAGTGCAATGGCGGGATCTCGGCTCACTGCAACCTCTGCTTCCTAGGTTCAAGAGATTGTCCTGCCTCAGCCTCCTAAGTAGCAGGGATTACAGGCATGCACCACCATGCCCAGCTAATTTTTTGTATTTTTAGTAGAGACCGGGTTTCACCATGTTGGTCAGGCTGGTCTCAAACTCCTGATCTCAGGCGATCTGCCCACCTCGGCCTCCCAATATGCTGGGATTACAGTAGTGAGTCACTGAGCCTGGCCTTATTACTTTTAGATAAAAGGCACTTGTTACATCAGCCATTTCACATCCATTGATAAAGATGGGTGCTTCTGAAATGGCCACAGCTGACAGCCAATACACCTGCAGGTCCACCCTCTGCTGGTCATTTTCTGACCACAGTAAGTGCTCAGCAGCCATCCCCAGAGCAGGGGTCAGCAAAATTCTACATCAAGGGTCAAATAGTAAATATTTTAGGCTTTCCAGGACCTACAGTTTTCCTATCAACTACTCAACTCTCCTTTTACTTGAAGCAATAGTCAACACATAGATGAACGGGTGTGACTGTGTACCAATAAAACTTTATTTACAAAACAACAGCAGGCCCCGGGGCCATAGTTTGCTGACTGCCGCCATTGTGTAGCCTGAAGTGGAGCTCAGAAGCAGGGGCTCCAGCCGTGGGTGGCAAACTCTCAAACCCAATGACACCAACAGTATCTTTGGTTAGAGCATTTAGAGTTTTAGCCATAGTTCAATTAGCAGCTGATGATTTGTTCCTCGATCAGCCCAAGCATGTGAAACATAATTGTTCCTTCAATTCCCATCAGCCAGGAGGTGACAGGGAAATGACCTATTAGCTGACTTCAGGCAGCAGGAAAAGTCCAAAGTTGGCTGCTGCCATTGCCATATTGATTGGTGATCCAAGAGAAGTGTGGTAACTATGACCAAGAAGAAAAGGTCTAGGGGAACTATTCCTTATATTGTGGAAATATTCCATACTTCGCTGGGATATTTTCACTGAAATCGTTTTGAACTGAGAACCAGGGCCATTCCTCTGACTGTAAAGCTTTGTAGAATATATTCAATTCTGCATGTTACTGATGGGTGCTAACCTTTTGTGTGTGTTTGTGTGATGTTCGGGCTTAAGGGATCTCTGGACAATAATAATGATAATTCAGCTGCCTGGGATCTTGATGAAACCCATCCACTCCTTCCCACCTTTCCCATGTCAGATCTTCTACAAAGCAAACTGATGCTTTCAGTAAAATATTACTGATGCAATCCAAGAAACAGAAAAAACAGCCCACCAATTTACTCCCATTTGAACCCCTGAAGCCTGTTCACAGTATTACCACATTGTTATTGAAGTTTACAGAACAAAACCATAGATGGAACCCAAGAATTCTTCTAGTTCAAGCCCATTTTAGAGCTAGATTGACTGAAGTCTAAGGTGATGTGATCTATGTGATTTCCCCACTTTCAAATATCTCCTAAGAAATGGCCATAGAATGTATGAGATTTCTTTTTAAAAGAACTTTACTCATACTGCATACATGCATGTACACACACACATGCATGCACACACACCAAAGCTCAGGATCTCCTTTGAAGGAGTGTCGAGCTCACGAATGGTAAGAGCCCGTGTGGCTCAGGCCCTCTGCAGAGCCAGGGCAGAGAGACAGATGCCATTTTGGGGACAATTTAGGCTGCACAGCTGCTCTCTCTGAACTGCCAACAGCTGAACCAAAATGCTCAGGAGGTGGGCTGGGCAGCCCTGGGCTGTGGGCACAGTGTCCTTGGGTATTTACAATCCCTCGATCCTTGCCTGATTGGTTTTCCATAGGCAGGGCTTCGTCCAAGTTCCTAGGGTCGCAATACCATTCTCATTAGAAGGTTCCTCTTGAGAGACACCATGGAGCAGGGAAGGTCTTGGGTGTCCTCCCATCTCATTTGCCCTTCCCCTAGGTGCCTGTGTTTCCCATCCCAGTGGGGATCCAAAGCATGTCCTGGGCATTGGGTAAGGGTTTAGAACCTTGTCCCCGCCTGCATATGATAGACATGGGGAGGGACAGGATCAGGAGGTTGCTAGGTAGAGCCTGCAGGTGCCTTTCCCTGAACTCTGTTATGTGGCTGAGTTCTTCAGAGAAATAGTCAGGAGCTAAGGGGTTAAACAAGCATCCCTCCCTGCAGAGACAGGCAGGTCAGAGGCTGCATCTGTTAAATTAGGGTCCAGGCCACAGAGGTAATACCTACCACTCTAAACTGTTAGCCTTCCAATACTACACTCCAGTTCTGGGAGTGAGTAACTGTGTGTCCAGAGATAGAAGCCATAAGCACTTGAGTTACAGAACTGCTGAGAAATTGGTCTGATGGTCTAGTAGCCTTGTGCCAGGAGAACAGTTCCTATGTAGAAACTGGTCAGCATTTTCTTCTGAAAACGTAATCATCATTGCAGTGAGTATAAACTTCCATTTATATGCCAGGAACCTATAAGTTTCAGAATGTGTCTGATCCCTGAAGATGTCCCTTCTCTCAGACGGCTGGCCCTTGCCCCACTGTTGCTGGGTTGTGTATAATCTGTATGTCCAGTCAACCTCAGCTCTCAGCCTCTGAGCCCAGGGGACAGAAGGCCGTGGCTTTAAATGTTCACTTAAATATTGTCAAGGTAGTATGTTTATTGTGTACTCCCAATGGTTGTCTTAGAAAACCAAGGATGGTGTCATCCTTAGACCTAAGGGGCCCCAGGCCTGGCAGTGCCTTCCTTCAGAGTTCTAAGCTCCAATGCCTGTGTGTGGCCTGGCTCACAGAGCCATCTGAGCAGGACCCCTGAGCCCAGCCTGTCTTCCCCTCTTGGATGTTCTCCAACCCTCCACCCACCCGCCCCATGCATGAGTCAACCAGATGCCCTGAGGAGCTCTGGGACTTGCACCTACAGGGTCATCCCGAGGCCCTGTGGCCAGATAGGCACCAATCCCAGGAGAGTGGGGAGGTGAGCTCATCTCTTTTGCAGGCCGGCATGGTATTTCTTTGGCAGGATGCTGTGAGACTGGGTCCCAGAACAGTGCTGGCCTGTTCATTTTGGATGACTCAAATTGCTTTTTAAACAGGAGTCCTGAAAAAAGTATTTGGCCAGGCCCAGAGTACTATAGGGGCAGCCCTGACCAGGGAAACATTAATATACCCTCTCCCAAAATACAAATCTCTTTTAGACTGTTGCCAGCAGTCTCAGGAATGATCAATACTAGTGGTTGAGACTAGAGGGACCATTAAGTAAGTGGAGTTGATCTTTATTGGATATAGCTGGCCCTCTTTGGTAAGATGTGATCAGAAGAGAAATTCAGGCAGCAGGCTACATAATCTTCATAGAAAGTAAATTTCAAATGCATCATACAAAATTCACAGACAAACACATATAATTGCTTAATTGCTTCCTTGTTTAATAAAATGTCTTTCCTGATCAATACCTCTTAACAAGTTGACCAAACCAGGTATAGTTTAGCCTCCTGATCAGATTTAGACCTTGAATTTAATGGAGGTATAGATAGGTAGGTAGGTAGGTAGGTAGGTAGATAGATAGATAACCCATGAATGTTGAAGAATTGTGTCTATATTAAAATTTAGCCAAAGGAGACCAGAGTAATATAATAAATTTGTTCCTATGGGAAAAGCACTTTAAGCAAACATGTGCCCCATTGGTGGGTGGGGAGGTATATATTGGTGCTATTTTTTGTACAGCATTACATTGTTTCCCTGGTGGGGAAGAACAGGTTAGCTTTATAATTTTGGGAGAGCAATTTAATTTAAAAGATATACCCTCACTGGGATAATTAAATCCTGATGTGTGAGGTTCTTTCAAATGGAAGATTTGCTTAAGGTGTTCACATTTTGGTTATTCTGAACATTTCTACTTGCTGTGTTGCGGAGTCACGATACTGAAGGGCACACATGTTTTTGTATCTCACATATGTGACACATCCTTATCTAAAATTTCAGAGCCAAGAGAAAAGAAGGAATCAGATAGTGATAACCCAGTGAGGTATCTGCTGCACAGTCTGCCTCTCCAACTTTGCTGAGGAAACTCGAAAGTATGGAAAGCCAGGAGCCCGGCACAGGTCCCTTCCCAGCTTCTGTCTCTTAGCCTGGCAGAGACTTCAGAGGAGGAACTCCCTGAGAATGGGAAGTCATTCTCTAGTTGTCTTGTGCTTCGTGTTTGTTTTTCATTGTCTTTTTCAAAGTAATGTATGCACAACGTGGGTAACACTGACTTTTATTGGCTCATAGTGACAAAAACAATAGTCCCCTGCCTCTCTCCTCCTGAACTCTGGCCTTGCTCCCCAGTTGCTAATATGTTCAATGATTTTTGCTATTTCTTACCAACAACTACTTTAATATTTCTCCATAACATGCTTAAATATTTGTACTTATTTGGGCTGGGTACGGTGGCTCATGCCTGTAATCCCAGCACTTTGGGAGGCCGAGGCAGGCGAATCACCTGAGGTCGGGAGTTCGAGACCAGCCTGACCAACATGGAGAAACTCCGTCTCTACTAAAAATGCAAAATTAGCTGGGCGTGGTGGCACATGCCTGTAATCCCAACTACTCAGGAGTCTGAGGCAGGAGAATGGCTTGAACCCGGGAGGCAGAGGTTGCGGTGAGCTGAGATTGCGCCATTGCACTCCAGCCTGGGCAACAAGAGCACAACTCCATCTCAAAAAAAATATATACATATATATGTACATATATATATGTATATAAATATATATACATATATATTTATACTAATTTATTTAGATATTATGCATTGCTTTCCTACTGTAATAGATGAAGATTAACTCTTCCGTATTACTTTTCACCCAATTTCACCTTCCCCCATACTCCCATATAATTATGTTTCAATTTTGGTTAAACCAATATGAGATGATTGCATTGTTGCTGAACAAGAGGTACAATATTACGTTCTCTTTTTGTATACAAAGACTGTTAATTTAGAGACCTAGAGCTTTCAGATCTTGGAGGGGTTCTTCTATCTCAATAACTACCCAACCCCCATGTTCTTTTCTCAGAGTTCATGGAATTGAATAATTTGGATGGATATTCTAATTTTTAAAATTTCTTTTTTCCATTTATTTTAATTCTGCATTCTGGGGGGTTTCCTAACCTTTATTTTTCAGCCTGTCTATTGGCTCTAAATTTGGCTACCATTCATTTAATTGCTAAGGTCTCTTGTCCTGTTTCTTCCTTTTTTTAAAAAAAAAATCTCCTAAATTTCTGAATGCAAAACATTACTATATTTTGAGGCTATTCCGAAGAAACAGATTTTGTTCTTTTTGAATTCTTTTTCTCTCTGCATTGTCTCTATTTTGTAATTTTAAATGTTTATTCATTTAGTCTCTGTCTTTATGAAACAACATTCCTCAAAGGTCTGGTGGTATCTGTCTGCCTCAGTAGAATAATAAAAGCTGAATAGAATTTTGGGGGCTGAGAGTAGAGCTTGTCCACTAGCAGGTGTTACTGTGATTAAGCAGCGAGTCAGCTTTTAAACTGAGGACTCTCCTATTTGATGGACTTTTCTCTGGAGCCCCCTCATTTTCCCAGGGCGGAATCCCTCCACCTCTTGCCCAGGGAACATAGCTGGGCTGCTGCTGCTCTAGGACACGGGTCGGGAGGAGGAGGCTGGGAAGGGTGTCTCGCTCTTCCATGCAAGCACTTGCACACTGTCCCATCTTCAACTCAGAGCCTCCTCCCATTCCCCGCTGGGACTGGAGTCTCTGAGACCTGAATACCTTAGGTTCAGTTCCTCCAGAGAATCAACCTCCCATCTCGTGTGTTACTGGAGGAGGGTTTTTGCCCAGGTGCCTGGGCTGAGGGAAGGGATCAGAATACGCCTTATTCAGACTTTCAACCTTCCTGCATATTCACTTGCTCACCTGGTTTCTGCCCTTCCCCGCACCCGGGCCCTCCCATCCCCGAGCCCCTGCTCCGTGGTTCCTGGCACCTCTCTTGGCCTCTTCTTGGCGTTCATCCTCGCCAGGTACTTCGGTTCCTGTTTCTTCAGTTCCACCAAACCAGCCAGTGTTCTCCCACCCATGGTCTGTCTTTGATTACAGGTGTTGAAATGTTAGGTCTGATCTGCTGTTCTCTCTTCTCACTCCTCTTCCTGTGGATTTTTACCTTTTTTTTCATTTAGTGTTATTTTGGTGGATTTTCAGCAGTAAAGAGGAAATAAATACATATTAAATCCAGAAGAATCCAGAATGTTTAAATGGAAGTCTTTGATCCTGTCTGCTTTTATTCAGATCAAATGGATCAGATGACTTAAATCAAAAGGTAATATTTATGAGACACAAAGAATTACTCTCTCCTCTCAACAAAAATAAAGCCTCCGCCTCTAACATCATCCAGTCTGCCTCCCAGACATGAACTTGCGCACAAAGATGTCAGGGAGCCATCAGGCACGGCACTGCCTAAAAAGCCCATGTGGCATAAAGAATGAGCAAAGCGCTACAAATACAGGGTCCTTCTATACAGGTTATTCACACTGATCTTCCCAACAGCACTATTAGTTGGTAATATGTCTATATTGCAGATTAAAAAACATCAGATGGCCAGTCGCAGTGTCTCACACCTGTAATCCCAGCACTTTGGAAGGCCAAGGCAGGAAGATTTCTTCAGCCCAGGAGTTCCAGCCCAGCCTGGGCAACATAGGGAGATCTCGTCTCTACCAAAAATCAGAAAGTTAGCTGGGTATGGTGGCACATGCCTTTAGTACCCCCCTACTTGGGAGGCTGAGGTGGAGGATCCCTTGATCCCAGCAGGGTCAAGGCGGCAGTGAGCCCTGATCATACCACTGCACTCCAGCCTGGCCAACAGAGCAAGATCCTGTCTCAAAAATAAAAATAAAAATAAAATAAAATACATCAGACATAGAGCGGTTAATTGGCTACCCAATCCAGAACACCAAGTAGCAAAGACAGGACTTGAACCCGGGACCTCCAGGTGTTTCTGGGTGTTCTTTGAGTTCCTCCATCCTGAATCAATAGTCAAGCATCATGTATAAATGGAGCCACAGTCCTCAAGGATAAACACTAACTGCTTGTAGGCCACTGCAGGCCATTCAGTACAGTGTTTTATTGTGCTGCAAAGTCACCTGTTTCCACAAGTGCTTCCCCAATGCAGGCTTTCTAAAGTCATCATGGAAAGTAAATTATTTTCCCCTAACAAACTATGCTAAAATGGGCAGGATGAGCAGGAAGTGCTTGTGTGGTCTACATTGTATACAACTATCACGGAAAGTTCAACTCATGGGACACTTGGGTTATCTGGAGGACACATGGCCGTGAGAGGATGTGGCGCTTAGAAGCTCCCTTCATCACTTGGTTGGCCCTCATTCATGCATGCTGAGGAGGGGGTGGGAAAAGTTATAGAAGCCAGTAGCCAAACCCGGTATACCCAAATGTTTAGCTTAGATTGAAGCTTTGGTGTTTCTAATATGTACATTCGGCTCACTTCCAGAAGACAGAGATGGGGGACTTGAAAACTAGCTTAGCAGAGAGTTAGTTAATCCTAAACCTACCTCGTTCTGTCACCTTGGCGATGAAATGACTATCCTAATACAGTCAGAAGAGGACTTAATAATCAGCCAGGCAGGTGCGGGGAGGGAATGCCAGAAACATGCAAAACCGCCGACAGCAAGAAGTTTCCATTCTTTTGGGGGTGACTGTGCATAATTAAGTGCCTACAATTCCCAAATTAAAAATACCAGTTCCTTTACAACCAGCAGTGGCAGGTCTACTCAGGGGCAGTCAGGAGGCTCCCACAAGTGCAGCTGTCCAGCACTGCACCACACCTTTCTCTTTTCTCCAAAAGAAATAGTTTTATATAATAGATATATCCAAAAATGTAGAGGTCATAAAAACAACAGCAGATAAAGCTGTATCCTTGTTGGTTTTATTTGTTTGCTTTTGGTGTTATGTTTAGGGTAACATGATTGCTGCTGATAAGAACACATTACCTTTGTAAACCCAGCACTTTGGGAGGCTGAGGCAGGTGGATCACGTGAGGTCAGGAGTTTGAGACCAGCCTGGCCAACATGGTGAAACCCTGTCTCTACTAAAAATACAAAAATTAGCTGGGCATGGTGGCTCATGCCTGTAATCCCAGCTACTTGGGAGGCTGAGGTGGGAGAATCGCTTGAACCCAGGAGGCAGAGGTTGCAGTGAGCCGAGATCATACCATCGCACCCCAGCCTGGGTGACAAGAGTGAAACTCCATCTCAAAAACAAAACAAAACAAAAAAACACCTGTGTAGAGCAAGTTCACCTTTTCATAGCACATGCAGAAAGCACACCTCTGTGAGTTTGCAAAGAGAACAGCCCTCTTCTGCTGTGTGACATTTCAGAAGATGGAGGCTCAGAAGCTTCAAGTCTTATTTTGCTACCAGGACAGAAACAGAAGCCAAATCTTTAGGCTTCAGATTTACCTTTTTTTCCTAAGAGTGGGACATCATATTTAATTTTCCAGGTCAAAGACCAGCGCTTGAGTTGATCATAGATCTTCTCAGAGAAGTCATCTGAAAGGGAAGTAGTCTGTTTTCTTAGTCACCTGAAAAGCCATAGAATAAGATAAGGCTTAGAATAAGAAAATATTGGTTTCTCCATGAGAAGAAGGAAGAGAAAACCAAGTTGAACCATTTAAGTCTCAGTTGAGTTGAAATACTCAAGTGACAAAATAATCTGAAAATTAAAAGTATGGTGTATCTCTAAACAATTATTTTAGCAAACATACTCTGGTTAAAAATGTATTCTAAAGAAGGTTTTATTTAATTATAAATATCTATATTTTGTTTTTCACCTCTTCCAAAAGGGTAGAATAAAGTAGGAAAATGCACTTGGGTTCATCTCGAAACTCAGAGGCAGCGTGGTGTGGGGCAGAGGGCTAGCATGGGAGGTGGGAGGCCTGGTGTTGGCCCGGGAACCCGCACTGACCAGCCTGTGGCCAGGGCCTCATCTGAGTGGAGGGAGGCCTTGGTCTAGAACTGAGATTCACCATACAAGCTCCCCAGTCTGCTTGTGGACCAGGAGTGTCTTGGGAATGGGAACCAAACTAATCCAAAGATGAAGTTCAACTCTTTGGTTCTTATGAAGTGAATAACCCACAATGCCATAGACATTCATTTTTCTATACACTTAAGGGTTACAAAAGGAGTTATTAAATGTGAATAACGTCTTGAATATATAAAATTAGACTGCAGCTACAGATTTCCCAGGATCCATTCCATATTCCCTGGAATCCAGCTTGCTCCAAGAGCCTGGCACACTCTGGAGCTTTTGCTTCACCCAGCAGGTACGGAGTCAAACTCGACACCTGGAATCTGTATGTTGCTAGTGTTGAGTGGAACTCAACACCTGGAATCTGCATTGCTAACATTGAGTGGAATTTAACACCTGGAATCTGTGTGTTGCTAGTGTTGAGTGGAACTCAACACCTGGGATCTGCATTGCTAACACTGAGTGGAATTTAACACCTGGAATCTGTGCATTGCTAGCATTGAGTCAAACTTGACACCTGGAATCTGATCATTGCTGGTGTTGAGTGGAACTCTGCACCTGGAGTCTGACTAGCATTGAGTGGAACTTGCTAGTGTTGTGTGGAACTTGACACCCAGAATGCATGCATTGCTAGTGCTGTAAGGAACTTGACACCCAGAATGTATGCCTTGCTAGCATTGAGTGGAACTTAACACCAGAATCTGTGCATCGCTAGGGTCGAGTGGAAGTCTACACTTGGAATCTGCATTGCTAGCATTGAGTCAAACTTGACACCTGGAATCTGATCATTGCTAGTGTTGAGTGGAACTCTATACCTGGAGTCTGACTAGTGTTGAATGGAACTTGCTAGTGTTGTATGGAACTTGACACCCAGAATTTATGCGTTGCTAGTGTTGAGTGGAACTCTACACCTGGAGTCTGACTAGCGTTGAGTGGAACTTGCTAGTGTTGAATGGAACTTGACATCCAGAATTTATGCGTTGCTAGTGTTGAGTAGAACTCAACACCCAGACTCTGTGTGTTGCTAGTGTTGAGTCGAGCTGGACACCTGGAATCTGTGCGTTGCTCATGTTTGGGGTTTGTACTTCAGTTATTTTACTTGCTCATGGCTTTTTGTTGTAATTGTTTTTTGTTTCTTTTTTATTTAAAAATCATCCTTTAATTATCTTTAGTATCTTCAGTTTCATTCACTGGCTTAACCAGATAGTCGACAATTATGTGTTAGACATATCTGTTCTGAAAAATATTTTTAGCCCTCAAATTTTTTCAAAACTAATTTGCAAGATGTATACGCACTGTAGTTCAAATGTAAATCATCAGTGTCCTGATTACTGAGGCAGATGTATCAATAAGATCGCCAGATTTGCTAGTGCAATGATGCTTCCTTATACAGCAAATTATTTTTCCTATGGGGATGGTGGGGAGATGGATTTGGAGGTGATTTATCCTGTAAGAGCAGGTTTGGAAAGTTAATTAGCCTCTGGAGAAGGTTCCAGGATCTCTGGGGCTGGGTGGAGCTATAGGGGTGGGAAGCACCTGGGCCACTACTGTGCAGGTGTGTGCAGTGAGGATGGCTCCCTGTGCTTGGCCCCTCTCACTACAGGGCACGCCTTCTTCCTGCCAGCTGTCCTCAGAGACAAGAGTCTCACTCAGCTTCAGCTCAGGCCCGCTCTCTACTGAGCCTTCCACCTGGACTTCCAAGTGGAAACACCCCAAAGATCCTCATCCCTTTCCTCCACTCGATGCCTGGTTTGGCTACCACCCATAAGTGTGGTGTTCTGCCTGGCCCCGCCAAACCTCTTCCAGGCACCCAAGGTCTGGCCTCTGCTCAGGTTCAGGTCTTGGGCCATCGTGTATTTTCCTTCTCAGAATAGGTGCCTGGGTTGTTCTGACTATGGTCTAAGAGTCTTCCCTGCCCTGCCCTGCCCTGCCCTGACCTGCTGTCCCCTCCCCTTCCCTCCCCTCCCCTCCCCTCGCCTCCTTCTCTTTCCCTCTCTCCCCCGCTCCTTCCCTCCTTCCTCCAGGAATTAAGACATTGAACATTCTGTCTCATTTCCATGATTTTTCAAACAGTGCCAAAAGAGCCAGCAAATGACTGTGCGATTATCTCCACCAACCTATTTAAAACATTGTCGTTGTGTTTGACTTGATGTGGTCCTTCATCTTGACCATGATGTTTGTTTTACTGCTTCCTTGATGTATAATTTACATACCATAAAATCTACCCTTTTAAAGGGTATGATTAGATGGTTTTTAGTATTTTCAGAGAATTGTGGAACCATCACCCCCAGTCTAATTTTAGAATATTTTCATCATCCAAAATAGAAATCCAATATCCATTAGCAGTCACTTCCCATTCATCCTTCCCCTAGCCTTCAGCAGCCTCTACTCTGCTTTCTGTCTCTGTGGATTTGCCTACTCTGGCCGTGTCATATAAATGGAGTCATTTGGACTTTTGTGAATGGCTTCTTTCATGGAGGATACTGTTTTCAAGATTCATCTGTGTTACAGAATGTATCTAAACTCCATTCCTTTTTATGGCCAATAATATTCCACTGTATGCACCTGTCACACTGTTCATCCATCCATCAGTTGCTGGACACTTCCTGGCTGGTTTTCACTATTCAGCTGGTATGAATGAGGCTGCTATGAACTGTTATGCTCAAGTTTTTATGTGGATATAACTGTTAGATTTATAATCATTCTAATTAGCCATTTTGTACTTTTTTTTAAAGTTTTTTTTCTTTTATTATACTTTAAGTTTTAGGGTACATGTGCACATTGTGCAGGTTAGTTACATATGTATACATGTGCCATGCTGGTGCGCTGCACCCACTAACTCGTCATCTAGCATTAGGTATATCTCCCAATACTATCCCTCCCCCCTCCCCCCAACCCACAACAGTCCCCAGAGTGTGATGTTCCCCTTCCTGTGTCCATGTGATCTCATTGTTCAATTCCCACCTATGAGTGAGAATATGCGGTGTTTGGTTTTTTGTTCTTGCGATAGTTTACTGAGAATGATGATTTCCAATTTCATCCATGTCCCTACAAAGGACATGAACTCATCATTTTTTATGACCGCATAGTATTCCATGGTGTATATGTGCCACATTTTCTTAATCCAGTCTATCATTGTTGGACATTTGGGTTGGTTCCAAGTCTTTGCTATTGTGAATAATGCCTCAATAAACATACGTGTGCATGTGTCTTTATAGCAGCATGATTTATAGTCCTTTGGGTATATACCTAGTAATGGGATGGCTGGGTCAAATGGTATTTCTAGTTCTAGATCCCTGAGGAATCGCCACACTGACTTCCACAATGGTTGAACTAGTTTACAGTCCCACCAACAGTGTAAAAGTGTTCCTATTTCTCCACATCCTCTCCATCACCTGTTGTTTCCTGACTTTTTAATGACTGCCATTCTAACTGATGTGAGATGGTATCTCATTGTGGTTTTGATTTGCATTTCTCTGATGGCCAGTGATGATGAGCATTTTTTCATGTGATTTTTGGCTGCATAAATGTCTTCTTTTGAGAAGTATCTGTTCATGTCCTTTGCCTGAAACTGGGTATTTTATTCCTCAGAAAGAAAGAGGAGACTCGAACTTCTAAACATAAATTGTGTTTGAAAATATTGGAGCTTACTTATCCTACCATAAAACACTCAGTTTAAAATGAGCAGTTTTAAGATACTTGGTTTTGTTCCAACTAATACCTCTCCTGCCTTTTTTTGGTCAATTTATTTTTGTTATTAAAATTTCTTCTGCCGTTGGCACCCCCAGAACAATATATTCTTCAATAGTTTAAAGGAGCTGCTTCCTCACTGGGATGTGGACCCTTCTTCCTTCTTTTAATTACAGCGTTATTAAACTCCTCCAGGTTGACACTTTCTTTCATTCTCTATTTTAGATTTGTCAATCAGAGGTGCTCCATGAAGCAGCTCCTTAGTGCTGGGGGAAATGCAAAGCCATGGCGTGTCACTGTGGGTGCAAACCTGCTTCTGGAGCTGTGACGTTCTTGGGGAGGGAGGGCTGTGAAGGGTCATCTTGGAGGGGCCACCCCTGCATCTCACCCGTGAGCCATCCTTCTCAGAGGATGAGAGAGTGGATAAGAGCTCAGGAGCTGCAAGGGAGCATTGCGGGAGCACTGTGCATCATAAGAGGGGAGGATGAAACCGACAAAGACGGGCACCTGGCAGGGAGTGCTAGTAAACTGAGGCGTGGACTACAGAAACAATCCTCCCCCGAAGAACTTTTGAAAATATTGTACAGACCCAGGGCACCCTCCCTGACCTACAGAAGCCAAAACCCCAGTGTGGGAGCACAGTATGTACGTTTAGAAAAGTTTTCATATGGCCGGGCTCAGTGGCTCATGCTGTAATCCCGGCAATTTGGGAGGCTGAGGCAGGTGGATCACCTGAGGTCAGGAGTTCAAGACCAGCCTGGCCAACATGGCGAAACCCTGTCTCTACTAAAAATACAAAAATTAGCCAGGCATGGTGGCTGGTGCCTGTAATCCCAGCTACTTGGGAGGCTGAGGCAGAAGAATTGTTTGAACCCAGGAGGCGGAGGTTGCAGTGAGCTGAGATTGCATCACTACACTCTAGCCTGAGCGACAGAGTGAGATTCCATCTTAAAAAAATAAAAAGGCAGAGGTTGCAGTGAACCGAGATCACACCACTGCACTCCAGCCTGGGTGACTGTCTCAAAAAACAAAACAAAACAATACAAAAATTGTAAGTATGTGTGGGGCTCATGTGCTGAGTTTGGTGGGGGAAATCTTTCCATGCACCCCCACAACTGTCTACAATATGAAAACAATCTTCAAGAAAACACCAGCGAACAGACCATTCGTCTTTCCCTGTTGCCACATTTTATCTTGGTCTCAGGCTGCTGACCTGTCAGATGATTGACAAATGGAAACCGTATGGTGGCTCAGAGGGACCAGGCGTGGTGTGTGCTGCATTGAGGAGAGGGTGGGTAGGCAAATAGAAGTTAAGCACCCTAACAGAAATCATTCTAGGCTTCAGAGCTTAGCCAGTAGCTTAGCAAGTGGTATTTTCTAGGAAGCCACTCAGATTAGTGCCAACCTTCTGCAGAAATACAGAGCTATAGGTGCTGGGTGAGTTGTGAGCAAAGCCATGTTCAGAATATGTTAAGTTTCTATTTTTTAAGTGAGCTTATTTGCTGAGGTAATGCAGTTTGCCTGAGGCAAATGATCATTTAGATCAGCTTTCATCTTTTAAGCCAGATCTTGAGATTTGAGGCGCTAAACTCTTTGCGTACGCATTTTACAGCTCTCTTACTTGGTTGGGATCCACTGCTTCCCAGTATCTGCAGACCCTTCTGGGGACTGTGACCTGCAGGGGGTTAGGTAGCTGTTTTCAGGGGGGCATTTTGAGCCCGACATTCACGTTTTATAACATTAGCTGTGTGGGGGCTGGCAAGAAGAATCTAGCCTTTTCCATTAATTTAGTGACTTTGTTCATTTTAATTTTTTAGTTAATTCACTGACTTTATAATTTTGCTAAACCCTACAAACTGCTCAGCATAAATGATTTCCTTTAATCCCTACAAAATGTCAGGCTCCCAGGCCTGCAGGCTCAGAGTGTATGCAGGGCGAATGCTGCTTGTGTCTTATCCAGGACAGACTGGCCTGTCTCGCACCTGTCAGGCAACTTTACTCCTGATGCTGCTTTCTGGGACGCCATCCAATCTCATTTGGAGGTTTTGTCAGTGAGCAGATCTGTTTCTGTTAGATTCAATTGAGGCAGAGGCAGACACTGAGGACAGATGGGTGGCTGAAGATAACACCGGGGAAACCAGCCTCTAAGAAATAGAGCCACTGCAATTAAGACTTCCACTCTCTCTCCAGAGGTTGTGGAGTCAACAGAAAAGCAGATCCATGTCTGAAGACCATGACACCTTAGAAGCCCAGACAGACGAGAGGGAAAACAGCCTAGAAGACCTTGCCTTATTATTTCTACTCTAGAAAGATGCACGGGATCAATAAAGTAAATGAGCTGTTTCATCCAAGCTGGCCGCGCAGATCCAGGGCCACAGAGACAGACAGACACATAAACGCATTGATCACCCTGCTAGGGCCTACTGGCCTACCCTGCATGGAAAATGTGAATGGAAAGAAGGCAAGGAAAATACACTATTTGTAGTTCTGAGCCACAGCTCTGATTGTAGGTCACCTCCTTTCCTCTGTGGAAGGGCAGTCACATTGTGATCTTTCAAAACATTGGCTAAGGCGGTGATGATAACCAAGGCTGATATGTTACCAGCACACAGCAGATCTCAGGGCTGAGAGTGAGGCATGAATCTTCCAAGTAAGTGGCTCCATATGGGCCTCTTTGAGGTCTTTAAAGTCAACAGTCTCTTCATCATGGAATTCAACTTGACCCCTGTTCCACCGACATCAGAACTGGTGAGGTGACAGGGATTTAGAGCGACTTGTCAAAGGGATGGGAAATGCATTTGCTCAAATGATAATGACATTCACAATAGTCAAGATTCGTTGAGCTAGGATGCATGCTAAGAACTTTACAAGCATTTCTATTAAAATCTCAACACTGCTCAATGAAATATGTATTATCGTCTCCATTTTTAGATAAGAGAATTAATGTTTAGAAAGGCAAGTTGATCAGGCATATCTGTGCAGCAAATGGTAAGACTCGACTTGAACTAACCTTAGACAAAAAAACAAAAAACAAAGCAAAGCTGTGGAGTGGCAAGAGCAAGGCTGGCCTTAGGGACAGCGGGATGGGGGCTCAGGTGCAGCTGAGACCCTACCCATACCCCTTCTGATTGCGCTGCTGGCTTCTCCACTTAGGGAATGAGAGGAGACAATCAGTTGCTATTCTGAGTCATTTCCTGGGTCTCTGAGTAAAAAGGAGAGAAGCTTCCTCTCTTCCAGCTTCAGTTTGAAGAGTCTCAGGCAAGAACCCGGTTGGCCTGGTAGAGTCTTATGCCCATCCTTGAAGCAATCCCTGAAGCTGGAGGATACAGTCCTAAGGGTCCTAAGTTACTGGGTGCCATATGGTGGTGGGCGGGGTGGGGTCCATCACCAAAATGGAGCACAGAGGGAGCTAGTATGAATCAGGCAAGCAGTTGGCTCCACTTCCACATGAGATGGCAGCAGGCATCGCTAAGCCTGATTCACAGCACCTGGGCTTAAGTTGCAGCACCGATACATACCAGCTATGGGACTTTAGAGAGGGCATTTTCTCTGTGTCTTGATTTCCTTCATTTTAAACTGAGGACAATCATATCTAACTCCTGTGATAATTGGGTGTGTTAAATGAATTAATGCATTAGAGGAGTATCTAATACAAGGTAGATGCTTCATTAATGTAAGCTAATGTTATTTTTACCATTACTTTTACTGTTATTATAAGGAGCTATGTATCTTGTCCAAGGTCCTGTAATAGCTAATAAGTAAAAGAGCCAAAATTATTATTATTATTTGAGATGGAGTCTCACTCTGTCACCCAGGCTGGAGTACAGTGGCGAGATCTTGGCTCACCCCAACCTCTGCCTCCCGGGTTCAAGTGATTTTCCTGCCTCAGCCTCCCAAGTAGCTGAGACTATAGGCACGCGCTATCATGCCTGGCTAATTTTTTAGTAGAGATAGGGTTTCACCATGTTGGCCAGGCTGGTCTTGAACTCGTGACCTCAGGTGATCCACCCACCTCGGCCTCCCAAAGTGCTGGGATTACAGGCATGAGCCACTGCGCTTGGCCCCAAAATTCTTATCAGAGTTACAGTGGGAGATATCACACCATGAGCTCTCCTTCTAAGGATGCCCAGGCCCTGAATTCTGGCACCTACCTCGCCTGCATTTTGTAGGTTGCACTGATTTGCTTAGTGGGGCCACAGTCAACAGGCTCTGATCAAAGCCACCCTTGCCGCAGCTGACCCAGCAGCCTGCCCAGCTCCATCCAGGGCTGTTAGCCCATCCTAAAAAGGCCCTCTCCTTATAGACCATTGCCCGAGGAGGTCTTTCCAGGCCCTACCTCCTGAAACTCCTCTCTGGCCTAGTCTAATATCCCTTATCCTTCCTAACTTTCCTAAGTTTCCAGTCCTAACTTCCCTCTCCACCTGCACCTTGGACATGATGATTGACACTGTGACTTGCTTCTCAAAATCAGCTCCCCTATCAGGTCTGTTTTGTTCTCCGTCCTGAAGACAGTGGTCACGACCTCGCCCAACCCTGGGCTGGGGCTCAGCCTCCTGCTCATTACAGGGGCAGACGTGCCCTTTGATGTCAGGCCTGAATAGAGGTTCCTTATTTATTACAATTTATTATCCTCCGAATCTGCCTGGGGTTTTGATAGAACCTGGCTGCCAACGGCTTGCCCTGGCCTTTCTGAAACCTCACCATTTCCACAATGAAACAGGACGCAAGGACTGTGCCCCTGGTATGGGAAGGGAAGGAGGAGAAGCTTGCGTTTACAAGTGAGATATCCACAGACAGGGAACATACTACATTTTTTTCTTCTAGACTAGCCTCTGTGGACTAGTTCATCCTCCATAAGGTTGATATTTTTTTCCCAAAGCCTGGATTTGCATTGCCTAGAGCCACATTCACGGTAGGAGATGGGTCTTCCCAGTGTGACTGGACTCACTTCTTAGCACTCCCTCGGTGGGTGAGTTAGGCTGGAATGAAGGGAGGAGCCACCTTTGGGATTGCGGTGCTGCCCTGGGCACCTCACACTGCCTTCTCTTCCTGCTGCTCGCTGGTGCATGCTTAGAAAACCCAGTCAGCTTGTTTTGACCTAAAGCAAAAACCATTATTCTCTGAGTTTGTAGGTAAGCTTCCACCCAAAATATTGTTGTGAGACCTTGGATTTGGTGATCTTGGGCTAGCTGCCTAACTTCTTTGGGCTTCCATTTCTGCTCTATCAGGTAAAGGATTGGGACAGATGATCTTTTATGGCTATAAACATCCAGTGTGCTCCAAGGCCACTGCCAAATATACGCTTCAACAACGCTAGGAGTGGTTTGCATGATCTCCTAGGCTTGGGAACTCTGGGAGCAGGGATTGTCTGTTCTGTGCCTGGTACATGGGGGTCATTTAATACACGTCTCGACAACTGCATAGCCCTTTTGCTCCCTGAGCTGAGAGGACAGAGGAGGATGTTAACAGTCACTGTCTCAAAAAGCCCTGAGCAAATCTGCTCTGTTCTCAGCACCTCTCAGCACTGCCTCCTTCATGAGTCCCTGCTGGGTGGGTAGGGGGCTAATTAAGCTTGAGTTTCAAGAACTTGTCTACAAATCCACTTCAAGGGCTCACATGCAAATCAGGCCCTGCTGGCAGCCATTACCATCTCCCACCTGCAGCCCAGGCCTTAGAGGCCAGGATTCACAAGCAGAACAACACCTGCCCTCCTCTGAGAGCTGTGCTGCAGCCCAGGGCCACGTGGACAGGGTGCTGGTGCATTCTCCAGCAACACTGTTGAGCTCTCTAGTTTGCAGAAGAGTCCAAGGGTCCTCACAAAACCTGTGACAACTGAACAATCCCACCATTCTTATATGATATATATAACCACCATTCCATATGTATAATTATGATTGAAACCGAATATCATTCCTGATTGCAGAGTCTCCAAGATGGTAATTTCTGTCTTAGTGTATTTTCCACTGGTAGTTTTGTTTGTTTTCCTGACTAACGTTATGAAACAGTATTACTCTCCTGTTACAGATGTACACACTGGGATGCAGAGAGGTGATCTGACACAAGGACAGCCCATGGTCAAGCCCCTTTGACTTCTGTCTGCTGTTGAAAAGGATGTGCCTCCCTTTCACTGAGCCTCATTGCAATACTTGTATAGATTCTGTGCCCCTCCCTCCCTTCCTTCCTTCTTCCCTGCCTGCCTGCCTGCCACAGGTGTTTAATGAACATCAACTATGTGCCAGGGGCTGTGGAGTATTCTAGAAATGAAACAAGGTTCCTGCTCTGAGTTTTTATGTTGACGAGAAGGAAAGGGTGAATAAACAAATACATTAACAAGAAAATATCAAGGAGCGATAAGAGCCCTGATAATTATTTAAGATGAGACTCAGGAGGCAAATGTGACTTGAGCAGCCTGCCCCGCCTCCTGTGTGAAGAAAGGCAGGAAAACATTCCAGCAAGAGAGAATCCCCACTGTTAGAATCTCTGCATGTTGTCATTAGCTGCATAGATCTGCTTGTTGAAACATGAACCAAAACTTTCAATCTTGGTCTGCTTGCCCTGGATAAAGTGCATTTCTGAGTCTTGGACCACAGCTTGGGAAATTAGCAGAGGCAAATGCAATTGTCTCTTCTAAAGTCTTTTTTTTTCTTTTTTTTTTTTTTTGAGACAGGGTCTTGCTGTGACCCAGGATGGACTGCAGTGGTGCCATCACAGCTCACTGCAACCTCCGCCTCCTGGGGGCAAGTGATCCTCCCACTTCAGCCTCCCGAGTAGCTGGGACTACAGGTGCCCACCATACGCTTGGCTAAATTTTGTATTTTTTTGTAGAAAGGGGGTTTTGCCATGTTGGCCAGGCTGGTCTTGAACTTGTGAGTTCAAGCCATCCAACTGCCTCAGCCTCCCAAATTGCTGGGATTACAAGTATGAGCCACTGCGCCTGGCCCTCTCCCAGTCTTGAGACCACAGTGGTTGGAAGCTTTAACAGAAAACATTATATGTGTGTCTTCCTCAGGAAATGTATTTTGTTAAAAATCTGTAACATGAAGGGAATGGTAGGAAAGAGTAGGCTGCTTTTGCATTTAAAACAATGTTAGGAGTGAATCGCTTTCCTGGTGGGTTATGTTAGAATGAATCTCAAACCCTCACTAATATCTTTCAGAGGAATTTTGGCAAATAGCAGTTGTTTCTTGGCCTAATTGAAGTCTTGGTTAATTTATCCCAATAACAATAACATTACCAGTATTTGTATAACAAAAATGGTTTCTGACTGTGCCAGCGTGGGACGAATGAGACTCATCACAATTTGTTTTAGGGATGGAGATTTAGAAGAATGGGTGGAGAACATTCTAAATGGAATCTATGGACAGGGTTTTTATTCTTAGTGAATTTTGAAGAAGTGACGTAAAGGAAACAGTTTCGTGTAAGCCCTGGCTCCTCCCTCAGGGGCAGCTGGACAAGTCGAGCAGATCCTGGAAGTAAAAGGCAGCCCCGGATTTTTATTTCTGTTTTCCCTTTCACCCTAACAAGGCCGTGCTCTCCTGCTCATCTCTCTCCACTGCCTGGACTCCTCTCTCTCTGCCTTCTCTCTCTGTTTCCTCCCCCTTCTCTGTGTGCTTCCACCTCCCGCTGCTCCCTGCTCTCCCTGTCTCCGTTCCCCATCCCTTCTTGCTCTTTGCTGCTGACCAGCTGTGCAACTCTGTGCATCTGAGGGACTCCTCTGGACGTCAGCTGCCACATCTGTGTTATTGAAGGGGACAGACACGGGATTCCTATTATGGCCAACGCAGACTCACCCTTTCTGCAGGCTCACCAAGGAACGACCACTCAGGGAGAGTGGGTCTGACATCCTGAGAATCACCATGACTTCCCCAAACCAGTGGGACATCCGGGGCCTTTGACTGTGGCTGGGCTGCCTCTGACGGGCGGGACCCTGACACCCACCTTAGCTGTGACAGTTGCTCCATGCAGCTAGTTCCTGGGCACCTGTGCAGTTCCTTCCACAGGAGGACATTCTGCCCTTTGCCTTCTTTGAGACATGGGTGTCTTGCTTAAGGGGACCAGTTTCCCCCACGTGCCTCTCTACCATCCTTTGGCTATAGGGTATTTTAAACATACAGATTTATTTTCCTTTTCTATTTACAGTTTCCTTTGGGTGAGAACGGAGTGAGTTGGTTATGACCGGGGGACCTGAGTCACACCACTTTGATTAATGCCAGCTCCACCACGCACTAGCTGCATGACTTTGGACAAATTTCTTACTTTCTTGCAGTTCTGTTTACCCATTGGAAAACTGAAATAATAAAAAGAACAACCTTACGTGGTTGGGGAGAAGTAGATACACGGATTCATTACAGTGCATGGCACATTTTATTTTTATCTTGGTTAAAAAATGCATAGCATAGAATTTACCATGTTAACTGTTTTCAAATGTTCAGTTCAGTAGTGTGAAGTAGATCCACACAGCTGGAAACCAGATCTCCAGTGCACGGCACATTTTTATGCTGGAAATACCTCTGTTAGAAATAAATCCTTGGAATTGATACATACACAAAGCCGTCACTCATCACAAATGATGGAACTAGAAAGCCAAGGCCTATTGGTGTCTAAGAGTCAGCCTGCCCATGCTCACAGACCTGCCTGGAAAGGTTTTGTTTTGTTTAGAATTTTCTTTTTATCACCATTTCTTCATTACTGGAAGCCTGGCTCTTTGCAGACAAATCGATATCTCCAAGGTTAAACAATTTATTTTTGTATATTTTTCAGGAGACATCGAGTCCCTGTAATGCAAGCAAGTTGCTCATTTCCTGCTTCTCCAGTTCTGTCTTCCTTGTCCCCTCTTCCCCTGCCTCTCTCCTCTCTTCTCTTACCCTCTTTGTTATCTCATCATAATTTCTTCACAGCCCAATTTCTTTCTTTCTTTCTTTTTTTTTTTGTTTTGAGATGGAGTCTCACTCTGTCACCCAGGCTGGAGTACAGTGGCATGATCTCGGATCACTGCAACCTCCGCCTCCCAGGTTCAAGCAATTCTGCCTCAGCCTCCCGAGTAGCTGGGATTGCAGGCCCCTGCAACACGCGCCCCCCACCCCTGTCTAATTTTTGTATTTTTATTTATTTTTAATATTATATTCTATGGAGTCATTTCCCAACTAGCATGTCTTATGCTTGAATTATTCTTTATACTTAATACTGCCCATCACATAAAAGACGTTGTCACGAACCCAGTGTTGTTGGCAGAATTTTGGCTCCTATGATCTCTGTCACCTGGTGTCACACCAATGGGTATATTACAGTACCTGGCAAAAGAGACTTTGCAGATGGAATTAAGGTTGGAAATCGTCTTGGATTCTCTAGGTGGGACCAGTGTCATGATATGAGCCCTTCAAAGCAACAGACGAGGTCAAAGCAAGGGAAGGACTCAGTGTGCAACTGGTGGCTTAAGGGAGGAGAAGGCCTGAGAAGGGGCTGGACCCTGGCACCAGCATGAGCTCGGAAGCAGGTTTTCCCCCCACCCCACCCCCAGAGCCTCCAGGAAGAAGTGCAGCACTGCTGAAACTTTGATCTGCACCGCCCCACTCCCAGGCCCTGGACAGAAAATACAGCCACTCTATGCTGGACCTGGGACCTATAGAACTATAGTGGGTGTTGCCTTAAGATGCTCAGCTTGCAGCAATTTGTTTTGGCCGCAACAGAGCACTCCTACACCTACCATTCACTGGCAGATAAGAGCTTAGAAGCAAGGCTATTTATTCTTACTGGAGACTGGCTTTTTTTTTTTTTTTTGAGGCGGAGTCTCGGTCTGTCGCCCAGGCTGGAGTGCAGTGGCACGATCTCGGCTCACTACAACCTCAGCCTCCAGGGTAGCTGGGATTACAGGTGTCCATCACCACACCTGTCTAACTTTTGTATTTTTAGTAGAGACGGAGTTTCGTCATCTTGGCCAGGCTGGTCTCAAACTCCTGACCTCAAGTGACCCACCCACCTCGGCCTCCCAAAGTTCTGGGATTACAGGCATGAGCCACCATGCCCAGCCAGAGGCTGGCTTTTTTTTGCTTCAAATGCTTTATGACCAAAACTGTCTATGTGCAGGGTCCCCAGCTGAAGTGGATACATATTTTGTGTTCATGGAATAGGAGGAAATTAGTTGGCCTTTCAGAAATATGGGACAAGATTTCTTCTTAGAAATGTGCCCTAAGCAAGTGAATTGAGTAAAAGTGTGGATTCTGAGTCCCTGCTCCTTGCAGAGGACTATCTGGAAATCGGTTGCATTCTCAGGAAAATAATTCAGAAGTGCAGTATCCTGTGGACCACTGCATATTTCCTGAATCAGTATCTTTGTGGATATGGGAAGGGGATGTATGTATATGTTTGGTGAGCGCCCAGGCAGTACATACAAACATTTGAAACCCACTGCTGTGCTCCAGTGTTTTTTAAACAGCTGGTTGAGACCCATTGAATCATGAAATCAGTGTAGCCAGACCATCGTTTAAAAAAATTAGAAGTGCATAGGAAAGAAAAGGTAATGTTATCAGAATGTCTTGCAACATGGTAAGGACAAGTGTGTTTGGTGAAACTTTTGTTTCAATGTGTGTGTTTTCACTATATGTGTCTGCGTATGTGTGTGTCCAGAGTCACCATGTAAAATGAGCAGGAATATTTCAGAAGCACTGCTCTTGTCTGATCTTGCAAATCTCAAGCCTTTGTCCTGGACTCTCCAATGCGCTGGGTCTCTGATCAACCCTGCCCTGACCACCTGCGTGGCCTGCCTTGCCTTATGGCGACCCTCGGAAGAGTCGAGCAGGCAGCGCGTGCCTGGGGCTTTCAGGGACACACTTCCTTCCATTCGGGGACCTGTGAGTATGTCAGTGGAAATCATTTTTTTTTCTTTTTCTTTTTTTATTTTTTGAGACAGGGCCTCAGTCTGTCGCCCAGGTTACAGTGTGATCCTGGCTCACTGCAGTCTTCATCTTCTGGGCTCAAGCCATCTTCCCACCTCAGCCTCCCAAGTAGCTAGGATTACAGGCACACACCACCACACCTGGCTAACTTTTGTATTTTTTGTAGAGATGGAGTCTCGTCATGTTGCCCAGGCTGGTCTTGAACTCCTGGGCTCAAGCGATTCTCCCAACTCTCCCTTCCAAAGTGCTGGGTTTACAGGCATGAGTCACTGCACCCAGCCAAAATAATTTTCTATTCGCTGGGGAGTAAAGTTGTCTTTGCATCTCCCGCACAGATATACACAAGAAATATAGGCAGGTGCTGGCTACGGATGCATAGAAATGGATGGCTTCAATACAAGGTTTTTGGTTGATGTGGAACAATATTACCGCATAGATAAAGAAGCCCCTTCAAAATTAGCTTTACCAATGAGATATGGTAAAAAAAAGAAGTATAAGTGATGAAAACTAAAGAGACATATGACTGTAAGTGTTAAGACTTGAAGGAAATAATAAAAGCCAAACTGCATCTCTGATTTTAAAATATGGGAGTCATAATAAATCAACAGAAAGGATAAAGGTATGCTGAGGAAAGCCAAAGAGGAGTGACCACTGTTGGTCACCAAACTGCTGGCTATTTGCAGAAGGGCCTGAGGCCCTGACCTGAGACTTGTGCTCAAGTCAGCATAGTTTGGGCTCATTGGAATATGTGATGCTAACGATGTCCCCCAGAAGAGTATTTTGTTCCTTTACGCACTTTTTAAAATAATCATCTGTGATATGAAAATTTGGACTGGTCTTGAAGGAATGAGTCCTCTCCTTACCCAGGTTTCTTTGTGATGTCAGGCAATGATGGTAATAAGAATGGTACTCCAGTACTAGGAGTAATACGGTACTTTGATAGCGCACTAATGCACAGCATTGGCAGAAGGCTCATGGTGGATGTGAAATTAAACGCTTCGTATAACCCATAGGCGATGTTGTTGTCTTTGTCATGGACAGGGGAGAAACATGAGGCCCAGAGAGGTAAGGTGAGCACTCCCTAATAGTCAGCATTGGGTGAGGCAGGAACATTGTGGCCCTGAGTCCCTGAGATTCAGGGCTTTTCCCATGAAGCCAACCCACTGGTCACTGAGTGGTTTCACTCCTTTCACCAACCAGGATACTTCAGAAAGCACTTGGGGTGACCCAAAGCTGGGTCCAGATCAGGGGAGTCGGTTGTAAGTTGTCATGACACTTCATCCTTACAGAAGGTGGAAGTTACTCATTTCTGTTCAATGAGCTTTGAAGAACAAAAGGTCACTGCTAATTTGAAGATTAAACCTTTATACCAACAACATCCTCCAATTACTATAGAAAATTTAGCATCCACCATTTGCTCAGGAAGCAAAGAAGTCACTGTTGAACAAACTCTGAAATAACCAAGGCCTCCAGGCCCCACACCTCTTTTAAAGTGCTTTCATGCTGACCATCTTTTTTTTTTTTTCCTTCTATCTTCAGCCCCTAACCACAAAGCCAAAAACCACAAGAAGGCAGAAAAGTACAATAAATGGGTTTTCTCTACCCATCCCCAGCAATTGTTTCACAGTTTTATTAAGTTGGGGATTCTTGGAAAAAAAAATCCTGAAAAAAAAAAAACAATTCTAGTTTAGGATCCCTCTTTGAGTGCTCTGCAACATAGGCGAGAGCAGTAAAAACACGTTCCATTGAACACAGAGCCTCAGACATAGACATCTGTCTGTTGGAAGGAAGTCACTGACTATGGCTTTATGCTGAAATACACAGATCACGTTTATATAGGATTTTATCATTTGAAAACATCCCTGCTCAGAGATGATCCTGCCTCATTCTGCAACAGCCTTTTGCAGTTTACATGGAAGGATTCAGATTAGGAGGGAGAAGTTGAAGAGCCTTTAGACTAGAGGCAGCAGGAGGAGGAACAGCCTCAGATGGGGGAGAGAGGAGAAGTTGGCATGTCCACCACTAGCAAAGATCTGGGTGCTGCTTCAAGATAGAACCCAAGGGAAGTGGCAGGGTCCCAAGGGGAATGTTGAGTGAGGCTCTCACTGGGGGAGGTCCCAGATTCCTGGCCCCCAGCCCCTCCAAAGGGTTATGAGTCCCAGGATGGCCCAGAAGCAACAGGGCTGACACACCTTAAGGAGCAATGCAGGCTGAAGAAGTTCCTGCCACTGGTGACTCATCATCAGAATTCCCCTTTCCCTGGGCTGTGGCTCTGCATAAACTCACAGGACTGCAGACCAGGCCTGGAGGAGATGACCCCAGAGAGGAGGAAGACTGAGTGTGCTGCCAGCCTATTAGAACTCAGCATTGCATTCAAATTCTAGTTGCTCTAAAGAAAATTAGGAAATGTGATATTTCTTGCACACCTGAATTTGTAGGCTACATGCAGAACAAAGGACAAAATGAGAGTCCAAGAAGGAAGTGCAGTGCTTTAAGGGTTGAGTGAATGGAGACTGAAGGGTATTTAACGGGCCATTGGCATCAAATTAGAAAGTATGGGTCTTAGAATTTCTTTTACATTAGAAGACTTTGGGCTGAATATTGATATTCTAGGGATAAATTCTTGATACCCTAAAATTCAGCCCTCATACAAAGCAGTGATTGTGATTTCATGAATGTTGTCCCTGAGAAACAAGTGTCTGGCATGAGCTCCCCATGTCTGGACCACCAAGCTGATACCAATAATGGCTGTTGCTTCCTTTTCCCCTACATCAAAACCTTAGGTTTGCTTCAGGCTTATGGCCTTGGTCATCCTAGGAGTCACCAACTTGCTATGAGAAGCTGGCCTGATTTTGTGTCACTTTCATCTTTGTAAAGTATAAACACAACATGTGAAGTTGTTAATTTTCAGTGCACTGCCCCATTCTGTAGCGTTCTACTTTGTAAATGACATTGAGCATATACACTTTCCACCATTGTAGTAAGCCCAACATTCAGTGAAGACAGATGCCTCCATTTATTTAAAAAAAATCAACACATTATTAATTTTAATGCAATTTAAGCTAAAAATGACCGACAATTCTTGGTTTACCAACAACCTCTTTTAAAAATTGAGACTCTCATAAGAGGATTTCGGTTTAAAAATGTTGAAAGGTCTTTTTGTATAGAAACAGAATGAAGTACAGGATATATTTAAAATGTGGCTAATTAACAAAATATTTGTGGTGGCTCATGCCTGTGATCTAAGCACTTTGAGAAGCTGAGGCAAGTGGATCACCTGAAGCCAGGAGTTCAAGACCAGCCTGGCAAACATGGTGAAACCTCGTCTCTACTAAAAACACAAAAATTAGCCAGGCATGGTAGTGCGCACCTATAATCTCAGCTACTCGGGAGGCTGAGGCATAAGAATCGCATGAACCCGGGAGGTGGAGGCTGCAGTGAGCTGAGATTGCACCACTGCACTCCAGCCTGGGCAACAACCCGGGAGACAGATAGATAGATAGATAGATTCTCTCTCTCAAAATATATATATAAATATATATATATGTATAAATATATATATCTATATATAATATATAATATATATACACATTTATATATTATATATAGATATATATTTATATAATGTTATATAAATAGATATAGATATATAAATAAATATATATAAATATATAGAGAGTATATATATGTTTACGTATATATTTAGAGAGAATATATATATATATTCGAGTTTATATTATTATTTTTAAGATTTCAAAAGCCTTCCCTTAAACACTTAGATCCATGAATATCCCGTTTTTTTACTAATGTGGGCGATGAAACTTCAAATGACTTGGGAAAAGATATTCTAGGAATGACAATCTTTTTTTAAAAAAATTCTTGCTAGGAAGAAGTATCAGAAACCTCCATGTTCTTACCCATATTTTCAGTGATTAACAGTTTCTTGTGATGCAAGTTTTCTCCACAGTTTGTTTCCAGGGTTACAAATCCATCATGCCTACCTTTTCAAAATCACATTAATTCAAGTTCACATTATTTTTATCAGCCATCAATTAAATATTAATCAGCTTTTCTTGGTCTTTAGCCTATAGGTCTTACTTACAAGACTCTTTAAAGAGGAAATACTAGAAACCCTGCCAGTTCAATCCCCTGGCTTGGAATAATTTTGTCAGCAGTACTGACTCCTGTAGCTATCTGTGTTGCTTAACTTGCGACTTCTCTTAAGTGGAAAGTTGAAGAGCTTTAAGAGTATTAACTTGCTTTGTTTCCATATTGACATGATCAACAGGCTACCCACAGATCTGATGCATTTCAATGCCCAAACACAAGAGCATGCCCCTGGAAAACTGCTGATTCTGAGTTCCAGTAAAGCTTTAAGCTCCTGAGATTATGACCATTTCTTTATTTTGGTTTTCCACTCGTAGAAACTGTCTTTCAGATAAGAGAGGAACACTACTGTCCAGAGAGTGGTGACAAGGCATCATGGGAGAGGTGCTTAAAAGTCTCCCCAACCGCCCCATCATACTTCCTTGCAAGAGCCAGCTCTGGTGTCAGAAATTCCCTAGTGTTCTGCTGGTTTATGTAAGACATGACCCTCTCCAATGTGAATGCCTCTGTAGAGAGAGCCAACTGATGACGGCCTTAAATAAAGATCCTGAAACTCCTGTCCTCTTCATTCAGCCAGAGAGGAGCTGAGCTCACAGCCCTAAACTATTCATTTCTACCAATGGCAGAAAGTGTATAGCCCATTTTTATATGTTTAATATGTAAGGCAGCATAATATTAGTTTATACACACTCATTTGGACCCCTTATCTCTCTGTGTGTGTTTAATTTGTTTCTTTTGCCATTTTAAAAACACTTGAGGTGTGGTGCACTCATGAAAATGCATCTCCCTCTTTTTTTTTTTTTTTTTTTGAGACAAAGTCTCTGTCACCCAGGCTGGAGTGGTTCAGTGGTGCAATCTTGGCTCACTGAAACCTCCGCCTCCCTGTTCAAGTGATTCTCCTGCCTCAGCCTCATGAGTAGCTGGGATTACAAGCATGTGCCACCACACCCAGCTAATTTTTTTATTTTTAGTAGAGACGGGGTTTGGTTTCACCATGTTGATCAGGCTGGTCTCGAACTCCTGACCTCATGATCTGCCTGCTTTGGCATCCCAAAGTGCTGAGATTACAGGTGTGTGCCACCGTGCCTGGCCGAAAATGCATCTCTTAATGGTCTTGAGGACTGAGCCCCATGGCTGGCAGTCTGGGCTGTGGATGTGTGATCCTGCTTGGGTTTAGGAGGATGAACAAGCTGAACTTCTCACTTAGGAAATTGCAAAATACCATTGCACACTGAAACCTGTAAATTTATTTTGGAATAATTATGGATTGCTAAGGGGGACAGAAATTAAGGCCATAACTCTACAAATTGTAACCACCAGGATTGCCTAGGTAACAGCTCCAAGATCTCCAGGGCTCCAAGAAGAAGCGTTTATTTCTCAGTCTTGCCACATGCCCATTGCTGACCTACCAGGGGGCTCTGCTGTCCCCCTCCTCATGCTGGTTGCCATGCCAGAGGAAAGAGAGCTCTGGAAGGTTTTATGTCGGGGCTGTTCAAGCTGCTCATGCCAAAGGGATGCTGCTTCCTTCTAGAACCTGTTGACAGGTCACCCAGTTCCTTCTGGCCATAGCAACCAGGAAGGATAATGTAACATGTGCCCGGGGGAGGTGGGCTGGAAATGTTTGGCAGCCAGCACTGCTCACACACAGATGTCAAGAGATGATTTTCACTGGACAGAAAAGCCAGCAGCCTTTCCGGAGGTGAAGTATCCTCCGTCTTCATGACTAGGAAGAGGCTTTGTGCTGTGTCTCTCGGTGTGCTATTAATATGTGAGCCAGTGCATTGCCCTAACCATCAACTCCATCCTGCTTCCTCATCAAGAGAAAAATGCAAAACCACCTGCTGTGGGATGGAGAAGACCAGCGCATTCCCGAGGAGGCACTGCTTTCCCTTGCCCTCACAGCCTGGCCTTTGAATATTCTCCCAGAAATAGGTTCTTGGTTCTCATTCTCCTTTCCTGAGCCCTCCTTTCTCACTTCTCTTCCCACTCTGTGCCCTGGAGTGCCTTCCTGTAATTCAGAGCTGGTGTTCTTTTGGGGGATTTCTCTTCATGATTGAGATGAGACTGTCTAAGGGGCTAATGTCACCCATTTCAGAATTCACTTCCCGGATAAGGATTCTTCATAGCTGTGTTAAGATTTTGCTGTTGTTGAGTCCCCAGCTGGCTAGTGCTCTTGGCCTCCATCACTTTTCTCTTCCTCCTTTCTTGCCCCCTTTGGTTTCATGAAGCTGATTTTTTCTCAAGTTTCGACTCTTGCCTCTGAGCCACCTTTTCAGTGCATGACTTTCACTGCCCTAAAATAACCTATAGCAAGAAAATCCCAAAAGAACAGTGTTCATTCACTGCTTCTAAGTGACAATCAGAACTTCTTTTAAAGACAGCATATTATTATAATTCATTACAATGAAAAACAGAAGGTGCCTGGGTGAGTTGAAGTAATTGTTTAGTTGTGGCTCCTGATCTTTTTAAAAGGTCTGCATGTGAACTAAACACTCTAAATATGTCCAGTCCCTCCTGTCAAATTCCTGTAAGGGCAGAATCACCTCGGGGAGTGGTTCTTCCGGAGTGGTGATTGACATGCAAAATGCTGCGCAGAGAGCCTCAGCATTCACTAGGGCGTCTTCCTTCCTCCCCTCCTCCTTTCCTTCCTCCATGACTGAAGGCTTGCGTGGTTCCCACACCCTGCTGGGCACTGATCAGGTTCTAAGATCTGCCTTCAAGGAACCCACAGCCTCATGGAGAGAACGACGGACAATTAGGTCACCACAACACCGGATAGAAACCCCACAGGCGCAGTCAGTGCCTGCCTGGCTCACACTTTCATACCCTAGAGCCAGGACTCCAAAACCATGTGTCCAATGAATCACTCAGCACCGGGACTGTCACAAAAGTGAGTGTAAAGAACTGTGGGTCATTCCCTCTGCATCGTGCATTTCTCTGACAGGGGCCCTGCACTATTTGCGGAGGCATCTGTAGATTTATTTCTTAATTGCCTAAACCACTCTGAAATACCTGTCCATTCCCTTAGCATAAGATTAAGTGGATAATGGCCAAATCTCTATTTTTCTGAGTAGCCAAACTTAGCGGTCAGCATTTAGCCTTTATCCACAAACATGGATAGGAAGCCCTGCCCCTGGGCATGGCAGACGGGCAGGACCAACCAAGAAGCAGGGACCAGCCCAGGCACAGTGAGGACCCTCAGCATCAGGCAATGATTTTGAGTTGAGATAATGGTTAGTGTCTGTGTTTCTCAGAGCAGGATATGCTCTTTAATCTAGGATGCAAAGCCCATATGAGGTAAGAAAAAGAATGTAGAACCATTTGGAAAACACCCATTTTTCCCCTGGGAGGCTGAGTAGGTCAGGGGGATCCGCTGGCAGGGGGTCCTCTCCACTCCCCTCTGATTCCCAGAGGCCGAGAATGTCGTGTTCAGCCATTGGTTACTCTGTGCTGCACGGTGAAGTCTGTGGTTGTTGGTAAGCAGCGTAAAAGCCAGGGAGTGTCTGCTGCAAGAATCCCTGGGCATCACGTTGCTTCCGACACTGGTCTGTGTGAGTCCCACAGACGTCCTAGCAGCTGCAAGGGGCACACACCTCCGACCTCCGACCGGCAGGTATGAATGCTTCCAAAGTGCCCGGAGTGAACAGATTAAAGCAATTTTGGAGGGTGAGTAAAAGGATACAAATCAACTTACTGAACAAAAAGAAAAAGTTTAATTTCTGGAAAAAAAAAAAAAAGTAGCTGACCTGCAGTCTGAGATATGCTGAGAGATACACACATTATCTTACAAAATTTCTGCGGGGAGGTTCAGTCGTGCCTGTTTGATGCCTTACTAAATGTTGGGAATCTAATTTTAACTGATCTGCAGCAGAAGCAATCAGCAGCCAGCTCTGTGTTGGGTGTTTACTCAGAGCAAAAGTTTTCTGGGAAAGGCAGTTTAGCATCTGAGCCACGGTGCGATGGTTAGCCATATTTATGACCACTCATGCATCAACCAGCATAGTCTGATCTTAGCCTCTGGGAGCCGATTTAAGTCTTGAATGTGATGGCTAATAGATAGAATTCTGAAAATATGTGTATATATGTTTTCCTTCAGACTCTCTAGTCTCTCAGAAGCCCTATCTAACTAGAAGGACAAAAGAAAATCTCAGTCTTTGCATTGTACTGTTAAAGCATTAGAATGTACTAAGGCAATTGTAATCACAAAGCATTCAAATGTATGGTATGCATTGTAGGCTATTAACATAATCCTGTGTAATGAGAAGATCAGCACCAAGCTAGCCTAATGGCAGACAGCTTCTGGGATTTCAATTTTTGCCTGGATTCACAGAATAGTAAAACCTCTTGGGAATTCATTGCTTTTTTTTCAGTTGTCAGAAGCTAGGCTCTGTGCAACAAGTAAAGAATTCTTTCCTGAATAGTTATTCTACTTGGGATTCAGGGAGATGGTAAATGTCCACGCTGGGTATCAATATCAGAGTCCGTTCCATCAGTGCTTAGGGTCTAGAAAGGAATGGATGATCCTGAAGCCGATGTTCAGTGATCCCTCACACTTGTAATGCAGGGCTGGAATAACGTGATGGGTAGGTTTCCATCTTGGTTGAACATTTTATGATTCTATGGTTTTCTTTCAATGCTAGGATTGTCATCCTGATCGTTAGAAATCACTTTAGTAGATGAATAAACAGCAAGCAGTGAGCGCATCTAATAGATTTCTGACAATAGATCGACAGCTTTTCTTTCTCTCTGTTGCTCTAAGTCATTTGAGAAAAGCCTGGGGTTACAGATATTCTTTGTCAATTACTTCTGGAATCCCCATATCTACTCTTTTAGGCTTTTAAAGATGAGATAATATGAGTATGCTAGTAATTTTGAAATTACTTCTTAAGCAAGGTTCTGCATTCACTGGGTAGAACCAAAATAATGCCTTTCCAAATTAAAGCATGTGTATAGTATATAAGCGGGTATTTCTTCTGAGTAAGCAAGAAGATATTAAAAACATTGAAATGATGGAACTCTGCAGAAGAACCATATGACGCATGCACAACTCTAGGCTGCATTGGGAAAACCAGCCATATTTGGGTTTGGGATTAGCCTCTTGGTTTTGTGCAAGTTGCTTAGTGCCCTGTATTACCCATCAGTGAAGTGAGTGGTTCCTCCCAGCTCTGAGATTTCATCCGAACAGCATGGAAAACAGTAGATCATTTTCACCAAATATCTGTGTAGATAGGACTGGGAACATCTGATTAAATGTGTTGAGTGTCACATTTTCTAGATGTTAGAGGACTCTGACAATGTCTTGTTGAAATCATACTTGGGTCTGGCTCTGGACTCTAAAAAGCTCTTCCTTAATGACATCAGTTGTGATGGATCAGAGTCACTTGTAGATATGGTGATGAACAAAAGACTAGTTTTTATTTTCTCTTTCACAGATGAAACCTTATTTTAGCCACTGACATCTCCGAATGATCTGAAAATGTATTGCATACAACACCTCAAAGTTTCAGATGGACACTCCCTCAGTTGTATTTGGAAGGGAGGCCCCAGGGGCCCCTTGGCATCCTCTGAGAGATGTTCCTGCAGACGCACAATGCACACAAGTGCACAGAGGCAACTGACTTGGGGTCCCAAGCTAGTAGCACACAGGCATGGCCTGAGTACTCAGAGGAGGACTCCGGTGGATATGAGCAGACACCCAGGGTTTCACTTGTCACCAACACAGTCCAGATGATGAAGCAAATACTCAATACTCCAAAGAATTCCTTAATTATTTAGGAAATTTAAATGGGTGATATAATTACTCGGTTGTCTCAATTCTGAATTATTCATTCTGTTTTTAATGGTAGTTTGATGCTAGTAACTCCAGGCTATTATTAATAATTTTTTAAAAAATCAGAAGTAGATTAGAAAACAGTTTCAGAGGAAGGATTTAAAAGCCTCTTAATGGAGGAGTGGCTATGCGGCATTGCATTCAAACAGCCACAGCTGAAGGCTGACTGGGCTTCCTCCAGGCTGTCCTCCTTCCTGAGCCAGTTCCCGTTTGGAGTCTGGGCTGGAGGGAGCTCCTGGCAGTGCCATGACTCAGTCTGGTGAAAAAGCCTGTGTGTGTTCAGGCTGACTTTGAAGGAAGCACCTCTAATGATCTGCAGCCAGGGTGGCTTTGAAGATGGTAAGCATAGAATTTCAAGAACTGGACTTTGGGTACTCGTATGAAATGGAACATTATTATACCACTAATTTGTTCTCTTTAAAAAACAGTGAGAGTCTTCTCATGGTTTTGGTAGTCTCTATTTATTTATATATTTTTATTGGTAGCAAGTGGGAATAAGAGCACAGTTGTTTAAACAAACCCAAGACCATTCTACTTGCTGTGGCTGGAAAGTGAAGAGTATTGGAATCACTGTTTTAAGTGGCTTTGCTGTTTAGACTGAATGTGCACGAGAGCCAAATGACTATTTGATTTCACTAGAAAAATCTGTAAATCTGGTTATTGGATACTGTATAAAGCCATTTAATTCCACAAATGTTAGCCCACAGAAATCTGTGCACTGGAAGAGCTCCTTTAAATTTACAACAGCAAGAAAAATAGGTTTGCTTTCCTATATACTCTCTACTGTTAGTTACAATGACATGAAACAACCCAAGTTTGAATATTTAAGAGTAGCCACAATCACGAAGGGCAGTGTGATAGAACCGAGCAATGAACAGGATGTAAGAAATCCTGGTTTAATCCTATCTTTCCTATGGTTTTGCCCAAAGTGGTCACTTCTCCTCCCTAAGCTTCAGTTTTTCTCACCTGTAAAATTGGGGAAGAGGGTGTAGATGAAATCAGCATGATTCTGCATGTCAGTAGTACATTATTATCTCCTAGAAAGCTTTAAAAAAAAAACTTCTGATGCCGAGACTCTAACCCACTCTAATTAAGTCAGAGACACAATGGATGAGGCCCGGGATATCAATACATGCTCAATAAAGCTCACCAGGTCATTCTAATGGGCATCTATCTAAAGTTGAGAACAGTAGAACCGTCTGAAGGTCTCTTCTGGCTCCAACATTCCGTACCTGAAGATGCTAATGGCTCTTTCTCAATGTCAGAGCACGATGCAGATCGTCTTGTGGTCACGGTGGTTCTCTTGACTCTTCTGGTCACGCGTAAAGACCGGGAGTGGAAGGCAGCACCTCAGCAGATCCAAAGGCCATGAACACCCCACAGTGACTTCCCAAGCTAGAGACTGTGAGTGTACTTGGTGTGGACAAGGCATTCGGGAACCACTGAATTAAATGGGATATTTTTATTCTTAAGAGCAGTGAACTCTACTTTCAAGGGGATGAAACAAGTGAAAAAAATACTTTCCCCCCCAAATATATTTGTCTTGGCTACACCGAGGTCTAATCAGATTTTAGGTATACAAAGATTAATAAGACACAGTCCTTATCTTAATAAGACATAGTCCTTATCTTAAATTAATTTACAATCTAGTAGGGGTGAGGGACAAATTACAATCTAGTGGGGGTGAGAGACAAATAGTAACTGTGTAATGTGGGGGTCTCTAAGTCTGATATTGCTTAGCTATGCAGTTTTCTAGTCTCAGAAACTTGGCTAATGAATTCAAAACTGGAAGGAGGACCCCTAACCCTGTCATTTGCCCAGTTAAGGTAGTTGAGTTTTGCGAGTGAGCTTTTCATTATGCTTTCCATACATATTTCTTTGAAACACAAAGGTATCTAATAAACCCACACAACCCCACACCTGTACACACACAGACTCTGGTATTGCGAAGTGTTTACACTGATGTGCAACAAGCCTCTATGTACTTAAATATGCAAACCTATATTTACATATTTCGATAAAAGAACAAAATACAATAGGATACTTCATCAGTCATGACACAAAGGTGAAAACCACTGTTAACTACTTGTGAACCTCTTATTCTATCCTTAAGCATCTGGAGGCAGCTTGTGTATTAGAATTATTGAGCCTCCGTGTCCCAGATTTGTGTCAGAACCTATCCTTATCCAAGACTTCTTCCGACCAGGGAGAGAAACAATAGCCTGGGTGTTTGTGTTCTTTGCAGCTCTGACCAGGTAAGACTAGTTGTCTATAGGTCTCCTTCTTGCGTTCTGTGGGTCTCCCTGAAACCATTTTCTGCAGGTTGTTAGGAAGTAGGGAAGGCTATTTTAAAATTGCTAATCCAAAGAGGAGGTAAGATGAGATCGTGATACCTTTTTCCCCAAGGGACTAACCACACAACCAACCAACCAGGATAGTTTAGTAGAAGAAGCATCAACAGTGCTACAAATCAGAATTTGAATTTGTATCTTTCCACAACCTAGCTATGTTTGCTTAGGCAAATTTCAACCTGCCTGAATCAGATTTCCTCCAATTTAAGATGAAGCTGGTAATACCCCTACGTAGTGTTTGGGGGTGAAGATTAAATTTAATATTAATACTGTTTATACAGCAGCTATTAAAATAACTAGCACATAGTAGATGTTCAGTTAGTGGTGTCCAAGGTGGCTGATAACTGTCATGGGAGACTGAGTGCACCACTTAGTAAGATGTTTGTTCCGCCAACTCAGTCTCTATGAAGTAGCTCTGTGTGATGTGGGAGAGGTCATGGGGTTGCAGTGGTACATTTGGAAAAAGAAAAAATACTACCTCTTAGACTCTTAATGGAGTAAATGGTGTCATTGCGTAGATTCTCATTAGCCAGTTCTCCCTTCCCTCTCATGCCGTGTCTCTGGGGTTGAGACCAGCGAGGCTATCTTTGTATTTGAATCTCTCTTTGTGGTCTGGCTTGTGTTTCAGTGTATATCTTTCCACACAAACCAGATCAACTGCTTTCAGCTCTGGGAGGAAAACAAAGAAACAAAATGTGATGCAGTCAAACAATTTAATTTCTCAAAGCTTTATGATTCAAATAACCAACAACATTTTACAATGAGTCATTTTGATGGCCAGTAACACCACCCATGGCTTCTTCTTTGGCCTTAAATACCGTCCTTTTAGAGAACGTTCTTAGTTTCTTTTTAACCAACAGTCAAAAATTATTAATTTGGCTCTTTATTCATGAACATTAAAAGCTGGAAGTTAATAAATATTTTATGATTGTAAAGCTCCAATGCATATCTGATTGATATGGAGGGATAAAGAATTGAAGGCAAGAGAGGCCTCCTCTTTCCAGAATTTGCAAAATCAATATAACTTGGGCTTTCACTGATATACTAGGTGCATGACTAACATTGGCTAGAGCAGGTGCTGTCTGATGGAATGGCGCTGCCAGGAAACCCTGATGCTGCCCCGGGGAGGTCTCCAGGTGAGTTTGATCATTGCATCTTTCCCTAGTCTTCCAGGTGAGGTTGGCTAGAATACCCAGGGGAGGAAAAGAGAGCGTTTATATAACACCACCAGCCCCTCTAGTAATGTCAAGATTTGAGAGAAGTATCTAGTAGCTCTTCCTTCTCAAAAGGTGATGGGTTCCTGGGCTGCAATGTATTTTTGAAAAATCATATCTCAATCTTGGAATAATAAGCAGGCAAGTCTGTCAGTTAAAAGGTACTTAAGTATATGATTTAATTCATATTATGTAATTTTTTTCTGCAAATATGTTCAGGAACTCAGCTGCAGTGTTGGTTTTTCTTTAAAGATTTTTTTCCCTTTCCCCTAGTGAACCAGAACAGATTCTTGGAGCTTGCTATTGATTACGCAGATGGATGGGTCTTTCTGAGCTAGGAGGAGAGAACTAGGATAAATAGAGTCCATTTTTTTTCCAAAAGCCTGAAAAGCCCATGAATTCACCTGGTATTCTGGCAAGAGCTGTTACTTCTTAAAGCAAAAAGGGCATTGAATAGGTTTTTCATAGGATGGCCCTTCAAATAACTACTCCTAGCCAACAAAATATTTTAGAAGCTTGCTTTGCCATGTGCTCTTGTAGGAACCTAGAAAATTTCCATTATCAGCTGTTTTCAAAGAAAATATTTATTTTCTTTTTATTTTATAAAAGGAAAAGTTAATTCATGAAATATAAATAAATTCTCAGATTGGCTATTATTTGCTTAATAGCCAATAATAAAAGAGCAACTGCTATTGATTGCAGAGAAAGTCAGTGAACAACTTTGTGAATCAGGGGTCTGTTGATAGCTTATTGTTAGGGGAGTAATTTGCGAGGTTGAGATCCTATGCTCTGACTGCTGATGCCATTTTCTGCAAACGTTGCCTGAGCCAAGTCACTGACTGGCAGGGCTTGTGTATGTGAAATACAAACATACTTGTAAGATTTATAAACGATTACATGGTCACGGGCATCTTAATGGAAAGAAGACTGCTAATCATTGACATTGAATATGTAGAGAACACTTCTTTTGTAGGCAGATAGACTTATTAAGGTATCTTGAGTAGTTCTTTAATCACCCTGTCTCTGTTGCCTTATTTATAAAATAGTGATAAGATTACTTAACCTGTTAAAATTTTGTGAGAAATAAATGAGATCATAAGTGCAATGTGCGCACACAAGGCCTGTCACTTCTGAAAAAAATGTTGGTTTCCCTTTTCCCTCTGTGCAGACCAGCCTGCATTTACCCTTTAGCTGAAGCATCTAGGCCAAGGATGTGTGTGCTCAGTGCATAGCTATTGAATGAGGAATGGGTAGAAGATTGATTGAATGAATGAATGAAGCTAGCTTATGTTCAATAAATACCTACATTAGCATTTATGGGTGAACCCTGAATCAGTTAGGAATGCGTCGAGTCTGTTTCTAACCAGGCTGCCTCATTACTGATATTAACATTTATATTCCCTGAAAGCATCAGGGAATCAGGAAAAGATTCTTTCCCATGTTGTTTCTGTTCTTACCTGGCCTTCTTTAGGGACATGAACTTCAGGTAGTTCTGGCTATTAGCCACTGTACATAGACATTACATATGCATTGTTTGTTATTCTCCTTTGAATTTAAGATTGCTCTTTGACTAAGAAAGTAGAGTGTTTCCACTCTATAATTTATCGACTAAGAAAAAGAGGCAGGAGAAAAAAAACCACACACAAGACAAACATTTAACCTAAGGCTTTCAGGGGACAAGTGCTGGTGGATTTCTGTCTCTTAATGCTTGAGTATTTTCCTGTTTTAGCTGCACGAGTGATGAAAGTGAGGTGAAGACTGATTTAAAGGCACCTTTTAGTTCAAGATGCCTTGTCTTGGCAAAGATTTTAAGATGAAACAAGGTCTCCGACTGAGCAGGCAGTTATCATTAAATTTCGTTTTCCCATTGAATTTCCATTTTTTCCCAATTGTACAACGTCTTGATAGCATCACTGATTCCTCATGAAAATACATATTTTCTACTTGATAAAGCCACCTACAAATAACTTCTCCCATCCTCCAAATCCCACAAATGTGATCCCTACTACAATTAGCTAACACCTAGTCACTAGTTAATCTGGTAGACCTTCCAGTTCCTTCACTGCCTCTTGGTTCCAGGTATTGCACCAGCACTGCAGAGGCAATTAGGGCAGAGGCCTTAATAAGAAGGCCTCCACTGAACTTAAAGCCAGGCATAGGGAATTCGTGAAAGAAACCATAGTAAGGTGTGAGAATTGCCAGATTAAGACAGGGATAAAGTACTCTTGAAATATCCAAACAGAACACTTACTTTTGCCCAGAAGGCAGAAGCTTGAGGAAGGCCACAAGAAGGAGATATTTCAATTAGATGCTTTTATAAATGAATTTTAAAAATCCCCATATGGGTCAAATGAATTCTAAGTGAAGAAAACAGTGTGGTCTGTGGAATAGAAATACGGAATTTTATAGAATCTCGTGCAAACAGGAATTATTTTACTCCAGCTAGTAAAGCAGGTGTTTGAAGCAGGTGGCGGGGAGTTGGCATGAGGGTGGCCGTCAGTGAGGCCAGAGAAGACCCCAGGCCAGGTGGAACATGTCCCTGTTGTACGGAAGTCCAGAGCTAGTGAGCTGATGCTCATGCATCATTTGAAATAGTAAACATGGAAATTAAGGCATGTGCTGTTCAGAAGGCTCAGTAAATAACATGTGGAGTTAATGCTTCCTGTATACATGTAGACTTAGGTAAGCAAAGCCTGAGGTTCTTGGGCCTTTTCACTTGCTATTGCCATGGAAGAGCCAACAAACTATCTCTCTCAGTTCCAGCAGTCCTGGTTCATGGCTATTTACATGCAAATGTCAACACCAGATTGAAAACATCAGAGTGATTTTGCTATAAATAAAAAGTACATTAGACTTTTAGATTTTCTTTGGGATCTGTTAGTGAGCATTACCTGTGCGTGCAGACCTGTACAAGACATCTTGGAAGTGATAGGAAAAAACAGCATTCTCGTGTGTAGTAGATAGATTCCTATTTTCACACCCTTCTCTAGATATCTGTCAGATGATCTTATACTCATATTTTTGAGGAAGCAAGAGTGGGATATCTGTTAGAGCCCCATTTGGGCAAAGAGTAAATAGAGGGGCACAGTTTTTATGGAAGCCTGGAATGATGGATTACATTTTAATAAGGAGAGAAATTTGGTTGCAGGGATACGAATAAGCAGGTTGAATGGAGGGGCAGACTGGGAGGCTGAGTCTCAGGACCGCAGGGCCAGAGCAGCACCTGCAGGTGAGAGGTCTGCAGAGAATGGCAGCATGTTTGGAGTGCATGTGAGGCAGGGGCATGGGGGCTTAGAGTGCTCCTCTTCTCATGGTGGGCTCACATATGTGATGTCTACTTGTGTTTGGAAGCCTGGGTGACAGGTAGACCACCTGTGAAGGATGGGGAAAGAGATTCCTCACTTTAGTAGCATTATCAAGTTCAAGCACCAGTATGGAAATAGGAAGAAAGCAAAAGTATGTACTCCTCCCGGCTAAGCAGGTTGTGAGAATCCCAGCATCCTTGCACACCCTGGGATGCGCTCACCACAGAGGGGTGTGCGCTGGTCTCAAGGGAAAAACAGAAGCAGGCCTTTTTGAATTGAAGTGCAATTGGTGTAATATAGGCAAAATAGCAACTCTTTTCCTAAAGGAACATATCGTGCCCAATTTTAATTAGCTCTGATGAAGTCTAGGAAAATGGGTGACTCGTCAGAGAAGCTGTTAAACTTCAGAGAAAAACTGCCTATAGCCCCAAGGTATTCCTTACTTTGACAAAATTCTTATTTTTCCTTAAGTGTTTGTCACTGTGAAACCCGTCCCATTTCCAGGTGCCGTCACTGTTGGTATAGCTTGAAAAAGCAACACACTTCCTATGGTAAGGGCAGCTTATGGGTGTTTGCAGGTGCAAGGCAAAGAGACACAAAAATCTAGATGTCAGAAAGAAAATATAACCAGGGGGTGAAATAGAAGGGAATTATCATAAAAATCAAGATGAATTGGTAATGAATCAGATGCATATTTTTTTCTCTTTTTGAACAGTTTTATTGAGATATTAATGGCATACAACAAATTGCACATATTTTAAAGTGCACACATTAATAAGCTTTGGTGTATGTATACATCCAGAAACTCACCCCTCAATCAAGATGCTGAATGTGTGTGTCTCTCCTGAGAGTTTCCTCCACGCCCTCTGTGACACCTCACCTCGCTCCTCCCAGGCAGCCAGAGATGCCCTTTCTGCCATGGAATGTTTGTGTGCATTTCCTAGAACGATACATAAATGGAACCATATAGGATGAATTCTTTCGTTGTCAGACTTCCTTCTTTATCCCTTCCAATAGGCGTATAGCAATATCTCATTGTGGTTTCGTTCGCACTTGCCTAGTGAGAAATGTTGTTGAAAAGTTTTTCGTGGACTTATTCGTCTCTCCTCTGTCTTCTTTGGTAAAATACCTGGTCAAATCCATTGTCAGTTGTATAATTGGATTTTGTCTTGTTTTATTTTGTTACCATTTAATTTTGAGAGTTTCAAGAAATATATTCTGGATACAATTCCTTTGACAAATATATCGTTGGCAAATATTTTCTCTCACTCTAGCTCTTCTTTTCTTTCATTCTCTTAACAGTATCATTAGAAAATAAAATTCCTCATTTTGATGACGTCCAGTTTGCCAGTTGGTTCTCTTATAGATTATGCTTTTGGTGACTGCCTAGGAAATCTCTGCCTAGTAGAGAGGGTCACAAGGTTCTCTTCTATCTTTTTTTTCTAGAAGTTTTAACATTTAGGTCTGTGGTTCATTTTGAGATAATTGTATATTGTATGAAGTACGGGTTGAAGTTCATTTTTTCTGCATATGGCTATCTAGTCATTCCAATACCATTTCTCGAAAAGACGATCCTTCCTCCTTGAAATATGGCAGTAACAAATTATAGCACATGTGATATAAATGACTTGCAAAGCCACACTTCCAACCTGCATTAGGAATGGACGGTTACAAGGGCCGCTCCAGGAGCCCACCTGGAGGAAAATGGAAACTGCCATTGGCTGGCAGCCTGTTGGGTAAGAATGGAAACTGCCGTTGGCTGGCAGCCTGTTGGGTAAGAATGGAAACTGCCATTGGCCGGCAGCCTGTTGGGTAAGAATGGAAACTGCCATTGGCCGGCAGCCTGTTGGGTAAACCGCATCAGGCTGCATTCACGGATGCTCTTCTGTGGCACTGATGGGATGACTCCAGGAAGTCTATGGGGAAGTACCACAAAATGTGGAGGAAGATGGCACTAGACACCTGAGGAGGGACCACATGACCTCCATCCAGGTGCCAAATAATTACAGTTGAGATGATTTCCCTGCCTCTACTAACCCAAATTCACCCAAATTCATTGTCCACGTTGGTGTTAGGTGATATTTCCAAAAAATTCTGTTATGCCACTCCTTTGAAAATTTCCTAGGAACCTCAGGTAGGTCCTTCTTCTTCAGAGTTCTAGAGGACAGCAGTGTGTCCTTGCACTCCCTGCCATCTTCCAGCAGGACCCTGTGCTCAGCCCTGCTTTCCACCTGTGCCTCGTTCTTACATGCCTTGTGTGAGGGATGTGGCTTTTCCCTTTTTCGGTTTGGCAAACACCTTCTCCCTTTTCAAGACCCTCTCTGAAAACACCTCATGTACTCCTGTTGGTATTAGCCCCTCTTACTTTGTGCCACCAGATCAGTTTCTGTCTCTAAATATCATTTTCGCTCCATCGGATAGAATAACTGTTCCTCCTCTCCTCTCTGTTCTGTGTTTCCCCACAGAGCTGTGATGGATGGAGGCCTGTTTGCTGTTAGATCTGCTACAGCTGGAATGTAATCTTGCTTGGAGTAAGAACTTACAAATGGGCCGGGCACGGTGGCTCATGCCTGTAATCCCAGCACTTTGGGAGGCAGAGGCGAGTGGATCACTTGAGGTCAGGAGTTGGAGACCAGCCTGGCCAACATGGTGAAACCCTGTCTCTACTAAAAATACAAAAATTAGCTGGGCACGTTGGTTCACACCTGTAATCCAAGCTATTCAGGAGGCTGCAGCAGAAGAATCCCTTGAACCCAGGAGGTGGAGGTTGCAGTGAGCTGAGATTGTGCCGCTGCACTCCAGCCTGGGTGACAGAGCAAGACTCTGTCTCAAAAAACAAAACAAAACTCACAAATGTTCATTTAGTGAATGAGTAAATGAATTCAGTGAATTTCTGTGTTATTCATACTCATCCTACTTTCATGGAGTTTTTATGAAAAGGATGATGACCTTCAGCCATGGGGAGCATTGCACTGCCTCCTTCCAAGGACCACCTGGGCTCCCTGGCCATGAGCCAGTTGCCCCAAAGGCATTTGACTTAGATTAACCTGAAAACATCGATGTCATCATCCCTCAGCCCTGCTCAGAAAGCTGCAGGGAGCCTTCACCCTTTCAGGACCGAGGCCAAGCTCCCCAGGCTGGCTTTATACATCCTCTAACAGAAGCTGGCCCTATCCCGTTTCCACTTAATTGACTCTTCCCCATGGGATACTCTCCTTAATTAAAATTCATCTCTACCCCCTAATAAGCGTATGTGTTCCTACCTCCATGACTTTGCACCCTGAAATGCTCTCAGATTCCAGTAAAATCTCCCTTCTCCTCTTTAATCTCCAAGTTTCTATGTTTTGGGGCTCTGAGTCTCTTCTCCCCATAAAGTCTCCCTTTCTGAATTTCCAGCCTCACTGCCCACTGAACATCTAACCAGATACTGCTTTGTGTATTGAGTTTGATGGTATAATTAGATGGTGTATATTTCTGCCACCCACGGCACAGCCTGGTGAATTGCAATCTTTATTCATTGATATTGTGATAGCAGTGAACTTGGGTGTGGGGAAAGTTTAATGAAGGTCAAGCAGAAGATATGTAAAGCTCTAAATACAGAGAGTGATGATTTATTCAGAGAAATAAGAGAATCCATGGGGAATACCAGACTCTAGCTTCCTTGTGGACAAGAAGCATTCCTGTGCCTCTGTGTGCTCTGTGCTCCTTCTCCCTAACTAGATCCCCACCCTTGCCCTAGCTTGGTGCACTGATACCATACGTCGATGCAGACACTAAAGAGATGACTTCCACCTCCTCACAAATATTCAGGTAGAAGACCTTCCCTCGGAACACCCGGTCATCAGAGAGTGTTCCTGATTTCGCTTTTGCAAACAAGAGGTAGTCCAGCTTGGAAGAACATCCAGCGCCTTCCCTGAAATTCATCTGTTCTCCACTTTCCACTCTTGACTGTCATAACAAAGGACAGTTGTAGGTGGTGCCCAGTGACCCAACTCAGTCAGCTTTATCTATTGGCAATAAGGTAGTATTGACATATCAATATTTCCTTGCCAAGATGCTCATTTGTTCTTAATAAGAATCAATAATGTTCAATTAATATAGATTATGTCACTAAGTAGTTAATTTAGAATGTCGTTGCTTTGCAGTTCATATCCTAACCCACCTGATCCTAACAGCATCCACCTAGGAGCCCAGACCGTTGGGAAGGAGAAGAGCAGAAAACCTAACTGGTCCACCTGGAAGACCTAGAATTTCATTCCAGCAGGAGCGGCCCACCCAGGAAAGGGCCTCCCTCCCACAGCAGCTGCTGGGAATCACTCTCTTTGATGACATCATTGTCATCTGGGCAGGGAGCAGAACCATTTTGGGGTTTCCCATCCATTCAGTGCTCCCACTGAGGTCTTGGAGTATGGCCCAGATGGCTGTAGATGTGCAAACTTACGATCATCCTGGAGCACGGGGCCCTGTGTCATATGGATCCTGCTTGATGTGTAGATAGTGCATTATTTTCCTACTTGAGCTCTTTCCTTTTCCAGGTACATAGACAGGGTTGCCTTGAGGCTTAGTCACCCTTCGCCCATTCTGTCTTACTACTACAGAGGGTGAGAGACTGGACAAAGGGGCCCTCAGTGTAATTTTCACTTCACATATTTTATTATTATTTTTTTTTTGAGATAGGGTCTCACTCTGTCGCCCAGGCTGGAGTGCAGTGGCGTGATCTCTACTCACTGCAACCTCCACCTCCTGGGTTCAAGTGATTCTCGTGCCTCAGCCTCCCAAGTAGCTGGAATTGCAGGTGTGTGCCACCACACCTGGCTCATTTTTTTGTATTCTTAGTAGAGATGGAGTTTCACCATGTTGGCCAGGCTGGTCTTGAACTCCTGACTTCAAATGATCTGCCCGCCTCGGCCACCCAAAGTGCTGGGATTACAGGCGTGAGCCACTGCACCCGGCCTCACTTCACATATTTTAAATTTATTCCAGTAGTCTAAGCATTATGCAACTCTGGTTAGATAATGAAGGTCATGATACACCTAGAAGGTTACAGATTTCAACTGGATTAACCATTGTTATACAAACATATGTGCATGTGGATATCAGAGGATTCAGAGCCTCTCTCCTCTGTTTTGTAAATTGACCTTCAGTCTCTCATCTTAGGAATGACTCTTGGCCTTGGATGAGGGCCTGACGAGGGTGGGTTGAGTTGGTAAAACCCGGCTGTGTTAGTTTCCAGTCCATCTGAACCCACAGCCCCTTTTCCTGGCTTTCCCTGCTATAGCCCATGAACACAATCACAGTTTCTGTTGATCATCGTTATGGTCCTCCCAAATCCTTCACCTGGGCTATTGGTTTACTAGGGTTTTTTTTTTTTGGTGGATTTGCCCAAATGTGGGGACACCTGGCAGGAGACAGCAGCTGGGGTTCCTCGAGGCTGCTTGGAGCCCTGGCCCCTGAGTCAAGTCCTCACGTTCCCTTTTATTTCCTTCTCCCCTAATTGCAAGTCGTCAGGAGTTTCAAATGCCCACCAACATTTGGAGAAGGCTTGTGGGCTGTTTGCAGGCTATTCAGCCCCAAAGGCTGTACGGAGATAGGTGTGGGTTATCCTAAGCGTCCCTGCTCCTCATGTTGTCACTCATCCATTTTCAGTAGGCGCTGCTCCTAAAATGCACGTTAATATTGATGCTGTTTCATCCGGGTTCTTTTCCTTTCTACATTGCCTCACCTGGTTTCCACTATTCCCTAGTAACTAGGTAGGAGTCATTTTTTTAGATGAATAATTGATTTGCTTAAGGGACTTTGGGCAAACTTAATTGGTAGCTGAGTTAGAAGTACACATTTTGTTCATTTATTTGCCCGTCCTTTAGATATTCATGAAGAATTTGCATAGAAGCCTAGCACTGAGTTTATAATAAAAATTAACCTCATGGCATCTATACTCTCAGCCACTTTTTTTTTTTTCTTTTTTTTTGAGATGGAGTCTTGCTCAGTCACCAAGGCTAGAGTGCAGTGGTGTGATCCTGGCTCACTGCAAGGTCCGCCTCCTGGGTTCAAGTGATTCTCCTGCCTCAGCCTTCTGAGTAGCTGAGATTACAGGCACACACCACCATGCCCAGCTTTTTTGTGCTTTTAGTAGAGACAGGTTTTCGCCATGTTGGTCAGGCTAGTGTCTAACTCCTGACCTCAAGTGATCCGCCTGCCTCAGCCTCCCAAAGTGCTGGGATTACAGGCGTGAGCCACCATGCCCTGCTTTCTCAGCTACTTTAAAACAAATAACAACAAAAAAATCTCCTGATTGTCAGTGCAGAGCCCCGCCCGTAATGCCTGGACTCACAGGCTGCTGGGCTTAGCAGTCTCCTCAACCCCAGCTGCACAATGGAATTACTCGGAGCTTTTAAGAAAGAAAGAAATAATAATACCAATTCAAAATCAAACACGGAACACATACATCGGTCATCAGTCACATACCATAGATTCTTATTTAATCAGTCCAGGGTGTAGCTTGGCTTTGGAAGGCTTTTTCTTTCCTGGCTCCTTTTTTTTTAAACAATTTTTTATTGATGCATAATCAATGCATATAGTTTTGGGGTACATGTGATAATTAAGTACATTCATATAATTTGTAAAGAGCAAATCAGAGTACTTAGGATCTTCATTACCTTAAATATTTGTCTTTATGCTAGGAACATTCAAATGATTCCCTTCTCGCTATTTTGAAATGCACAGTAGATGAGTGTATGCTGCAGCCACCCTGCTGATCTATCGAACGCTAGTGTGCAGCTGAGGGTGAGAACCGCCGGGTGGAGATTGGAGGAGACCTGAGTCTTTAATAAACACTGAGCCGCTGGGGAAAAGGTTTGAGGGGCATTTGCTAACACAAATGCTAAAGGTCAGTACTAAAAACTACTCAGGCCATTCTTAGGCATTTTTGTCTTAGAAAATGTCAAAACAGCTGTGACCTCATGATTTCTGTCTCGTGAGGACTCTGAAGAATGCCTTAGTGCTCCTGAATTAGGTTGTAAATATTGTACTTTTTTCTCTTGAGTTTTCTTTGGAAGAATAGTGAATGATTAAAAGAAAACCAAAGCAGTACTATTATTTTAGAATACGGAAATGCAAGGTAGCAAAGTGTCTAACACCTAGAAAGTTAGCCCCGCCTGGACACCAGCTGTGAAGCTCTGTATTAATTGAACAAATGCTGTCCAAGAAAGCAAAACTTCCTAATCTCTTCTGATGGTCCTCAATATAAGATTAGTATAGAATCTTCTTAGAATTGGTTTCCTTTAAAAAAAAAAATTGTGGGCTTCTCTTCCCCATCAAAATGACATCCCTTTGAGATTAATGCAGGAAGCAGAGGGCACGGTGGAACTTGTCTCGCTGAATATTCTGACGTGGTCAAGTTTCCTAATCAACAGCAGAGATACAAACTTGCATTATAGTTGTGGGTGGTGGGGAAAGGATTGCCTTTTTTTGTTGTTGTTTTTTTTTGAGATGGAGTTTCCCTCCTGTCCCCCAGGCTGGAATGCAGTGGTGCGATCTCGGCTAACTGCAACCTCCGCCTCCTGGATTCAAGAAATTTTCCTGCCTCAGCCTGCCGAGTAGCTGGGATTACAGGCACCTGCCACCATGCCCAGCTAATTTTTTGTATTTGTAGTAGAGACAGGGTTTCACCATGTTGGCCAAGCTAGTCTTGAACTCCTGACCTCAGGTGATCCACCCACCTTGGCCTCCCAAAGTGCTGGGATTACAGATGTGAGCCACCACGCCTGACCAGGATTGTCCTGTAAAAGTGAATTTTTCTAGGCAATTGAAGATTGTTAAAAGTGGGTTAAGGCTTATGCCTACCTAAAACATTCATTCCAATTAGGGCCTCATCCACATTTAAATTCCAGATTCTGAAAACCCTTCACTCCTAAATAAGAAAGTATTGGGGCAGCAGGTCCCACGCCGGACTGTGGAGGTTGGCTACGTGCAGTGAATGAGTCATTTCTGTACCCTCTAGTGTATGTGTAAGGTACAGCTGCAGATAGATCCATAGGAAACAGGGACTCCAAGAATAGCAGTTAGTAAATCCGTGATCCGTGTGTCATGGTTCTATTGAAAGGAAAGTGTAACCACATCAGTGGGTCTGCATACCATTGAAAAGAGTTTCTCAATCAAAAACCTAAACACATGTCCTGAAACCATCACTTAAGCACTCTGAGATCTTGATCCAATTACCTAAACTTCCTAGATCTGTTTTTTAATTTTTTTTGTTAAATCATTGCAATAATTCTTGTATCACAGAGTTACTCCAGAGATTAAATAAGGCAGCGCATCTCAAACACTTACCAGTTTTTGTTAAATTAGGACCTTTTTCACCCACTACAGTTAGTAGTACCTAAAAGTGGAGCTACGACTAGTTTTCTTGGAGTGAGTTTTGGGAATTTAAATAAGTAAATCGTGTGATGGAGTTTGGAAGTGATAAAGCACTATATAAAATGCTCATGCATTTCCCCATTTCCCAAATGTCCATGGCATGAGTCGTGCATTCCAGATGCCTGGTGTGTTCTGGGAATGCAAGGCTGGCCATGCGCTGGGTCTCTCCTCATAGGGTTTACAGTCAGTTAACAGCAATGCACACAAAAGGATGTATTGAAATAGATCCATTGGAGGAGTAAAAATACGGTGACAATAAGGGGACAGAGAAGAAAACAGACAACCATGGCCAGCTCCTACCGGAACAGTGGTAAGGATGCCGAACACATTCATACATTTCTGTGAAAATGCAAGCCCTTCCATTTCATTTTGGTTAGTAATAATCATATATTTTGGCCAGGCTTCCCTCCCCCAATTTCCTACGGCTCTGCACTTGACATTCACCAAAACCCTGTTAGTTTCCCCCAAACCGGACGTGATTCCACTCCTCCATCCTTCTGCCCCTTTCCGAGCAGCTTCCTTCAGGGCTCACCCACACCTGGAATTCAGCACCAGCTATTACATCTGCATGTCGGCTCCTGTGAACCCGTCATCCCCTCCTACTACAGGCCGGGGCCACTGGGCCCTGTTAGTTCAGGGCCCCTCCATTCCCCAGAATCTTCTTCCACTCACAACAGGGCAAGGGTTTTTAACATGCCTCCTTCCTTCCATGCCTTGAGCTTCTTGCAGGCAAATAACAAAGGCATTTTGTCTGAGTCCCCAGAGCTAAGCACAGAACCTGGACTATATTAGGCCTTTAATTTTTTTCCAAATGTCAGCTAACAGGCACAGGCATGCATACATACACACGAAGCATTTTATTTTTTTACCTGATGGGGACACAGGCCAGGGTTTGACTTAGGAGTACATAATAAGGATTGACAATCAGGACATTAAAGCAGATAACTTTGGGTTCAAGTTCTGATTTTGCCGCTTACTAGGTGGTGACCTTGAATAAATTACTTAAATTAAGATTTTCCCACTCACTTGAAAATGGGGATAATAAAAATCATAACAATACATTTTGGAGAGTATTAAATACGGAAATGAGCTAAAGTTAGCTCATGCCCGGCATATAATGTTTGCAGCTAGCATTTAGAGTGCATGGGGCTGCTGATGTGTTGATGCCTGAAGTTGCGCAAATACAGGTGGGTAGTGGAATACGGAAACAATGATCCCATAAACCAGGCCCAAAGCCCCATCACTGAAGGAATGCTTACCTTAGCCTGAATTTTCCAGTATCCTCTACATGCCACAGGCAGAGCCACCACCCAGAGTTGAAGCCATCTGAAGGTGACATGCTGCAGCCTTGTCCTCGCAGGTCATTCTTCAGCCTCCTGACCTCTGCTCAGAAGCCTGTCTGTGCTTACGGACTGGGCTCTGCACAGCTGTCACATCCTATCACTGCCCCTCCAGGTTTGCAGTCAAAGACCACAGCAGAGATGAGGCATAATGAAGGACAGACACACCCAACTGAGCACCAAGCAAGCGACATATCCTAATACATATGTGCGATGTGTGCATGTAAGGGCAGGAGAGCAGGAGAGAATTGGAGGAAATAGCTGCAACCAAAAGTGAAGAAATAATAAGACACCTGGAAAGAGGCCTCTCTCTTCTGATCTGTGAGGCCGTAGTGCAGTGGAAGCGCCTGATCTAGAGAGAGGCAGGCGGATATTTGTCCAAACTGCAGCTCACACCTGTAACCCCGTTTCCCTCCTCAAGTCGTCTACATTTACTTTGCCTCAGTTTCTTATAAGAAGATAGAGGCAGTAACATCTATTTTTGTGTGTTTTTGTGAAAATGACATATTATAGAGAAAGAGTCTGTTAAAAATAGAAGTGCTTAATAAATAGTTGCTATTGTAAGTGGATGTCAGAGGAGCTGTTACAATATATCCCAGAAAGTGAGCCCTGGGAAGGCGCCGATTTTCCATAGCAATCCTGTTTCTGCTTTACAGTTGCTTCCTCTTACGTGCATTTACCTGCCTGGTCATCCTGCAGGGCAGTGCCACCTGCGCAGTGGTGTGTTGCATCCAGGAACAATGTCCACATGATCAGTGTCAGGCACAGAGTGGCATGGGCATCCTCACCATTCTGTCTCCAGTCCCATCCGTGGACAAAATGCCCCCTGGAAAGTTGAACAGAGATTGCTTCAAATGGGCCAAATATGCATTAGTGAGGAACTAAACTGCTTTGACAGCTCCTGTGTCTCCTGGATGGGAAGTGGGGAGGGAGTCATGGAGTTTTAATCTCATCCTCTTTGTGGCACTGGGCACGCCACTCAAGATCCCTGCTTATTTCCAGCTTATAGCATAGAATGAGAAGCCATTCACCCTTGTGTAGAGTGATGCTGGGAAGAATTAATTATTCAATGACTTAAGGGTGCTTCTGATATCAAAAGAGCCCATTATCATCATCGGCCTCCTCTCCCCAGTGTGAACACACGGCAAACCTGAGACTCATTGGAAGGGACGCTGCTCAGACCTGCGAGCCCCATTTCCATGGGTAGGTGAAATGTCTCATGGCTGCCGACACCCTTGCGGCAGGTCCTGGGCGTGGTTAAGTAGGGGGAAAGTGTATTTCTTTTCTGTGGCAAGATTTATTCTGTAGGAGAGCTCATACTTTGGAAGCAGCAATAACCTAGGACTGCTCTTAACTAGCTTGATGACCTTGTGTGTGTGTGTGTCTGTACGTGTGTGAGTATGTGTACCTGCATGTGTTTATACCGTATATATGGATATATGTGTACTCCGGAACTCATAATATATACAGTTATAACCATTGTTCAATCATAAGCTGAATATGCATGAGTCACTCTTTCCTGCACTGAACTCCATTTTGTCTGTCACAGGCGTTAGATGACAGCTTAGATCATAGCCTGCTCCAATCTTTACATTTTAATAAGCACCTTTTTTCAATGCCACTCTGATACACCCTCTGGTCCTTCATTAGTCATTGCTGATATTATTTCTCTCTAAGTGCTTCTTCCTCCATTTTAAAGAACAACTTCGATGTGGTTTTTTTTTTCTGTTTTTTAAATTAAACTTTGTATTTTGAGATAATTGCAGATTCACATGCACTTACAGGAAATAATACAGAGAGAGCCCTTGTACCCTTTCCCCAGTTTCCTCCAGTGGTAACACCCAGGACATTGACATGGATGTAGTCATGATACAGGACATTTCTGTCCTCACAGGACCCCTCCTGTTGTCTTTATGACCACTCCCTCCAAGCCCTACCCATCCAGAACCCTGACAACCACTGATCCATTCTCATTTCTATAATCTTGTCATTTCATGTAGTTAAATAAATGGAGCCATAGGTGTGTGACCTTTTGGGATTGGCTTTTTTCCTCTTGGCATATTTCTCTGGGGATCATGTATATACACTGATATGGTTTCAATCTTGGAGGAATCCTGATTCTGAAATCCTAGAGTCCAAATCTGATGATTTCAGGGCTGAACAGTTCCCTTCTTTGAGTGATGAGGACCTGAAGGCTGAGAGACCTGAGGTGTCATGCCCAGGGATCACCCATGGCACAGCCTGAGCTCACAGCAGAGATCCGGCCTCCAGGCCCGGAGCACTCCTCCGCCATGAGGTCTTTTACAGCTCAGACTGGGCAAAGCTCTTTTTAATTCCACCAAACCTAGAATTGTTAAAAAAAAAAAAAAATTAATTAATTAATTAACTAAAAACGCTCAAGATGCCCTCTTACTGCCAGCCACAAAGGGGATTCTCAGCCATCCCAGCCTTTGTGGGCACTGGAGCAGCCGTGGCCTCTCTTGGTCCTGCCTGTGTGTGCAGGAGCAGGCACAAGTGGGCTCAGGCTGATGCCCCCAGACCACCCTCGGCCTCTGACCCTTGCCTGAGGCTGGCCTCCACACCATGATGCCATCCAAGGAAAGGCATCTCCTTAATGCCTCTGAGAGTTCCATTTGTAAACATTTTTGAATGAAGGTCTCTAAAGAAGCAGCCAAAGGGCAGGATGTCCCACAACACAAAATAAGACATCCTCCTTATGCTGTCTCTGACCAAAGTCCTCATGCTCACACAGCTGGCCCTTCCCTCTCTTCTCTTCTTCTCTTCCTTCCCCTCAAAGAATATCCCAGCCTCTATCAACCAGCACCGTGGCTCTCATCAAGATCTTTGCCGGTCCTCGGCCCTTGTTCTCCGAACCTCTGTGCTCTCTTACATAAATTAGCAACCTCCTCTGGCATCTCTAAGCCTGTGCACCACCCATTCCCCTTGTCCCATAGCACAGGCAGCACAGAGGCATGGCATGCCAGAGAAAGCAAAGAAGGGAGAAGCCTTAAATTCCTGTCCTTGAATATGCTCTTGCCCCAGACATATTGCTCATCGGGGGTCATAACAGCTCGCAAAGCAACCTTTTCACGTACCTGAGAAACTCTCCCAACGTGTCCAAGCCCGTATAGCTGAGTCACTTGACCTTTCTTCACTATGACCTCACCTACCTGGGCCCTCACCAATCCATCCAGATAATTGTAAGATTGTATAAAGTTGACCGCTTTCTCAATGCATTCTCTTTTCTCATCAAGATATCAGAAATCTTTGACATGCCCTAGAAAAAAATGCATGTGATACGGGGTTTTACTGTAGAGCGATGGAAATGTTTTGGAACTGGATGGAAGTGGTGGCTGCACAATGCTGGGAATGTACTAAATAGATGACATGGAATTGTTCACTTTGAAATGGTTAATGCTGTGTGATGTGAATTTCACCTGCATACATTATTTTTAAATGCGTATGGGGTCACTTCCAAGGTGAAGTGCCCAGTCTTCTTTCAGACATGAGGTGTAGCTAGAGCATTCATGAAGGTATGCAAGGAAGGGCTGAGATGAGCAGCAAGGGGTGGAAAGGAAAGGGTACCGAAGTGCTGCTGTGCTCCACGCTGGCCCCTTACATAGCTGGAGACACAAAAGTGGGGCCTTTGCGTATCCAGATTCGAAGAATTTGATGAGGGCATTATCAAGATGAAAATGTGGAATATTGTTGTTGGCAAAGCCACATTAACACACCCACATAGCACACATATAAAAGTTCTAATGACTGTCTGGTGCTTTAAAATCCAGGGCTTAATACAAGCAACTCAAGTTAACCAATTTAACTGTGAAAACCCAATCATAGGCATTTCCTGACATTTTGAATTTGCAATTGTAATGCCGTTGGTGTCCATGTAGTAAAAAAGTGCAATATTTGGAGGATGCGTATTTTACTTTTAGATTTTATATATTTATCAATTGGCATGATCTTAAAAAAAATCTAGCATTAACACCAAACATATACAAGTGTTGTATTTAATGTCTGTGCACCTAAATCAGACCAGTCAGACCACTTCACCTGTTGGGCTCTCCAAAGCTTTTCAGAAACACAGCTTATCATTCACGGACACCTCTGAAGACCAGAGGCATTGTCTGCTGAGGCTGCATAGTTGCTTAGGGCCTGAAAACTTTGTATGGTAGTTTGTAATTTGCAATGAATCAGTTACAGCCAGAATTAAGATGATTTTCACTCTAACTACAAAACAAGTTTGACTGTAAACAAACCTAGAGCAATATACAGAGTATATCTGGAAGAGATCTTCCAATACATACTATCTTTTTATAAATGAAGAAGCAGAACCCAGAGAATCTTTTTTTGGAAAGGGAATTTGAAGAAGAAATAATTTTTTTAACGTAGCCGGATGCGATGGCGCAGGCCTGTAATCCCAGCTACTCGAGAGGCTGAGGCAGGAGAATCACTTGAACCTGGGAGGCAGAGGTTGCAGTGGGCCACGATCATGCCACTGCACTCCAGCCTGGGCAACAGAGTGAGACTGCCTCAAAAAAAAAAAAAAATTTAAGAATATGTGTATTCCCGTTTTTTACATGTAATTGGGTATTTCTAATTACATATCACTTGTTTTTTATTCCTGTGATATGATAAAGAAAACAGGCATTGGTTACTGGTTCCTTGTTATTTAATAAAAGAAAGAAAAATAAACAACCTCTATAAGTGTTAACTAACTTGGCAAAGCAAGCCTTGATTTCCGGCAGTCACTTAGGGAAGAAAGAGGCCCTGGAACTCTGGACCCCATAATATCAAAAACTTTCACTACTGGAATGCCTCATAGCATTTACAGAGATCCAGAAATGGAGGCTGCAAAAATTATGACTAGGTAAGAGTTGGCTAGAGACAAGGAAGCATTTCCTTGGCCAAAAATAGAGCTGAACTCTCCTTGCTGTTGCCAGCATTACACCACATACATTTCCACCAGTTATTTGAAGACCCCTTCACAACCAAAGACAGCCAGGGCTTCGCAAGGCCCAGACACCCCGCTGACTCATCCCATCTGCAGCGTGCAAAGTGCTATTTGTCACTGCCTAGTTATATTCCACTCTGCCCAACAGAATAAATATTAAGTAAGCGCTATGTACTTACATAATTTGCAGAATTGATCGGCTGACTTAAAAGCTTGAATCCCCAACAAAAGAAAATGGAGTGCTTTGTGCAAATGTTAAATGCACAGTTTAATTGGCAATTGTGTGTTGGAAAGCTATTGTAAAAGGATCACAGTTTTGAGGTGATGCTCCAGATAGCACAGTCAGGGAAATAAGTTTTCATCTTTGGCATTAAAAAATCAGGTCTTGGAATTGAAGTAAAAAAAAAAAAATAGGGCAGCCTCAGTCTGGATCTCTGTCTCATCAGAATATAACTTTCTTCCTCCTACACTCTGCCTCCTAAATCAGAATTTAGAACATATTAAATATGTAGGCTTTAAAGATTCTTTCCTTGCCTAAATAATTTATACACGTCTACTAAACTGTTAAATATCAAAGAAACACATGCACATGGACACACACACTCAGAGCATTTTACAACAGTGATTTCCACCTCCCAAAAATTTAAGAACGTGCTCAGCAGGAAGTTAGAGTTGTCAGGTCCCCTCCAGTGGAAACTTAAAGAAATGTGTTGTATTTTGTTTCAATGAGGATCTGGATGGAGAGTTCGCCATCTTGATTCACGTAACAAAAATAGGTGAGAGATACATGTGATCCCCGAGGAGAACTATTAGACTTCCCTTAGATGCAAAGGTTGTCTCAGTCGTGAAAAAAACGTGTGTCATTTCAGCCTATTCAGTGCATTCTGCAGCACCTGCTAGAATATTTATCCTCCTTCTCTTTCCACTTAAGTCCTACATTTACATAAAGGCTACTGGAGGGTTCCATGTTGAAGCAGGTTTTATTTGCAAAACTCAGCCTCCATGGATGTGTCTTTCTGCAGCATTCCTTTGTGCCTCTCATTATCACCTAAGGGTTTATAAAATGGGCAGTGGTAACTCTAGTTTTAAATCTAGTTAACTCTAGAGATTAAAATCCAGTAACTCTAGATTAAAATCTAGTAACTCTCAGCTATTGTGAACAAGTTGAAGTTAAAAAAAAAAAACAAAAAACCTTTCTTCAGCTGCGACTGAAAAAGATCCAGTGATACCAAGCGTACCTAGTTTCCATCCTCATAAAATAATCTCTTAAGTGTAAAGAAGCCCAGTGCAAACCACCATGAATTATCATCATCGTTTCCTACAGTGAGTTCGGAAATTGCTTTTTGCTTCTGGATACTGTGAAAAGCCAGGTCAGGAATCCACAATGGGCATCAGTCATCATTGTGTTGCTAATACTTGCCATCGGTTCAAGAATAGGAATATTAAGATTGCATTTCTTCATTCTTCCTTGCCAAAGGGAGGAACAAGACAGTCAAAGGGCATGGACCCCTGGCCCTTGATTGAAAACACTAACAGATATGCATGCAGTTAGACCCCAGTGTTCATGTGTCCAAGGCAATAGGACTTCCAGGAGAGACATCCAAGTGAGGAAGCTGCAAGTGCTGCCTGGAAACACCTCTATCTTCAAACTCCACCCTCTCTGGCTTGGTTGGGAAAACCTCATTACTCTCAATTTTCTACCAAATGATGGTGAAGAGGAGTCATTTGTTGGAAGAAAGGGATTCATTACAGGGAAACAGGTCTTGAAAAGGATCAATACCATGGCTGCCTCCTTGTCCAGCCAAGGGGAACCTGTGTGGCTCTCCCAAGCCTGCTCTCCTTCAGGCCCTCAGAAGTTCATGCTGTCATTAGGACAGTCCTGCAGTCAATGGCAGGGGGCGTGATGTCCCGAGGTGTGTGAGGTCTTCCCTGAGCAAACCTGTCCTTTCCAGTGACCTGCCACGGTGCCCAAAATTCTCTCATCCAACACTGTGTTAGTGAGTTGCTTGAACTCTGGGGCCAGGCTGCAGAATTGAGTGCCAGCTTTTCTTCTTACTAACTGGATAACTTCTGGCAAAATTTAAAATAGCAGTAATTGCAGTATCTACCTGATAATGGTGTTGGAAGGATTCTATGATTAATACCTAGGAAAAACTTGTGAGTGTCTGGTGCATTCTACTATGCAATAACATTAGTTATTTTTATTATTTAACCTCAGTGTGTTGTCTGGCAAATAGAAGACACAGTCAGCAAAACACAGAAATTCGTTAATGAAGTGACCGCCAGGCACCTGGACGAGCCCTGAGGGTATAGGCAAAGACATGCTGGTAGAGGAAGGGGTAAGAGAGACCTGAAAATTGAGGTCTGTCCAGGGAGGCCGGGCTGGAGACACCCTGAGTTCCTAGAAAGAGCAAGTTATCTATGAGGGAGAAGAGAACCATTATAGTGGTAATTGTGCAAAAAGGAAAAAAAAAGACAAAAGAAAAAGGCAGCCGTAATCGTTAGATGCCAGGGACAGTGCTAACCACTTTATTTATATCATCCAATTTGATCCTAAAGCAATCTTATAAGCTGGGTATATTCTCATTTCATAGAAAAAGAAACAGGCCTGGAGTGCCCTCTCAGTTAGTCGATAGTGGAGCTGGGAGCTAAACTGTTGCCCAAACTGGATCCATCCAGCTGGCACAGGTCATAGGAACCCCGGGGTCTCAGCACTTCCCAGATGCCTCTGTTAGTGCTTCCTCTTACTTGGACCCAGTTGTCTTAGGAAAGCAAGACAGCAGAGAAGCCCAGCTCCTTTCTCTCTTCCTGGTACAGAACCAGCATCAGCATTATTTAGAATCCAGATGTGGCCAATGTGGGATGGCTGGAGGAGGGAACAAGCTGGCAGACAGCCCCCACCTGGGCATAGGTACATGACAGGAGGGAACGAGCAGGCAGACAGCCCCCACCTGGGCATAGGTTCATGAGGAGGAAAACCTGCCAGGAGGATTCCACACCTGAGTCAGGGAGTCACTGGGTTTTTCCAGCGAGCACCCCTCACGTCCATCTCCATGTTTCTTCCCGACCCCTTCGCTCTGGAAGTGAGGAGAGGGAAGTGTTACCAGTTGATGTTGTTTATGTAATGCTAGGATCAGCCAAAGAGTGAACATCCTGCTCTTTCAAAATGAATTGTTGGTTTGTAAGGGTGTTTGCTGACCTTTTCACCAGTACCGGGGAAGAAATGCGCATTTATGGCTCTCTTTTTGGCTTTAGAACAGATAATCCCAGGGCCCAATCTTTGCCCTCTTCTCCACCTCCATACACACAAGGAGGCATTGGTCTGCGGAAACTGTTTACTCAGAGGACCAGTGGCCCTCGTGCAACTGCAGTCACCAAGTTGCCATCCGGGCTGCAGCTTTCAGCTGGCTCTCCTCTGTGTCTGTGCTGGAGGTGATGAAACCCCAGGCTTCCACCTGCCCTCATCAGGGTCCACACAGGGAAGGGACAGCCTTGTCTTGAGGCCTTTCATGCTGAATCTAAACCTCCCCATTATGAATTGACGTGGTGTTACTTGGGAAGGGATGATATTTCTCAAACTCCTCCTGTGGGCTTGTCACAGCGCCCTGCCCCTTCCTCCCTCATCTCAGCTGCCCCTCACTGGGCATCGGGGACAGGCAGGTATTCTTCACTTTATACATGAGAAAGGCAGGCCCAGACAGGGTGGGTACCTTGCCTCCATCACATGGCTCATCAGTGCTGGACAATCGAGTATGAAACTGCCATCACTCCCATGCCTGCCTCTTCTCTGTGGAGACAACTTCAACTTCAGAAAACGTTAGTGAGTCTTATCATATTCCTACAGCCACATTCCAGAACATGCTGATTTTCTCATTTCAGGACAGTTTCCCCAGGCGCTTTCAACTTCTTATACCTTAAAAGAAATACCAAATGCATTACTCATGTCTGTGCAGTATTCCCTAAGAAAATAAAGACATCTAGCTCATAGGAATTCCAGAAAGATAAATGAAAAATAAATGAGGCTTCAGAATGCTCACAAAACAAGGACTCTATTTGCCTTAAATAATTAACATTGAGAATTCAAACCTGACCAACTTTTCCTCCATGATTAAAGCAACCCAGGGAGAGGGCAGGTGATTCCAGTGCTGGGGGTCCCTTTAGCCATAAATGTATGGACGTGTGATGCCGTAGCACTCAGGGCCTGGGAGAGCCGGGGAGCATGAGGATGATCGAGGTCTCGGAGCTCAATCAATCAGCAAGTGCTTCTTGGTCACCTATTGTATAAGTAGAAATGGATGCCCTATTTATTTATGGAAACCATCAATTGTTGAGGACCTAATATGTAATCTCATCTAGGATAAAATCCTTGACCTTGAAAATCACAATCAGCTGGGAGAGAACACAGAGTAATTGTTAGAATGCAAGATGGCAGGTGCCATGACAGAAGAGCAGGATGGATGCTGAGGAGCACACAGGTGGGGTACTAGCTCGGGCCTCAGAGCAGGCAGGAGGACCTCATCCAGGAAACATCTCTGAGTTCACTTCCCAAGGACAAGTTTAGCCCCAGGACAAGGAGGAGATCCAGAAGGCATTCTACAAAAATGCTCAAGGAACAAGGGCATTGGAGCACACCATGTTGGCAGGGAAACAGACAAAGACCAGACATCAGCGCTTGCTCAGAATCCTCTGCTGCTCTCGAAGGGCTGTGTCCTCCACAGGTGGGAGGATGCCACCTGCTCTGATGGTCCAAGCAGTGTGGGTTCAGCCAGCGCTCTTGGCACCTGGGAGCATGATTCCAAATGTAGACGTAATCCAGACCTGCAGCTTCAAAAAAGGAGCCACCGTGGTCAGGGTCAGGGCTGACACAGGGCCAGGGGAAGAGAGTTTGCAAGTAGCAATTCAATACTTTTATTTCAGAATGTGTAGCAAGTATTTGACATATATGTATAAACAAAAATCATATAACCAGTTTCCTAGAGGTAGTCCAGGCCATGAAGGCTGCAACTTATTGTTTCTCTGCCCTGACTTAAAGCATGTGTTTCCAAGTTGATGCCTGTTCTTTTTATGCCTCATCACCACCCTGAGTGTTCAGTGAGGAATTGCTGCAAGGACAAAGAGTTCCCAATGTAATGTGGATACAAAAGAATCCAACCACTCAGCTTCATCAGTGCCCTTGGCAATGCACGTCCAAGAAGCCTCGCACACAGAGCTGGGAGGCCATCTGAGGTCTGACCACTGTGCCTGCCAGAAGATGAGCATTCTGTTTGTCTCTACAGTTGTGTGTGCCCTGTGGCACTTTCACATATTAAGATTTGAACCCCACCACCCCCCAACCCTGTGACTGATCCCCACAGCCTCCCCTTTAGCCTGGGTGAATTAATTGAAATCATAGGAGCAGTCTTAGCTGTGCCCGTCATGCGGTCCCTTGAGACAAATGCATTCGGTAGATGATACATGACAGCCTGAACACAGGCCAGGGAGGAGACCCTGGAAAAGCAGGGACAGAAGGAAGACAACTTCCCAGCCAGCGGCCTTCGCTTCAAGACAGAATCCACTCTCCTCCCTGCTCACCAGTAACATGAGGGCTGAGCAAATGGGAAGATGGTCTTTGAGAGTTATCGACTTCCTCCTTTTCCAGCAACGACATCATGCCTCTAAGTAGCAGTTCTTAGGAAACATGAAGCCCCCAAGGACAGCTGGCTGGAAACTTTCAAAGCTTTGCAGGCATAACCACTAATGAGGAGCAAAGTCGCTGTTTATTTGAGATGGTGACAGACACTATCAGCACACTTCACACAGTTCAGATATGTGTTTAGGTTCAGAATGATGGGGATTTCAAGACCAAAGGCTCTCGAAAATTTCAGCAACCCAATTTATTCACCAAAGCATTAAGCCAGGATCTATTTTACATCAGATTGTTTGAAATAGTGATGTAAGAAATGTGCTCTTGATGTGGAGCCTCCAGAAAAGGACTTGATGTGCTCATGGGTTCTCATGACCTCTGAGGTCTTTGCTGCAGAGAATTCACCAGCCTAGTGCCTGGCACATCACAGGTGCTGTGTTAACTGAAAGAATGATGAATTATTAAATAAACAGCCACTGTGATGTGGAGAGGAAAGAGTTGGGCACACTTGGGTTCAAAGAGCACCACCTCCAAACGCCACCTTGCCTGCCTACTTCTGATGGACACTGTTAGCAAATTGCTTAAACACTCCAAGTTTGTGTTTCCTTATCAGTAAACTAGGGATAAAAATATGTATCTTCACTGGGCATGGTGGCTCACACCTGTAATTCCAACACTTTGGGAGGCTGAGGTGGGTGGATTGCTTGAGCCTAAGAGTTCGAGACCAGGCTGGGAAACATAGTGAGACCCGTCTTTACCAAAAGTAGAAAGAAATTAGCCAGGTGTGGGGGTGTGTGCCTATAGTCCTAGCTAGTTAGGAGGCTCAGGTGGGAGGATGGCTTGAGTCCAGAAAGTCAAGGATGCTGTGAGTCATGACTGTGCTGCTGCACTGTAGCCTGGGTGACACAGTGGGATCCAGTCTCAAAACAAAATATGTGTCTTGCAGTGTTGTTGTAAGCCTTGATGCACTCTTTCCTAGTGTACCGAAGCAGCCTAATAAATGTTAGCCCCCCGGTTGCCTTTCCACTTAAAGAGAGATGGGGTGTATTAGCCCATTTTCACAGTGCTATAAAGGTACTACCTGAGACTGGGTAATTTATGAAGAAAACAGGTTTAATTCACTCACAGTTCTACATGGCTGGGGAGGTCTCAGGAAAGTTACAGTGATGGCGGAAGGTGGAAGGCAAAGGGGAAGCGAGGCATGTTTTACATGGCAGCAGGAGACAAAGCATGCAGGGGAAACTGACATTTTGAAGCCATCAGATTGCATGAGAACTTTCTATCATGAGAACAGCATATGGGAAACCTCCCCCGTAATACAGTCACCTCCCACCAGGTCCCCTCCTCCACAGGTGGGGATTACAATTCAAGATGAGATTTGGGTGGGGACACAGAGCCAAACCATATCATGAGGAGGTTATATCAAGTGGATTTATAGAACTGAGAAACAGTTGAGAGGCTCTGTGGTGTGCGGATGGTTTTGGAGGTTAAACAAAACAAAGAATACTAATACCAGAGTTCCTTCCTTGAAGCCAGTTAAGATCGTCACACTCAAAGGGAAGAGATAGACTTTATCTTGTCTCTCCCAGTAGATTGATAATGGCAGGAGGAGAAAGGGCCTTTCCTATCCTTTCTATGCAAAAGTGTGGTGTCTGGAACAGCATCTGGGTGTCACCAGACAGTCTTTTGGAAATGCAGCATCTCAGCTTCCACCTAAGTAGGCTGGCCCAGAATCAACATGATGAGGAGATCCCCAAATAGTTTACTTGCACTTTGAAAAGAAACACTGGCCTAGAGCACCTTCCCCTCTCTGGGTCGCCAGGTTCTTTGATTTATTAAGTCTCTGCAGCTGACTGATATGGAGGGCAAGGGTACTTTTGAGGAATTTTCTGAATAGTAGGCTGAATTCTTCAACCAGCCAACCAAACAACAGCATGAATCTATCTTATACTAGATACGTACTGCTTCTTCTAAAAGGCTGCAGAGAGGGCAGTCGTGGGCCCAGTGAACAGCTGCATTCTGGTCGGTCCTCTTTTTCCCTTCCTCTGCCAGGAACCACAGCAGTGTTGAGGTTCTGTAAGCACGTGCCCAGTTGGCAATGAGCTTATCTCTGAGCATCTGAACAGAGGAGAAGCCCAGAGCAGCCTGGCTCCAGGGACCCCACGGGACGCATTGAGTGCTGAGCTAACTCAGGGAGGAGACCACAACAAATACAAACTCTGGGAAATCAGGGACAGGGCAAGCCTCTTGGGATTCATCCCCGGCGGACATGCCCAGAGACTGTCTGCCACAGCTTTTGGCAATGACAGATCTTACCATAGGGCTCCTACTAAATACCCTCTGGAAAAGCACTGGACAGTGACCCTTACTTGAGGATGCATAATCAAGGGTGTGGTCATGTAGCCATCATAACATAGGGATTTGGAAGATTGAGGTATGCGGAAGGGCCAGTTCCAGGAATAGAGCTCATGCTTGGTCCAAGGACTAGGGCAGGGCCTTCAGGAGCTCGTGGCTTTGAGGAGGGATAAAGGAGAAGGATTGGTAGCAAATGGCCCAGAGATTCTTACAAATCCACCTTCATCCATAAGGAGGTTGGAGGGTGTATGATGATCCTCTCTTCTAAAAGGCTCCCTTTCAAATTACAGAACCATTGGGTAATTCTTCTATTACCCAGGGAATCAGTGCCAGCTCCCCAGGCACTGAGTCCCAGGAGGAAGACAGCTCATCTTCATTCGTGGGAACCTGTCCTATATGTGATTGTGCCCTTGGGTAAAGTGGACTTTACAAGTTCGTTATTGCTGTTGTTTGAGCAGAGGTCATGTTTTTTGTGTTACTGTTGTTTTTTTTTTTTTTTTTCAAATTATAAACCTCATATATATGTTAAAGCTTAAATTCAATCTGATGTAGAGATTTAACTGTGGAAGTGAAACCTCTCTAAAAAAAAAAAAGATCCTAGGAAACAACTAGAAATATGAGATTTATTCTAATCCTAATTGCATGTTCCATATTTAGACACCCTTCCCACAAAAGGTGAGAGAAATGCTTACCTTGTCCAATTTTACGCACAAGCCTCCACTTTAAGGAAACAGATTACTTTTTTTTTTTAAAGAACTCTCAAATTACCCATTGATAAATACAGCACTCAAATTTTTTTTTGGAAAAGGCACAAAGGTAAACAGATAAAGGAGTTGAGTGGTCACCTCATGACAAGGACAGTTTGAGGGTTTACTCTTGTTTTCATGGGAGCATTGGTGCGGGTTACTTCATCTGAAAGAAACTTTGAGCTCTGAAGCTATGTCTAGCACATGTTAAGTAAGAGTGGTCCTTGGAAATTTCAAGCGTTGGTTTGCATGGAAGCACAAATCATTTGACCCACATGAAAAGAATGAAATGGGATGGAACAGAAACTCAAATTTAAAGTATTAAGTGCTTTTGTCAACTGCAAATAACATGTCTCTGGGATGTTAGTGTGTAAATTGGGCAGTAAGATTCCATGTGTATTAGAAATAAACTTAATTATTTAGGAGGTAGGGTGGACCTCTTCTTACAAAATTATATTTTCTAAAAGAAAATAAAAGCCTATGAGCTATCAACAGACATATTGTTGTAACAACATAAAAAGTACATCTTTAGCCAGCTTTCACTCATCCAGGCTAGTGCAAATAAGGTGTCTATTAAGAAATGGACAGGTCATGCTCAAACCTTCCACGAGGCTGTGGTCCCATCTCATCCCTTTCTCACTCTGACAGGGGCACAGTGAACTTCCTAGTCCATTCCATGTCCTGCCCAGCTCAGGGTGGAGGAGCCAAAGAGCCCTGCTGTGACCACCCAGGAGGGAGAGAGGGAAGGGCTTGGTTCCTCCACGCTGCCCAAGCCTGGTCTGTCTCAGAGGGCAGGGCTGAGGACCAGAGCGCCTGTGGGCCAGATCTGGAGCAGCTGGCGGGAGTGAATGACCTGTGATTCTGCGTCCTCCCTCTACTGTGGTTTCCTGTCTCTGAAACCTTATTTCTCTCAGCATCCTGACTATAATTAACATATGAAAAAAAGAAGCCAAATAAATCAAGAGAGGCTGAAGCCCTTCGCATTTAAAATCCATCCACCATCGTTTCCCCCATTTTATCAGCTGTGCATGTGCTGAGATGGATTATGCATTGACACTGTCTTTGAATAGAGGGTGAGTTGGGATCCTGGTAAAGCAGCCATTAGACCATTAAAGGCAGTAGGAGAGATGCAGGAAGTGCCAGGATCACTAGAATCTGGGGTCCCTAATCCACACAACCTCACCCAGCCTTACAACAAGTCCTGTCACCCTGAACTGCCCAGGCTTACAGAGTACCTTCAAAGATGTGAAGGGGCAGCTTATCTTTCAAGGTAACCAAAATATCATCTTGATATTAAATCAGATTACTTGGCTAATTCATCAGTTTCCCTCAGAGTTAGGTACCCTGCACATGTCGTTGTCACCTTTAGATGGCCTCATGCATGGGAATGTGAATTATTCATAGGCTTTCTTTGGGTTGCAGGAAACCTTCATATTGCTTTAGTTTCTTAATGTATTTGATAGGCTCTTTGTGTATGATCACATTATATGGGTATTGCTGGCAGTACAGTAAATTTTAAATTATATAGTCTGCAGCTTTGCACTAAGACATGGTAGGAGATGATTCATCATTTTCCTTGTCTTCCTGTTTACATGCGGACATATAATTCATGCTCAGAAACTATCTTTCAGCTCATCTGGAAGTGCTCCACTGCACCACCACAGAATCTATCTCTGCCAGTCCAGAATTGTAAATCACTTTTCTATTAAACAGCGGGGCTAAAAATGCAAACATATGTACTTTAAATATATGTAGCCATCTCCAATTCCCAGAAGATGAGCCAAAATTAAAGGATAGTCAAAAAAGCTAGTGCTAGAATTTAATGAATGAATGATTTGACTTGAGATCAGAAATTTGCATTTCTGTACACATATTGAAGATATATATACACACACAGGTTTCCCAGAATGGGCCTGTCTTTGGGAACTGTGTATTCTGCAGATTTTGTACACTGAATCTCTATCATTCTGAAATTTTACTTCCTAAGATTATTCACTCATGCAGAGTCACAAGACAGACTTGATGGTGGGGAGAAAAGGTCTGTATAAATTCTCAGTTTAGCATGATATGAAGCCCTTGTCTGCCATCCTCTTGACCTTCATCCCCAGGCCAAGACAATGAAGTCATTTGCTCAGGATGATGGACATCTAGACTCAGTAGTGAGTGCTTTTCATCTCCAAGGATAAGATTCCACCCAGCAAATCTGCCTACTCAGGCAGTAGTGGGAGTTAGATATTTCAGAAAGGTTTTCAGCAGTCACTGTTTCTTTGCCCAACAATACACATCATCATGGTTCTCTACTCCCTGAACCTGATTCAGCTGTGATAGTGGATAACCATTTTCACACACATGCTCATGAACATCTGGCATTGTTGAAGAAGGAAGACCTTTCCGGGTAACTGAAGCTTACCCATTGAAGAGTTTTTTGTTTAATATTGCAGCTGTCTTAATGGAATCCTTCTGAACTGTATTATTTGCTTGCCTACTTTTTTTTTTTCTTTGAGACGGAGTCTCCCACTATCGTTCTGTTGCCCAGGCTGGTGTGCAGTGGCATGATCTTGGCTCCTGCAACCTCCACCTCCTGGGTTCAAGTGATTCTCCTGCCTCAGCCTCCCAAGTAGCTGGGATTACAGGTGCCTGCCACCACACCTGGCTAATTTTTTGTGTTTTTAGTAGAGACATGGTTTCACCATGTTGGCCAGGCTGGTCTCGAACTCCTGACCTCAAGTGATCTGCCTGCCTCGGCCTCCCAAAGTGCTGGGATTGCAGTTGTGAGCCACTGTGCTCAGCCTGCTTGCCTACTTTATTAAGCAAAGGCTGCCAAACCATTTCATTTGTGATTCTGTGATTCTGCCGAGAATTGTGGTGGCTGTCTGTCCCTGTAGACCATTGGTTGCCTTGCCTTGGAGCTCACAGCCTTTCACCTGTGCTTTATATTCTTGTACATTTCAAGAACTAGAGTTCCAAAATCCGGTTTGCTAGACTTGTGCTATGGTTTAAATGTATGTTCTCCCTCAAAATGCCTATGTTGGCACTTAAACCCTAATGTGATAGTATCAAGAGATGGGTCCTTTGCGGAAGTAATTAAGTCCTGAGGGCTCTGCCATCCTTAATGGGATTAAGCCCCTTATAAAAGGGGCTTCAGAGAGCTGCCTGGCCCTTTCTGCTCTTCCATTCCTTCTGTCATGTGAGGACACAGTAAGAAAACACCTTAGCTAATGAACATAGGAACATAAAACCAAACACCTCACTTATAAGTGGGAGATAAGTGATGTGAACTCAGGACACAAAAAAAGATACAATAGACCCTGAGACCTAGCTAACTGGGGAAGGTGGGAGGAGAGAGAGGAGCAGAGAAAGCAACTATTGGGCATTAGACTTAGTACCTGGGTGATGAAATAATCTGCACCACAACCTCCCTGTGACATGGATGTACCTTTATAACAAACCTGCCCATGTGCCCCGAGCCTAAATTAAAAGTTAAATAAATAAAATAAAATGCCACTGGGAAGCAGAAAGCAGCCCTCACCAGATGCCACATCTCGTAAGACATGGAGACTGTTGGCACCTGGATCTTGGAATTCCAGCCTCCAGAACTGTGAAAAAATACATTCCTGTTTTTTCTAAAGTACCCAGTTTCAGGTATGTTGTTATAGCAGCATGAATGGACTAAGACAACTCATATGATAAGCTGGGCTGCCAAGTCCTGCAGAAATACCTGTGTCCTCTTCCTGCACAGTACAGGTCAGGGCTTTCACGAACAAGTTTTGCTGTGGCTCTTCTGGAGTTCCAGGGGCCCTTCTGTGAGTGGGTTTTGGGGGGCTGCTTTCTTCCTTATTTCATGGTAGTCTTGAATTAGTGATAAACAGAGTTTGACCATATGTGTGGATAACATGTACAGGTCTTGATTGAAACTCAAGTTTGAAGAGCGTTTGCTGGGTGCCAGGCATAAAAACGGGGTTCCTGCTTGTATTAGGCCTCACCCTCGTTATTTAATTACCCACTAAAGGCCTCTTAACAAAGTCACTCTGGCCATTAGGTTTCCTTTTATTGTTATTGTTTTAAGACAGAGTCTCGTTCTATCACCCAGGCTGGAGTGCAGTGGTACGACCTCGGCTCACTGCAACTTCCACCCCCCGGGTTCAAGCAATTCTCCTGCCTCAGCCTCCCAAGTAGATGGAACTATAGGTGCCTGCCACCATGCCCAGCTAATTTTTGTATTTTTATTAGAGGTGGGGTTTCACCATGTTGGCCAGGCTGGTCTCAAACTCCTGACCTCAAATGATCCACCCACTTCGGCCTCCCAAAGTGCTGGGATTACAGGCATGAGCCACTGCACCCAGCCTACCACTGTGCTCGACCCTCATTAGGTTTCAATATATGAATCTGGGGGGCATCAGACCCTAGCACAGCTTCTCACATAGCCCCTCTCCTCCCCACCCAGCCTCTCTTCTTCCTTTATTACTTCTGTTAAGTGCAGCCTATTCATTGGTTGACCTTTTCAGTCCTATAACTCAGTGGCTTAGTTTTTTAACAATAAATCACAGGAAGGTGGCTTAACTATTGAAAATTTTATTAAAATGGTTATAATAATGACTTCATTACTCTCTGAGGCTTCCAGATCTTCTCTTCATTCCAGGGAAGCTGGCTATGTGAAGGCATCTGAGAATTGCTATTAACCTCTGCTGAATTAAAAACAGGAGCGGATGAACAATGTTGGAAGTGGGCCGAGGGCTTTTCAGAGATAATAGTTGTATGATAGCACCCCCAGTTTAAATATAACACTTTTGCATTATAAAAAAGGCATATTAATTCATGGTAAATTGAAAATTTAATTTAATTTTCTCTAGATGAGTGAGGAAAAAAAAAATGAAGACTCCTTACTCTGCTTGATTCAGTTACCATGGGGATAGAACATCTTTTCGGGAGAACCTCTGTGACATGGCACATGAGCCCTCACCTTCTGCTTCACATGCCTGGTTTTGTCGCCCACTTGCTCTTCCTGATGAATCTGCCCCAGCATCCAAATAGCACAAACCCATGAATATTCTGTAACCCATTTTCATCTTTGAGCCTTTGCTCCTAATCTGTTACCTTTGACCCCTATCCTCCCAGCCACCCAAATTGAGCATATCTTCCAATGCACAACTCAAGTCCCACCGCCTCTGTGCTTTCTCTAACTCCACAGCCACACACAGCCTGTCCTCTGGCCTTCCTCAGGTCCTAACAGTTGAGGTGGGCATAAAAGAAATGAGCAGATGAAAATAATCTGCTTTGTAGCCAGGCGCAGTGGCTCACGCCTGTAATCCCAGCACTTTGGGAGGCCGAGGTGGGCGGATCACCTGAGGTCAGGAGTTCGAGACTAGCCTGACCAACATGGAGAAACCCCATCTCTACTAAAAATACAAAATTAGCCGGGCGTGGTGGCGCACGCCTGTAATCCCAGCTACTCAGGAGGCTGAGGCAGGAGAATCAATTGAACCCGGGAGGTGGAGGTTGCAGTGAGCCGAGATCACACCATTGTACTCCAGCCTGGGCAACAAGAGTGAAACTCTGTCTCAAAAATAAATAAAATAAAATAAAATAAATTAAATAATCTGCTTTGCAACAGACAGAACTCTTTCAGTAAAATATCCAGATCCGGAAGCTCATTTCCTGCATATTTTGTCTGCCTGATGAGCCCCTCCTCATGTACCTGCATCTCTTTGGTGATCAGTCTTCAAGGCATGGGGTGGAACCACCAGTGCTCAGTCTGGAACTCCAATGGTGTGATTGGCAGGAGCAGAGATGCCACAGCCTTTCAGGTCATGGGAAGGCTTTTTGGTGGTTGTTGGTGTTCTTCATGTAGGACCCTGACACCCCTTCCGTAAATGTAATTATTGTTAAAATGATAATCCTTGAGATAATGGAAAGCAACCCAGTGAGGCTGTGGAACCTGCATTGAAAATTGTTGAGGTAGAACAGACTGCTACAGGTGAGAGAGTCTTGGTTTCCACTCCTGTCGGCATTTGGCATTTTTGCATGTACAAAGTCTGTTCCCCATCCCATGACAAACCCCAGGTGAATCACTGGACATAAAGATGGTATGGCCAAGGAGAAGCAAAACATTGCAGACCGTCTCTACCAGCAGAAGCTCAGCACCAGGGTGCAACTCAGATGACAGATTGTAGGTAAACACGTGTGCTTACTACCCATTCATTCATTATTCATTCATCCATTAACACGTTTTGCAAATATTCTTTAAGCATCCATTGAGTGCTAGGCACCAGGGATTTGATGATGGGCAAATATAGAACTAATGATACCCAGTCAGAGAGAGAGATAAGAATCAAGTGTAACTACATAAGCAAATGTAAAAATGTAATGGGGACACACTCTCTGAAACCTAGGAGTTGGTGGGAGATGCTGGTAACAGCCTCTGATAGTGGGGTGTAAGCCAGCAAGATCAGCCAAGCCCCCTGAGGCTCTGAGATCAAATTGAAATCCGAAGGATGAGTAGAAGATGAAGAATGGTGAAAAGAATGTTAGAATATTCTAGGCAGAAACATGTGGCCAAGTCCTGTTGGGCGGGGGCAGATGAGAGGAAGGAAGAGGTGGGAGATGTCCCTAGTCCTGCAGGGCGTGGTGTGCCACATCTTCCTAGAAGCAACGGGAACCCATGGAGAGGCTCTTGGGGTGAGGGTAGAGTGAGGACAACTTCACATTTGCACACAGGGAAAATCCTCTTCTCTTCAGAGTGGAGAATAGGCAGGAGGGGAGTGAGCATGGAGGTGAATAGAACACTCAGAGGCCACTGTGGCCCAGCCGGGGAAACATGACCTGACCATTCCCTGGGAAGACACTGTGGCCCAGGAGGACACACACACTGTCACTGGGAGGACACTGTGGCCCAGACAGGGACACACAGCCTGACTGTTCCTAGGAGAACACTGTGGCCCAGGAGGAGACACACAGCCTGACTATCCCTGGGAGGACACTGCAGCCCAGGAGGGGACACACAGCCTGATCATTCCCTGGGAGGACACTGTGGCCCAGGCAGAGACACAGGCAGCCTGAACCATGATGGTGATGGTTGAGTGGAGAGAAATGGACAACGTTAAGAGATACTATGATGTAAAATCCATGTGTGAGCCAGGAGAATAGCTTCAACTTGGAGGCGGACATTGCAGTGAGCTGAGATTGCGCCACTGCACTCCAGCCTGGGTGACAGAGTGAGACTCTGTCTCAAAAATATAAAAAAATCAAATAATACAATAAAATAAAATCCATGTGGCAAGGTGACCCACTGATTTTGGGTTGTTAGGAAAAGAGAGGTATCAAGGATGACTGCTAAGTTCTGTGCTCTGGATAAAAATGAAACTCAACTTTGAGGAAACTGTGTACTCTAAATGTTTCTGCATTGGTCTCCCAGGCCATTCCAATCAACTGCAAAGCTTCATCTTTCATAAAACATGACCTTAAATGAAGACTTAACTATATTCTAAAGTTTGCTGTGTACATTAAATACCATATGTGGTGAACATTTCCAAATTCCTTAACTGTGTGACACTTCATTTGTTTTTGGTTTCAAAATGGAAATCACAACTGTCCCCAATGTATAGAGTTAGATTTTAAAATTTACCAATACTAGGCAATTGCACAAAAGATTTCTAGTAATGTCCACAGGAAATTAACATCAGCAACACAATTTGATGACGTAAGAGGGCTTTTGCAACATATGATCAGTTCCTTCATTGTTAACATTTTAAAAACATTCTGATATCAGGGCTGGGCATGGTGGCTTATGCCTGTAATCCCAGCACTTTGGGAGGCAGAGGCGGGCAGATTACTTGAGGCCAGGAGTTTGAGACCAACCTGGCCAACATGGTGAACCCCGTCTCTACTGAAAATACAAAAATTAGCCAGGCATGGTGGCACATACCTATGATTTCAGCTACGCAGGAGGCTGAGGCAGGAGAATTGCTTGAACCTGGGAGGTGAAGGTTGCAGTGAGCCGAGACTGTGCCACTGCACTCCAGCCTGGGTGACAGAGTGAGACTCTGTCTCAAAATAAATAAATAAGTAAATAAAAATAAATAAATAAAAACATACTGATTTCAGAGTAAGCATATCATACACAAGAAATTACCTTTATACCTCGAATCCCTTTTGATTTTTAGAAAAATAAGCTCAGAAAATATGCACTTTTCTTAGAATAGTCTGCAAAAATTTAAGAAGATAAGAGTTTTCTTTCAGAAGACATTATACAGCCTATATATTTTAAAATAGAATATATATCTATAGAACAGGTACATGATTTTGAGCAAATCATGTTACCTCTCTTGACCTTGCCTTCTTTCACAATGGATACTCCAATTACGTGTTATCCAGGTTCGTTTTGGCTTTTACGATTGTTTAATTCTACTTTTTCAATCCCACTTCCTTTACCCAGTAATAATATTCATTGGTGTTTTTCCCTTAATCGAAGAAAAAAAATGAGAAAAAAAAATCTCATTGGTTTGGGAGTCTACTCTGTGACAGGCTTTGAGCATGTGTATATATCTTATTAGTAATCTCAGCACCTGTAACACTTGTGTAGGGAATGTTTCATTTTACCTATTCTATCGATAAATAGCCTGATATTTAAAGAACAGAGACATTTACTAACTTTTCTAAAGTTACTGGAGGCAGGATGTAAACATACGAATTTCTGGCTTCAAAACCAAAATTCTTTTCCTGGGTCATTAGAATCCCCCATCTACCAATACACTAGTGCCCACCCTCTCTCTGTGGAGTCAGTAATACTTTAACTTCGTATAGCAAGCAATGCTTCAAAGCAACCTCACAGTTTTGGTCCCACTACCCCTTAAAATTGGAAGGCAATTCATGTTACCCACTTTTGATGAATGAGCAACTGAAGATGATCCAGCAGCAGCCACCAAGTGGCTGAGACACAACTAGAACCTTGTCTCTCTATTAAATGCATTTCCTGATGACACGATGCTGAACCTTGAGACTCACAGGAGATTAGGCCCATGGAGAAGTGGGAGGAAGAGGAACAGGGGAGGAGAAACCATGGCCAGAGTTCTGGGGCTGAAGGAAGATGAGAGGGAAGGTGGAGTCCTCACCAAATGGCATCATGTCTGCAAGGTGCTCTTTCAGAAATTCCAGTAAGATCCAAAAGCATCTTGCCAATGAAACTAGAAACCATTTGATAGGTTCGATCTGGACAATTTTTGTCTTATGCCAGATGTGAGTTGATGAATGTCAAATGATAGTTTCAGATGTAAACAGCAGGGTTCCTGACCACAGCAGAAGAGCAGAGAAAGGAAGGAACCCTTCAGCTCACAGAATGTGAAAGGCATCAGTAAATAGGGGAGCATCAGTGCCCATCACTGTCAAGGGATTACTCCAAGACACAGGGATTCTTCGGGGGGCCTTTCTAATGTCTTAACATTTAATAGAATTGAAGTGTCTTTCTTCGTACAGTATTGCAATCCATGTAGTATGGGAACTTTATCAAACTCCAGAATATGTGACAGTGGACATGTGATCCTATTACCAATTTTTTCAGGATCGACTCTACATGGGCATCCTCAGTAGGCTCTGCTGTCAAAAATCCATAATTAATGCTGTTTTAACAAGTGTCAAGGCAAATGTGGCCATTTGTAGAGAGGAATAATTATTTGCTTATTTTTGGTGGTATGTGATCTTCAGAGTCAGAGAAAGATGGGGCTTACAGTCAGGTGTCAATTGTCAGTAACGTGCCCTTGACTTCCAGGAAGTTCCTTATCTCCTTGAATCTCTCTTTTACACCTAGTGAATGGGATGACAGTTTCCTTCAACCAGTTTCAAGGATCCAGTCAGATAATAGATGGTAAAGTGAGCCCTGTGCTATTGGTGGCAATGTAAAATGGTGCAGCTGCTACAGAAAACTGTACAGAGTTCCGTCAAAAAATCAAAAATAGATTACAATATGTTCCAATAATTCCACTTCTGGGTATTTCTCCAAGAGAAGTGAAATTATGATGTCAAAGAGATATCTGTACTCCTAGGTTTGCTGTAGCACTATTCACAATAGCTGAGATGTGGAGACCACCTAAAAGTCCATTGACAGATGAGTGGATAAAGAAAATGAGGGACACACACACACACACCCCTAGGAATATTAATGGGTGTTAAAAAAAGAAGGAAATTCCGCCATATGCTACAACAAGGATGAACCTAGAGGACATTATACTAAGTGAAATAAGCCAATCACAGAAAGACAGATATGACATGATTCCACTTAGATGAGAGCGGAATGGTGGTTGCCAGGGGGTTGGGAGAAGGGAAAGTGGGGAGTTGCTCTTCAGTGGGCTGTGGTTATAAAGTTTGTTATTGCAAAATGAATAAATTCTAAAAATCTGTTGTATAACATTGTGAATATAGTTAACAGTATTGAACAGTCACTGAAAATTTTAAGATAGTAGATCTCATGTTATCTGTTTATATCACAATAATAATATTAATAATAACAAAAGTTTCAAGCACCATGGCAGATGTATCTAAGAGGTCTTCCTCCTCTCACCCTGCCCCTCACTCTGCTCCTCTCCCCTACACTGTTGACATCCTCCTGGACTTTACTCAGCCTGCTTCACAAGGACAGGTTCAGGGTGGGTAAGACTTATTTGGGGAGATTGTCATTCAAAACTGAAGGAGTACTGAGTGCCAGACACTGTCATGATCAGAGGGTGGAAACCCCTGCTATTTGAATGGATCATCAGGCAAAATGAGGAAGTGTCAGGAATTGCCCTATGCCTGCCTTTTATCCTATGATTCAGAGCTCTCATTCACTAAAGCTACAATTTATTTAACCTGCTCAGAAATTTCAGGAGGAAAATCAGTGGATGAGAAATCAATAATAATGAATAATCTCCCATTCAGAAATATCATTAGAGATTATTTTTCATTATTCCACTGGTAACAGCAAATTTAAAAGATACTGTTATAAACTCCATAGCCCAAGCTTAATAGAATTAATAATCAAATGGGATCCTGAGATCAATAATTCTCAAATTGTTTTTTGTACTCCAGGAATTCCCAGTGTGTACTTCAAAGTGAATCTGACACTTCATTTTAAAAACAATTTGGAGTGACTTTTGTCCCTATGAATGATGCCAAATTGATAGTTTAAAAATTGATGGGTTTAACCCAACAATGAAGAGACTGCAACTAATCAGTCCATTCTTTCCTTCTGCAAGGGTCCTTGGCTCATCAAACCATCTCGAAGTCCTCATTTAACTAATTTTATTACTTGATCTACAATTTATTTCACCCCAGCCACAAAATAGACCAGTACTTAGGGATAAAAGTAGCTGACACAAATTTTGTTTCAAATAGGTCATTATTTTATCTTGATATATAAATGTCAAAGATACCGCTTGGGTTCAAATGGTGCCAGAAGACAGACAAATGGGCAGGCTATCAGAGAGAAATGGAAACTGGGAAAGAATCTATTTCTCTTCATTTTAGTAAGAACCTAAGATATTGTCCTAAGCTTACAATTGCAGGGACAGAAGGAGAATCTGAATTAGCATTAAAAATGATTTTTTAATAATATATATAAGGGAACTTTTAAAGTTCATGGAAAAGTGGACTTAAAAGATAAAATTAAAAACATTAACTTTATTTCTCAGTATAAGCTCCATCAAGTTCAAAACACTTTTTAAAGCAATGATGTCAGTCATTTAGTCCATCCCTAAAGAACTGAGGGTCCCTGGAATTTAGCCATTTCAATGTAACCTTTTTTACATTATTAACTGAAGAAAAATAGGTGCCCTTTACAGATTTTGTAAGATTAGGAAACAAAAAGAGGTCAAATGGAGCCAAATCAGTATGGTAAGGTGAATGCCTAATGATTTTCCATTAAAACTCTCACAAAATTGCCCTTGTTTGATGAGAGGAGTGAGTAGGAGCATTGTCCTGGTGGAGAAGCACTCTGTGGTGAAGGTTTCTTGGGCGTTTTTTTTCTGCTAAAGCTTTGGCTCTCTCATAATAACACATTATAGTTATTTGGCCCTCCAGAAAGCCAACAAGCAAAATGCCTTGAGCATCCCAAAAAACTTGCTCTTGATTGGTCCACTTTTGCTCTGACTGGACCACTTCCACCTCTTGGTAGCCATTGCTAAGGTTGTACTTTGTGTTCAGGATGGTACTGGTAAAGACATATTTCCTCTCCTATTGCAATTCTTTGAGGAAATGCTTCAGGATCTTGACCCTATTTGTTGAAAATTTCCATTGAAAGCTCTGCTCTTGTCTGCAGCTAATCTGAGTGCAAGGGTTTTGGCACCCATTGAGTGGAATGTTTATTCAACTTTAATTTTTCCACCAGAAGTTGAAGCAATTGAGATAGCTATAGTGTTGGCTTTTGTTTTTGCTGTTAATTATTGGTCCTCTTCACTTAGAGCATGAACAAGATGATGTTTTTCCTCACAAATTGATGTGGATGGATTACCACTGAGGGCTTCATCTTCAGCATCATCTTGTCTCCTATTAAAACAAGTTTTTTTATTTGTAAACTCCTGATTTTTGAGGGGCATTTCTTCCATAAACTTTTTATAAAGCATCAATTATTACACCATTCTTCCGTCCAAGCTTCACCATAAATTTGATGTTTGTTCTTGCTGCAATTTTATCAGAATTCATGTTGCTCTGATGGAGGCTTTTTTTTCAAACTGAGGTCTTATCTTTTTTAATGCATCAAACTAGATCCTGTTCAGACATGTTATAACAAATTAGTACAAGCTTATTTGGTGCAAAATATTTTGTGAAACCCATGCATAGTTGGTTTTTATAATACACATTTTTTCATGAACTTTTTGAAGAACTTACATATAATATTTCAATAGTGGTTTATATATATTTTAAAATGTTTTAGCCTTATAAAAAGATTAGAGAAAAAATATTTCTGGTTTGGGAATTGAACATCATAAAGGAAAGTTAGAGTTTGCAAGATCTGAACTGGCCACCTGAGAAGCAGCTACATTATCCACATTTCCTTCTCTGCACCCTCCTCCGCACCCTCCTCCAACCCCTCCCTCCTATCCTCTCCCCATCCTCCCACACAGATATGGATCTGATGGTATGCACGAAGCACATGGAAAATTCTGTGGAAAGACAAGAGGAATAAGCTATGGCCCCCACTCTTAATAGGAAGTAGGTAAAGATTTGCTCTGCAAGGAATGATAATCAACAAACTATTTCTCAGTTCTTAAAAAGAAGAGATAAGCTAGACCTTGATTAGATGCAGAGAACTGTCATTAGAGATGAGTTTCTCTTGCCTTCTTTCCCCCTGTTGCTGTGACTTCTTCATCTTTAAGGGACTGATGCAGCTTCATTTCCACGTGGGTCTTGTGCCTTTGGATTCCAGCTAAAAGCTCCTCCCAGCTGTGAACCTGGGTCATAGCCCATGAGAGCCACAAGGGACTTGAGTGTCTTCTGGTTCAACCACCTCATTTTACAGTTGAGGGGCTGGTGAAGGGACTTTCCCAGTGTCCCCCTGAGTTAGATGTAAAGATTGGGGCTAGCCCAAAAGCTGTCTGAGCCTCAGCCATCTGTCACTCATTCCTGGTGCTTCTCTCACCTCCTCACCAAAAGACAAACACTGTGGTTTATCCAAAAGTGGCCTTGCAGATTTTCTGATTCATGTCTTTTTGCCACTCAAAAACATTGACTGAATGAGCCCTGAGTGCCGGATACTGTTCTAACCTATAGACTACTGTGTGAAGAGTAGAATTAAAGTAAAACAAAGACAATTATAACATAAAATCAGTCCAAACTATTCTACCTGTAAGTGCATAAAATGATAATATGCATTTTTGCATCACTGTAAAGAAAAGTATTTCATGTCACCAGTTCCATTCAGAGCACTGTAATTGGCAATTACTTATTTTTGACATTTGTAAGACTTCTTGAAAGATAGAATTTGAATGCTGCATCTAGTGACTGATTCTTCTTGCATATTGAGCTGTTTCATTATTTTCTACTCTGCTTTAAACTTGAATCAGTATAGAACCCTCCCACATTCTTGACAGGGTCCTCTTTACTCAAGATCTTGGGATCACAGGTTTGATCTGGATCACCCTGTCTCGTATCTTGGAAATGATGTCTTTGACATGGATAGAGATGGCTAGCATGACTTTGATTTGTTGTCTGTGCCTTTCCTTGTGGCATGAGAGGAGGCTGAGAAATACTGGGCTATTGTGAATGGGAAATGAGAGTTCTTACAGGCACGCTGAGCATCCCAGTTTTGGGCATTCAGTCCAAGTTTTGTGTGAGGACATCAGGAGCCTCCCTAGGAATACGAGTACTTCCTTCAGTGCATCAGGCAGTATGATTAGAACCACGATGTAAGTGTCAGGATAACATCGGGCATGAGAGTCTGTTGCTGGGTCTAATAGCATAAAACAGGAGGTGGTCACAGCAAGTATAAGCACTGGGAGGTGTCGGCATGGAATAATAATACTGGTGCAAGGAGTGGGCTTAACATCATAACTGGGAACCCAGAAGCCAGCAAAATGCAAATCAGACAGGCAGGCAGCTTCTGTCTCCCTTCTGTGTCTCTATGCCTGCAGTGAAGACTACCTGTTGTCTCTCTCCTGGAGCACTTGCGAGCCACAGATGAGAGAGGACCTTTCAGTGACTGATTACAGCCTAAAGGCTCCAGGAAACAGCCACCACTGCGGGCTTCCCCCACGTGCTTCTCTGAAAGGTTGTCAGCAGTGTATTGATGATTTTCAAGTATTTGAGCATACTTGTAGCCCTTGAGGTCAACCGGCTTCCTTGGAGATGGCCATTCTACTCTACCAGCCAGGGAGGAACTGTCCATGGTGCTGCTTCGCATCCAGAGGCTACAGGGTTGCCGTGTGATAGGAGCCACCTGGGCAGGGACTTACCCTCAAACAGCCTCGTGTTTCATGGTGCAGCACTACAGGGACAAATGCTTACCTTTGGGCCAGTGGAGAGCAATAGCAATCAGGACTTGGGAGGGAACCTAAGAGGATAGGACAAGCTGATAGGGTGAGTGGGGTGAGGTGAGATGACAAAGGGGCAGGTACTGAACAAAATCAGGCTATCTAACAGGCAGGCATGCTCTTTAATGGGTAGGGTACTATCCAGTCAAGTGTAGGCCAAGAAACAGCAATCAAGATTCCTTGGCCCAGAAACAGGGTGTCCCAGCAAACACAAGAGCCCAGAAACAGGGACTCTGCAGGTAGGCACATTTGGAAGCTCAGGGAGGCAGACTTCTCCTCTGGAGTGATCATCTACTGATAGCAAAATCCTAGTCACCAGGGAGGGCTTTGGTGTCAGGACCTCAATCCCTGGAAAGTAGATAAGTACCATCAGAACAAGAAACTCTGTCTGGATTGGAATGGTGTTAAGGGCATCTTGATATGTTATTCCTGCTTAAGTGACTCTTACCTTCCATGAGGTTGGTTGTGAATCCTAGAGGCTGTGTATGGAGAACCAATGGCCCTGTTAGAAAGGGTGGACACTGGGCAGCTCATCCCACATTCAGACCCTTTGCAGCAGGTCTCCATGTTAGCATGTTCTATTTTGACAAAGCCTTTTGTCCTGCCAGGCATTTAATGGACTTCACACATTCTACCTGCGGAGCTCACATCAGGGTATCTATATCTGTTCCTCTAGCTATATTTGTGTTTGTATCTTGATGCTGCCAAGCATAGGGAAGGCAGGGAGAAGCCAAAAGTCAGCAGAAAACAGCTGAGATAAATGACATACAATGCGGGAGGAACGCAGATGGAAATAGATGGCATGGGAGTTTGAAGAAGCAAGGAGCCACGAAGTGCTAAAGTCTGCAAGGAGGTTCTCAAGCTCATCTCACTATTTATATCACAGATTACAGATTTCCTGCTCGTGTCAAAAATAAGTCATTGCCAGTTGCTGTGTTTTGAAGAAAGAATCATGCTTAAAATTATTTCACTTAGAAGCTCACAAATGAAACTGTTGACTCTAAGGAATAAACTGTGTAGATAGTAAGTCTTACCAGCTGTGAATTAGAGTAGTTTGTGAGAGTCGAATTCAGACATTTTCTTTTTTGAGAAAAGCTGGAATAGAAAGGGAAGCACTTCTGCCAAGGTTAACAGTAGGATGTCTTTATAAATTCGATGTAGCTGTGAGGGAAGGGACTTCTGCAAGCTTTCGTGCATTTGCTCATTCAATAATAATCTGTTCATCAGTGCAGTGACACAAAATATTTACAGAACACAGCATCAGTGGCTAAGGAGCTTATAAGCAAATGAAATGTTAGGTGTGTTATGTGTGGGTTAAATGGTGCCCACCCGAAATTCATATGTTGAAGTCCTAACCCCCGGTGACTGTATTTGACTAGGGGTCTTTACCAAGGTAATCAAGTTAAAATGAGGTCATTAGGGTGGGTCCAATCTAATATGACTGGTGTCCTTATGAAAAGAGGAAATTTGGACACAGACACCCACAGGGAGAATGCCATGTGAGATGGAGGCAGAGATCATGGTGCTGTTCCGACAAGCCAAGGGGCACCAGAGATTACCAGCAAACCCACCAAAAACTTGGAGAAGGGCATAGGACAGATTCTCTTACACAGCCTCAGAAGAAACCAACCCTGATGACACCTTGATCTCAGACGTCTTGTCTCCAGAACCATGAGATGATAACTTTTCTGTTGTTTAAGCCACCTGATCTGTAGGACTTTGTTACAGCAGCCCTAGTAAACAAATACTTTAGAAAAAGTAAAAAGAGAAGCGAAGCAAAACTTGCATGCACAACAGGTATGATGATGCTCATGACTACAGACAGTGAGAAAGGCTGTGGGTTGGATTACTCTGGCTCAGCCTCATAGAAAAATTGAGGTGAATGTTTAATTGAGTGTGGGGTTGGTCTGAAGAGAAAGAATAGAAAAGGAGAATCATATTTCATACCCTTACTATTCAGTCAGCTATGGAAAGCATATTTGGGGTGGCTAGAAGATGCCAAGTACAGTGCTAGGTGATGAAGCAGTGAATTAAGTTAGGACAATGTGGCCCATGTAGCCTCTCAACAGGAAGGCAGGTTCAGATAGAGGAAACAGCAGGAAAAAGGTGACAACTTGAAAATGAGTCTCTTCCTCATTCAGGTAGCTTTGGTGCTTTGCCCACTGGTTGTATAAGAGAATCCTGGGAAACAGCCTATGAGTAGTATTTGATATCTTGGGATGTGGGAGGTAATCAGATTTCAGTGATGATAAGACACTCCCATCTCTGAGCTGGGTGTTTCCCAGAAAATTCCAAGGACAACTGGCCTTTAACATCTCTCTCTATGGTTAACTTGCTAAACATTATCCAGAAATAGCCAGCACCAACATCTCCTTCAGGACCCCAACAGCCAGGCATTTTCTCCGTAGACTTTGCTCCAAGCCTCTTATTTCTGGGTTTGGATCCTACCTTTGGACTTGAGGGGCTTAGATATTATCACTTAGGTGGACAAACCATCCAGTTAAACACACACACCCACACATACCCAACACACACACAGACACACACATACACAGAATCAACACTCAACACGCAAACACCCAACACACACATGCACACACACTTTCTGAAGATGAGTTTTCTCATTTATGAAATGAGCTCATCTGGACTTGCCATGAGGGTCCAACAGGTGCCATGCAATCAGGTGTGCACTCAGTATGGGCTGGGTGGAGATGGCCATCTCCTTTCCCGTCCAGGCCTGGTTCCTGTGTGCTGGGCCTCTGCTCTTCCCACCTCACACAGCCCCTGCATGGAACAGAGCCGGCCCTGGGAGGCCTGGGATCCCCGTGCCTCCCTTCAGCCCCTCTTCCAAAATCTTGATACCGGACACACAAAGGACACAGCAGATGGCCATTGTATGATGGGTTTTGTTCTGTTTTGTTTTGGTGACAGCTTTATTGAGATGTAGTTTTTACCATACAATTTACCCATTTAAAGCATACAATTAAACGTTGTTTAGCCTATGCACAGAATTGTGTAATCATCACCACAATCGATTTTAGGACATTTTTATCACCCCCGAAGGAAACTGTGCCCCTTAGCAGTCACTCTGCATCCTCTGTCCCCAACCCCTGGCACCCAGGCATCTGTGATCACTCTGTGGATGCACCTGTTCTGGTCAGCTCATCCACATGGTATCATATCGTGTGTGTTTTCTTCATCTGACTTCTTCCCTGAGCGTCATGTTTTCAAGGCTCATCCAGGTGGTAGCCTGTGACAGTGCTTCATGCCTTTCTATTGTCAAATAACGACACAGTGTTTTACAACCCCTTTCCACATAGGTTAGTATCACCAGTGTGCTTGGATGAATTGCAGTTTGCCCAGTTTGCTGTTCCAAAAGCTAGAGAATTCCTTTTTTTCTTTTTTCCTCTTACTATACAAACCAACTCTAAGTGATAATTAAAAGCGTGAGCTTTGAATTTAATCAGCACTTTGTTCCTTTCTATTGTCAAATAACTACACAGTGTTTTAAAGCCCCTTTCCACATAGGTTAGTATCACCAGTGTGCTTGGATGGATTGCGATTTGCCCAGTTTGCTGTTCCAAAAGCTAGAATCCCTGTTTTTCTTTTTTTCCCCTTACTGCACAAACCAACTCGAAGTGATAATTAAAAGTGTGAGCTTTGAATTTAATCTGCCTAGATTCAAAATTTGCCATGCCATTTCTTAGGTGTATTACCTGGGCAACTACTAACACCTTGTTACCTCAGTTTTCTTATCTTTATTTTATTTATTTATTTATTTTGAGACAAAGTCTCACCCTGTTGCCCAGGCTGGAGTGCGGTGGTGCAATCTTGGCTCACTACAGCCTCTGTCTCCCGGGTTTAAGAGATTCTCTTGCCTCAGTCTCCCAGCTATCTGGGATTATGTGCGTGCGCCACTACTCCCGGCTAATTTTTGTATTTGTAATAAAGATGGGGTTTCACCATGTTGGCCAGGCTGGTCTGGAATTCCTGACGTCAGGTGATCTGCCTGCCTTGGCCTCCCAAAGTGCTGGGATTACAGATGTGAGCCACTGTGTCCAGCCAGTTTTATTATCTTTAAAATGAGATTAATAATAATACCAAACCTAATAGGAATGTTGTTAAATTTAATAATTTGGTAAGCCATTAAATCACATGAAACTATACCTGGTACATTTTAAACACCCTTAAAAGCTAAATATTATATATCATATTCTGCTTTTTAATATAAATAGGTCACACAATATATCAGCATGCCTATAGAGGCATTTCATCCTTAATGTTACTTAACACTTCAATTTATTACGAACCTAAATGGCCAGAAAGCTCAGGTAAACAATTTCCCCTATAATTTTACGCAACAAAAATTGGGATTTATACCAATGATCTCAAAGTAGTTTAAATTCTTAGGATAATTTCTTAGCCCCTGATGAAAGATTCTCTTCATTCTTTTGAATGATCAGTGTAATTGTACTTCTAGGGAAGATATAGCCGTTTATTTCTCACTAAACCATGACCTGTGCATGGGTGAGGCAGCCCACAGTGAGCCTGAATGTTTGGCCAATCCATTCCTTATGTGGACTCATGGAAAGCCTCAGCCTATAATCAGATTTAAAGAAATCTGTAGCCATATGTGTTTCCCTGACGTCGGTATTGCTGGGCCATATTAAATTGCTTTACATCCCTAATAACTTTGCTTTCTATTGTTCTCTATTCTGCTGCACTTACACAAAAGCTCCATGGCAGAGAAATTGGAAAGACCAGTAAAAAAATAAGGAAACAGGATATTGTGTGTCCTGGAGGGTTTCCCCGGTGCTCCCCAGCCTCCATTGCACAACCTCCCTCCACACAGCCCCGCCCCATCACAATTTCCAACCCCTTTACTCACCCCCTGTGTCTCATCCACTTTCCTCTCTGTCAAAACCCACACTTAGACATTCTCAGAGTCCTTCCCATTGAGGTCCAAACAACTAGTGATGGTTTAAAATCTTACGACTGGGCGTGAGGGAAGGCCCATACCTTGAGATAAAGCTAATTTGAAGCTGATGGCAGGATTTCCAACAGCAGCCAGAGGAGGGGCAGAGTTTAGGGGCAGTGTTTTGTCCTATAGTCCTTAAACCTGCCTTGGATGTGGCTGGTTCTGACATCTTGAATAATCCCTTAGTATCTTGTTTACAGGTGATGACACAAACAAGTTATCTGGAAATAAAATGAAGGGGGAATGAACCAAACCACTTTAAGGTAGCTACTTTTAACAGTTTTAGGGGGTCAGTTCAAAAGTCTTTATAACTAAATTCTGAAATACAGAGTGCCCTGTTTTCACCTTCAGGGGTCTGACACCCAGTGTTAGGTTTACAGTGTGCTGTGGGCCATTCATCTGGGCCCCAATGAGCTTAGAAAACAACTAAGTGAACAGCAGATCCTCAGCCAGGTGCCTGGCCCCCTGTTGACCTCACCTGGGGTCTCATTCACTGTCCCACCTTCCCTGGACCAGGCTTCCCCCTCCACTGTCCACTTACCAAAGAGTCACACCATTTCATCTAGAAACCCTCATCTCCTTCTTCTTTTTTTCTCTTTTCCTTCTCCTCCTTCCAGCTCCTAAAATAGAAATTAATGTAGTCCTGGCCCAGCAGATGCTTCAGGGATCTGCATTCTGTTCCTAAATGCTCAGATACTCACTAAAGACAAATAGAAGTGTTGGGTCCACAGTGGATGATCCCTCAGTACATCTTGAAATAATACCTTGTTAAAGAAAGAAGGTCATATCCCTGCTGAGGGGAGCCCTGGGAGCGTGTAAGTCCATCTCTGGGCAGGGAAGCTGACCAGAGATGCAGCTGTTGACATGCAGAGAGAATGAGATGTCTGAGGACACCCTCTGCCAGCTCGTGTCTGAGAGAGGATCCCAGGGACGTGCTGGTACTGAGTTTCCCCTCTAAGCAGAAGGGAACACTTCAGATTCCAGGAGGACATCGAAGATGTCTAACGGATCCTTTTCCTCACCAAAGAGATGTGTTATTTGGTATTTTTAATAACACCATCTGCCAGTGAGAGGAAAGCTCCGAATTGCAATATTGATCTTGTCACTTTGGGGAACAGTTTGATATTTGGGATTATAAATAACATTTTCATTTGCTCTGTTATCATGCTCAGGCAGTGTTTGATGGCTGAGCCCAAGAATATTATTTTCTTATCAAATATAAAGATACGTACTTTTCCTGAGGTCTGAACTCTGGGTTGTGAAATAATATTGACACATATTAAAGAGTAAGATGTATTCTGAAACCTTAACAATTCAGAAGGGGTGTAAAATTTTTCTCCTTAAAAATGAAATCGAGGACAATATGAGGTGATAATAGCAATAACTGGCTAGCGTGGATTAAGAGGTTAAGTCAGAGTCGGATTAGACTGTCTGATTTAAGTAACACGATAGCCTAACAAGGAAGCACAGCAGCACTATTGTTCCCATGATTCAGACCAGCAAACCAAGATAGCCACTGCCACGGGGCTAGGAAGTAGCAGAGCTGGGATTTGAACTCAAGCACACTGGTTCCAGAGTCCACGCTGTGAATCATTATACTCTGTCTTTATTTGCACCTACATGGGAATGGATTCTCTTATTATTATGCTATAGATACCTTCAATATTTCTTTCTACATTTAAAACTATTCTCTCTTGATCCTCATGAAAATTATTTGAGATACACAGGACAAATACTACTATCCCAGTTTTACAAGTTAAAAACCCAAGGCCCAGAGACATTAAACGATTTTCCTCAATGCCATATTGGAAGTTAACAACAGATCGGGCTTCAAATATAAATCACCTCACTCAAATACATGTATCTCTTTGATTTGAGCAACACAAAATTATTACCATTATTGTCATTATTGAAAGAAACAGTTGATCCATTTGAAAGATAAGCTACACTGTTTGTGCTTCTGGGTGGCTGGGATGGTAAAGGAAATGCATGTGGAGGCGTAGCCAGCATTTTGCTAGCAAGCTCCACAAGAATGTTTTACCTAAGTTCTTAGGGGAAGGGGAAAATGGTCAGGGCCAATTCTTTCATGGTACCGAGCTTCAGACACTTTCTGTCCACCATTTGTACTCCCTCTGATTTCCCGTATGGAATTGAGGTCTTGCATTTTCAAGAAAAATGGCAAAACAACTCCAAAAACATGTCTTTCTAGTGTCGTAGCTCTTAGTAGCTTCCTTATACAGTTGACCCTTGAACAACACGGGTTTGAACGGAGCAGTTCCACTTATATGTGGATTTTCTTCTGCCTCTGCCACCCCTGAAACAGCAAGACCAGCCCTTCCTCTTCCTCCTCCTCATCCTACTCAACATGAAGATGAGGAGGATAAAGATCTTTATGGTGACCCACTTCCACTTAATGAATAATATTTTCTCTTCCTTAGGATTTTTTAATAACATTTCTTTCCTCTAGCAGTCACTTTATTGTAAGATCACTTTATTGTAAGATCACAGTATACATACACAGAAAATGTGTGTTCATCGACTGTTTATATCATTGGTAAGGCTTCCTGTCAGCAGTAGGCTATTACTAGTTATGTTGTGGTGAATCAAAAGTTACACAAGGGCTGGGCTGGGCTCAATGGCTCATGCCTGTAATCCCAACAGTTTGGGAGGCCAAGGCAGGTGGATCACTTGAAGTCAGGAGTTTGAGACCAGCCTGGCCAACATGGTAAAATCCTGTCTCTACTAAAACTACAAAAAAAAAAAAAAAAGAAAAAGAAAAGCCAGGCATGGTGTTTCACACCTGTAATCCTAGCTACTGAGGTGGCTGAGGCAGGAGAATCACTTGAACCCAGGAGGCGGAGGTTGCAGTAAGCCAAGATCGTGCCACTGCACTCCAGCCTGGGAGACAGAGTAAGATGCTGTCTTTAAAAAAAAAAAAAAAAAAAAAAAAAAAAAAAAAAAAAAAAAAAAAAGTGATACAAGGATTTTCAGCTGCTCGGAGGTTCAAGGTTCAATACCTTAAACTTTTGCATTGTTCAAGAACTAATTGTCTATGAATTTTGTAAAATTGTTCAGAGTTGTAATTATTATCTTTGTTGTAGGTTTTAAGGAAAAGGATCAACTCTTCGTTATTTTCATCTCTGTATTTAGCTAAGTTTATGTCCAATGGGGTAATTCTAACCATATTTTAAGATACTGCCAGCGTAGATTGTCTCTGTTACCACCGGATGCCTCTGGAGAATGCTGCATGCATCAAAATCAAGCAGTAAGGATGAAAAAATCTGCTCTTTCCTGAACTGACCAGCCTTCCCTGACTGTGCACACTGATTTTATCTCAATACAGTCCACAGGCTTTTGTCTTTCTATGAGCTTTTCCTTCTATAATAAGAATAGGAATAGAAAATGACCACTAAGTTCTCCATCTTCCATCCCATGCCTCAGCCAAGGCAAGAAAGAGTGAAATAACTGCTAAGCTATTATAAATAACTATCTCCTGTAAAATCATGAACATAGAGTGTATGTCAGAGATGTTGGAATCCTGCATCCTTAATGTTTAATGGTGTTTCCTACAAATGTTCCCTGAGTATTCCCAGTTTGGTGATATAGTCCAAGCTGCAGAGGGAAAGGATGTAACCTGATATTCATATTCAGTTTTCCACCTGATTTCTTTGGGGATTCACCTCATTTCCTCAAGTCCTGCTAATGTGTACGGTGGTAATTCCAGCATTCTCTCCTCGGAATATCAACAATGACAGTTTCTTAATTGCTCTCAGTGGATTTTATGTAGGATAGACAGTGAGGTTTGACCACTTGATTCATTTGAAATGAGCAATACTTCCACCTTGACATGATATCATATACTTGGTATTTTCATGATTTATTGGTGGCCTGGACCAATATACTTTGGGTCAAAAGGTGTGATTTAAGGAATTCAACCTAAGAATAGTAGGCCAGCTCATTCTCAGTCATTATGTGATTTGTTGGAATATTGTGAAGTTCCGTTGATAAATAAATTGATGAAAACCTTTTTTCTTACCATGTAACCACATACTGCTTTGCACCAATGATTGGGCACAAATATAAACATATTGCTGCACAGTAGGTAATTCAATATCAATATGTGTGTGTGTGTGTGTGTGTGTGTGTGTGTGTGTATATATATATAGAGAGAGAGAGAGACACTTTTATCCATTTAGGAAGACAAACATATTCATAACTATGTTTTCCATTAAAGTATGTTTTCCATTAAAATGTACTAAATAGGAGAGTACCTTCCTGTGTTTCCCTGTTTTATCCAAATTCTCAGTGTTTTTAAAGATCCCATTCTGGCAGGTCATGGTGACTCACACCTGGCGTGGAGGTGAGCACCTGTAGTCCTGGCTATTTGGGAGGCGGAGGCAGGAGAATCGCTTGAACCCAGGAGAAGGAGGTTGCAGTGAGTTGTGGTCACTCCACTGCACTGCAGCCTGAGTAACAAAGTGAGACCCTGTCTCAAAACAAAACAAAAAAAAGATCCAATTCCATCCCCATCTACTCCAAAATGCCTCCCTATTTATTCTTATATTGATTAATGTATTCTTCCTCAAAATTATATTACTTTCTGACTCAATATCATACAAACCGGCACTTATCACATCTTGAAATTTCCCGAAGCTAACACGTGTCTAACCTGTTTCCCATATTATGTTTTAAGTTTAAAAAGATTGTCTGCCGACCGAAAAAGTTTATGTCAAAACTACAGAAAAGAGCCATTTCTTCCATTTCTCTAAAACATAGCCCTGTGTCATCTCTGCTTTTCCACCCACCCCTACCCCAACACTCATCCTACTTACCTTCCTCTGGCATTCACAGAGGGCTGAGTTTCTAGTAGATGTTAATCAAATTCTTTGCATGTGATTGCTCAGTCTCTTTTAACTTGAAAAGGGGAAGGCAGTGTAATAGAACACAGGAAGGAGCTGTTCATAGGTTCAGAAGTCACTCTTGGATTTTCAATATTTGTGTTTCATTCCTTAGAAAGTGCTGTCAGTTCCCTCTTTGAGGAGCTCTCTGAAACAACAAAGGGACCTGTCATTTGTGCATACCCCCGACTGGCACCTTTGAAATGTTATCCAGTCTTGCTACCTACCATTTCTGATTTGTCTGACGTTGACATGTACACACCCTGGAGCAGGTCTGTTGACTTCACTCAGGCTTATGGAATATTGCATACATCCACCGTACTCCATAAATAACTAATAGTGTGAAGCAGAGATCAGATCAACTGACAGACTTTGTAGAATGTAATCTCTGGTAACACTGACTTTAAGAGGCAATGAGTGTGTGTGTGTGTGTGTATGTGTGTGAGTATATATATATTCCCATAGGCTAGCAAATGAAAACTGACAGTGAACTTTTCCTCTAGCTCTGATAGAGTGACTGGCATTGGGCATTTCCTCCTGGCATAAACAACTCTAAAGCTGGTAAAATGTGCATGACAAATGTTTTAAGGCATTAAACAACAGGCAGCACAGAACTGTAATTCTTGAGAGAAAGGAAACATGAGAGGTGAGGCTCAGTTTGCCCCAGTGCTCTGCCTGGGACCGTTTCCTGCACATCTCCAGCAGAACTGTGGCCTCACTGACCTGAGGAGGAGATTGGAGCTGTGGTCTCAGAAGCAGCTGAGATTTGGGGAGCCAAGTGCAAGAGCAGAAGCTGAGGACAAGGGTTTCCAGAAGTCTTGATGAAGACTCATTGCTGGTTTTTGGCTGAAGGCTGCCCACACCATGGCAGGCAGTACACAGGGCCTAGCAGTGGTTGCCTTCTGCAGGGCTGGGAATGAATGAAGGCATTATTGCTATGCACCACCAGGAGATGCTGGAGCTCCAGCTCAGCCAGAATGGAGAGAACTCATTGAGCATCTCAGTCAGGCATTCAGTTGAAACCTCAGAAAGTCCACACCATAGCAGTAAAAGCTATACCCTCAAATAAGGGCCACACCTTAGCCCATAACTAGAATAAGTTCATGTCCATGAAAGGAAAGACATGAAGCCTGGTATGACCAAAAAGATCAGTTGGTAATTTCCCTGCTGCCAAAACAAAACTCAGAGCACTTCTAATTTAAAAAGAGATTATCTAGAATCATGAAAACATTTTGTCTATAGTATCCAGAATAAAATTTTTTTAAAAAATTGCTAGAGTTTCAAAGAAACATGAATATAAGACCCATGATCAAGGAAAACAACAGTCAATAGAAACAAGCCCTGAGATTAAATGCCTTTGATGTTGAAATTTTCAGACAAGGATTTTAAGGCAGTTATAAATATAGCCAAGGAATTAAAGGAAAACATGGTCATAATGAGTAAACAGAGGGAAAGTTGCAGTAGAGAAATTATAACTGTAAAAAATAAAATTTTAGAACTGAAAATATGTAGTAGATGGGTATAATAATAGTTAAGAATGGCAGAAGAGGCCGGGGCACAGTGGCTCGTGCCTGTAATCCCAGCACTTTGGGAGGCCAAGGTGGGCAGATCACGAGGTCAGGAGATTGAGACCATCCTGGCTAACACACTGAAACCCCGTCTCTACTAAAAGTACAAAAAATTAGCCGGGCATGGTGGCGGGTGCCTGTAGTCCCAGCTACTCAGGAGGCTGAGGCAGGAGAATGATGTGAACCCAGGAGGCCAGAGCTTGCAGTGAGCCGAGATCACGCCACTGCACTCCAGCCTGGGCGACAGTGCAAGACTCCATCTCAAAAAAAAAAGAAAAGAGTGGCAGAAGAAATGCTAGCCAAACTGCAGGCAGATCAAGAGAATTATTTGACCTGAAAAGCAGAGATTAAAAAAAAAATCAAACAAACCGTATCTCAGTGAACTAGCAGGACAGCATCCATGTGGTCAAAATACATGTAAGTTGCGTCTCAACAGGACAGAGGAGAGAAAAAAATTGTAAAATAATAAAACTTTTCTAATATTTAGTGAAAAAAATTAAAATGCTTATTTTAAAATTTCAAGAAACCCCACTGGTATAAAAACAAAGAGAACCACTCCTATGCCCCAAGATAACCAAATTACTGAAAATCTAACCCAAAGAGAAAACTGTCAAAGCAGTTAGAGAGAAAAGACACGTTATATACAAGGAAACAGTTCTAATTAATAGTGGATTTCTTGTAAGAAGATGCAGAATAATATTTTAGAGTGCCAAAAGAAGAAAAAAATACAAATCTATTGACCCTAAATTTTATATAAAGCAAAAATATCCTCTACTGTGGGTAAAATAAAGACATTTTCAGATAAGTGAAAAACAATAAAATTAAGAGTCAGCAGACCTATACTGCAAGACATATTCAAAAGAAGCTTTCAGAGGAAAGAAAATGAAACCAGAAAATGATAATTACAGTATGACATGAAGGATACCAAAAATAGTAAATATGCTAATAATTAGAAAATCTATGTGTGTTTGTTTCTTAATTTTCTTGAAGACACCTGACTGTAAAATGTATGACAATAACAACATAGAGGATACAAGTAACTGGAATTAAACTGTTATAAATGTTTTAAGTTTATGTAAATTGATATAATATTGACTGTATATAAACTATGAGTAGGTAAGGATGCACATTGTAATCCCTAGAGTAACAAATTAAAAAATAATGCAAAGAGGTATATCTAAAAACCTAATAAGGGAATTGAAAATGGAAGGATAAAATTCTTTGATTATCCCCAGAGAAATTAGAACAAGAGGAATAGAGAAATAGAGATTAAATAGGATACACAGAAATATATGAGTATAGGAAACTTAAAACTAAACTTTTCAATAATTTCACTAGATGCAAATTAATTAAACATCCCCAGTGAATAATCAGTTTTAGATTTAAAAATTGAAGACATAACTGTATATCTAAAGGGACTTTTTTTTTTTTTTTTTGAGTTAGGGTCTTGCTCTATCACCCAGGCTGGAGTACAATGGCACAATCTTGGCTCACCACAACCTCTGCCTCCCAGGTTCAAGTGATTCTCCTGCCTCAGCCTCCCGAGTAGCTGGGCTTACAGGCATGCACCACCATGCCCAGCTAATTTTTGTATTTTTTTGGTAGAGATGGGGTTTCAACATGTTGGCCAGGCTGGTCTTGAACTCCTGACCTCAAGTGATCCTCCCGCCTCGGCCTCCCAAATTGCTGAGATTACAGGTGTGAGCCACTGCACCAGGCCTACAAGGGACTCACTTTAAATACAGAGACACAGATAGGTTGAAAAGGAAAGAATAGTAAAAGATAAACCATAAAACAGTAAGCATAAAAAAGCTATGGCTGGCCAGGCATGGTGGCTCAGGTCTGCAATCCCAGCACTTTTGGAGGCCGAGGTGGGTGGATCACCTGAGGTCAGGAGTTTGAGACAAGCCTGGCCAACATGGTGAAACCCTGTCTCTACTAAAAATACAAAAATTAGCCAGGCATGGTGGCGGGTGGCCTATAATCCCAGCTACTTGGGAGGCTGAGGCAGGAGAATTGTTTGAACCTGGGAGGTGGAGGTTGCAGTGAGCTGAGATTGTGCCACTGCACTCCAGGCCTGGGCAACAAGAGTAAGACTGTCTCAAAAAAAAAAAAAAAAAGCTATGGCTATGTTAATATCAGAAAATGTAGACTTCGAGATAAGGAATGCTGTTAGAGGAAAAGAGAGATATCTGATAATAATAAAATGGTTAACTTATTAGAAAGATATAAACATCTATGTATATAGTAGCTGAGCTTTGAAATACCTGAAGTAAAAAACTGACAGAACTCAATAAATTCGCAGATATTTGGATATTCTAACATTCTCACTCAGTAACTGTTAGAACAATTAGGCATAATTTCAGTAAGTATATAGAATAAAGAACATAGTCATTGTGACTTAATTGACATTTACAGATTACTCCAATAATTGCAGAATATATATTTTTAAAGTGCAAGTAGAACTCACATTATGTTGACACATAATATAACAAGTATTAAATCTTAAAGATTATGTCCTTTAACCACAAGAAAATTAAATTAGAAATCCAAAACAATAAGATATTTAGAAAAAGCATAACATGTTTAGAAAATAAGCAGTACTCTCCTAACTCATGGGTCAAAGAAAGTACAGGGGTAAGTTAATACATATTTTAAGCTAAACTGTAATAAAAGAACAATATGTCAAGGCTTTCTGGATACAGCTAAAGTAGTGCTTGTTGAGAAATTAAAGCTTTCATTGTTTAAATAGGGAAAAAAAGGATAAAATCAATTATTTAAATTTTTTCTTCAAGAAGTTGGAAAAAGAAATACAAAACCTCTAGAAAGTAGAGAAGAAAATGTGAAAGAAAAAATAAAATAGAAAACTGACAAATAATGGTGACAACTTACATAAATGAAGAGATTCGATATTATCAAGATATCAGTTCTCCAGCAATTGATTTATGGGATTAATACAAGGTCAACGAAAATTCCAACAAGGTGGTAGAAATTGACAAGCAGATTCTAAAATTTGCATAGGAATTAAGTGATCCTAGAATAGCTGAAACAGTCTTGAAAAAAAGAACAAATTTCAATAACTTCCACAACCTATTTTCAAGATTTACTATGAAGTTACAGCAATAAAGTGTGGCATTAGCATAAGAAAAGACAAATAATCAACGGAACTCATTTCTGAAGAGTCCAGAATTAGACATACACATATACAACCATTGATTTTTGATAAAGTAGGAAGGCCTAGATGAAATTATGGGGAAAAATGAACTTTAACCTCTACCTCACAATAATTAATTTTAGATGGATCATATATCTAAATATAAAAGCTAAAACTAGGAAGCATGTGGAAGAAAATAATGGAAAATGTTACAACTTTTGTGCTGGTAAAGACTTCTCAAGTAGAACCGAAAAAGTTCCTACCATAAAAAAATTGATCAATTGGACTTTATCAAGATAAAAATTTCTGCTCATCAAAAGACATTGCTAAAATGAATCATCAAGGGCCAGGTGCAGTGGCTCACGCCTGTAATCCCAGCATTTTGGGGGGCCGAGGTCAGCGGATCATTTGAGGTCAGGAGTTTGAGACCAGCCTGGCCAACATGGTGATACCCCATCTCTACTAAAAATACAAAGATGAGCCAGGAGTGGTGGTGTGTGCCTGTAGTTTCAGCTACATGGGAGGCTGAGGCAGGAGAATCCCTTAAACCTGGGAGGTGGAGGTTGCAGTGAGCCAAGATTGCAGTACTGCACTCCAGCCTGGGCGACAGAGTGAGACTCAGTCTCAAAAAAGAAAAAGAATCGTCAAGTAACATATTAGAAAAATTATATTCAATTCCATTTGTGTGACAAAGGACTTGTATCTACAATATATAAATATTCCTACAAATCAATAATTTATAATGGACAAAAGACTTGAACAGGCACTTTACCAAAGAAGATATCTAAATGGTCAATAAGCACATGAAATGGTGCCTAAAATTATTACTCACCAGGAAATGCCAGCTAAAACCATACTGAGGGAACATTTTAAAACCCACTGGAATGGTTATAATCAAAAAGGTTGACAGCACCAAATATTGGCAGGGATGTAAAACAACACAAACGCTCATACATTCTTGGTGGGAGAGAGCTCTACAACAAGTACAACTACTTGGATAATTGTTTGAAAGTTTCTTCTAAAGCCCAGTATATAGTGCCCGACTGCAGTCTACTGCACTCTTAGGTATTTACCCAACAGCAATGAAAACATGTCCATGAAAAGACTTGTACAGGAAAGTTTATAGCAGCCCTACTCATAATACCTTCAAACTAGAAAGAAGCCAGGTATCTTTCAACCAGATAATAAATAATTGTGATCTATTCATACAGTGAACTGTTATTGTGTTAGTCGGTTTGGGCTGCTATATAACAAAGTGCCATAGACTGGGTGGCTTATAAACAAAAGAAATGTATTTCTCACCATTTCGTAGGCTGGAAGTTCGAGACCAGGGTGTCAGCATGGTTGGGTTCTGATGAGGGCCCTCTACCAGGTTGTAGGCTGCCTTCTCACGGTGTTCTCACATGGCAGAAAGAGGGCAAGAGAGCTCTCTGGGGCCCCTTTGTAAGTGCACTCATCCCATTCACAAAGGCTCCCCCTCCTTGATCTAACAGCTTTCAAAGACCCCACCTCCAAATACCATCACAATGGGGGTTAGGACTTTAACCTAGGAATTTTGATGGGGCACAAACTTTCAGACCATTAAAGTGAACAAGAAAGAAGGCTGCGCTTCTAATACATGTCACAGCAGGGATGAGTCTTAGACGTGAATTTCACACCTGGCATGAAGGAAGCCAGGCAAAAAGGACGTGCTCTGTAATTCAGTATGTAAGAAGCCCCAGAGCAGGGAGAGAAGTCAGAACAGTGATTATTATGGGAGGGTGGGGGTGGAATTGACTTGTCAGGGGAAATCACATACATTGGGAAATGAGAAAATGTCTTCTGTCTTAATTGGAATATATACATTTGAGGGTATGCACCAAATGATCATGTATGTTTGTCAAAAGTCATTGAATTAGGCTGGGCGCCGTGGCTCACACCTGTAATCCCAGCACTTTGGGAGGCCGAGGCAGGTGGATCACTTGACATCAGGAGTCTGAGAGCAATCTGGCCAAGATGGGGAAATCCCATCTCTACTAAAAATACAAAAGCTAGCCGGATGTGGTGGTGTGCACCTGTAATTCCAGCTACTCAGGAGGCTGCAGCAGGAGAATCGTTTGAACCCAGGAGACGGAGGTTGCAGTGAGCCGAGATTGCGCCACTGCACTCCAGCCTCAGCAACAGAGGGAGACTCCGTCTCAGGAAAAAAAAAAAAGAAAAGGCATTGAACTGTACATTTAAAATCTGTGCATTTCAATGTATATAAATTTTACTTCAAGGAAAGAAAAAGGGGACATGTCTTGGCATGTGCCTCCTTTCTTAAGCCTATTAATTATAAAACTGGGTTACCCAGATCCTAGAATATGGCTATGAATAGGGTAGCTGTAAGAGCCATAGATAAGAATCTGGGGACTTACGGGTGTTGAAAACTCACGGTGGGGCTGACAATGATTATAATCTGCTTTTTTGTTACCATTTCAGATTATGACAAAGCACTGGTGTTCATCAGGAAACTAATGGGAGTAAAGGGTAAATAGCTTAGTCAAAAATGCAGCTCTCTCTTTCAACATATTAGCAGGAGGCCATTTTCTGGTTTTGTGCGTCAAGCACAAAGACAAGCATCCTATTTGTTTTTAGAAATCACATCTAACTTTCTTTAGGAAAGGAACTTTAATTTTATAGCGAATGAAAAATATCAATTAACCTATTAATTAACCCGGAGAAACTATTAGCCTGGGAGATAATAAAATTGCTTTTGAAAAGATTACCTGACAACTGCACAAATAATTACTCTTGCAAACATCCGGTGTTCTGCCTTTCTCTCTAAGATACTTGAGAGAGTTTAAATATCAAAGAATCCTGATTATTTCATGAGTATTTTCTTCAGCTGTTATAAAAATCATGCTTCAGTGTTTCAGGGATTTTGTTTTGTGCTTGTCTTGGCAGTGGGGAGGAGGGGAGCTTTTGTGTGATTCCAGGTAAAAGTATGCTACTCACAGCCTTTTGTAGGTCATGGCTTCTTGAGAATGTGTACAATGCCACGGAGCCTGTCCCCAGATGCATTTCCATGTGACTATACACATATGCACACAATCTTGCATATGATTTCAGAAGCTTGGTGGGCTGCTAGAATTTTGTCTCAGATCCTCTAGAGTCTAGATGATGGAGGCTGGATGTAAGGGAGGAGACCACCCTTCATACTGTCTTATGCCCAATTTCTGCCTCCAAAGAAAGAAGAAGTAAAAACTAAAAGGCAGAAATGAAATCCACAGGCAGACAGCCTGGTACCACACCCGGGGCCTGGTAGTTAAAAATCAACCCCTGACCTAATCGGTTATGTTATCTATAGATTACAGACATTGTGAAAATGCACTGTGAAAATCCCTGTCCTGTTCTGTTCCGTTCTAATTACCGGTGCATGCAGCCCCCAGTCACATACCCCCTGCTTGCTCAATTGATCACGACCCTCTCAAGCGGACTCCCTTAGAGTTGTGAGCCCTTAAAAGGGACAGGAATTGCTCACTCGGGAGCTTGGTTTTTGAGACGTGAGTCTTGCTGATGCTCCCAGCCGAATAAAGCCCTTCCTTCTTCAACTCGGTGTCTGAGGGGTTTTGTCTGTGGCTCGTCCTGCTACAGATGGGCAGCCTTGGTTCTCATTTTTCATGCCATCTCCTCTAATGGAAACAGGAATGATCTCCCCATGTCAACACCTGCAGTGTGGGCCTGCATTTGGGAGGGCGTGTGGGTGCGTGCGCTGGGGCTGGCTACTGGTGTGCATTGCCCAGAGAGTTTATCTCAGAAGTCTTTGACAAAGGCACGGTTGGCTTCATTTTCTGTCTGTGAATTCAAGTAGGAGACAAATGGATTTCCTTACTTTTTCTGATCCTGTGTAGGAACTGTAGAAAAATGGGTGTTTCTCCCTAGTTAGAAAGAAATGCTTTTCCCAAAGATGAATTCAGACAGCTTTATTTAATGGAAAAAAATGTCTTGCCTGTTTCTAAATGCATTCTTCCCTGGTGGCTTATACCTGGCAAAGAGAAAAATTAGTCTCTTGACTGAATGAAGTCCCCGTCAAGACGAAGGAAAAGAGAGAAGTGAGAAAAGAGGCTAGAAGAGCCAGGATTGAAGGCATCGTGCTGGGGGTGGGGTGCGTGCTGAGGGTAATCGTTGCCTGGAGGCACATAGGCTAGTCCATCAGATCCAAAATTCCAAAGCTTGGCTGTGTAAAGAACAACATCTAGGAGTATTGAGAAGCAATGTGGGCAGTGCTGAGATTCAAAAGGGGCGTCCCTAGTCCCAAAGACGAGCCCCACCCAAGTGAATGGACTTCCCGAAATTATGGTACCTGTCTGAGCCTCAGTTTCTCCATTTGTGGATGGGAATAATCACACAAAGTATTTTGCAGAGCAAATGAGAAAATGTTTATAAGAGTCTGGCTGACTGCGGGAATGCTGTTATTTTTGAGTTTCTCTTCCCTTAACGATCAAGAATAATTAGAGACTTATAGCAGCCTGGGAGAAAGTTATCAAAGAAAGGTGTACTGTATCTGCCCAAATTAACATTAGGATGTTTCACGGGAGCTACTTATTTCAGAGGAAGAGCTACAGATGGTTTGGAAGATGATGAGCTTTGGTGAATGCTATGCTCTGAGAATGATGGAAAAACAGATATGGGAGAAACTAGCAAAGCCGTGAAGCCATTAAGGAACTGACCACCTAAAAGACAGAGTCAACAAGGCTGTGCAGGTCTCCTAGGGAGATAAGATGGCATATTAGTCAGGGTTCTCTAGAGGGACAGAACTAATAGGATATATGCATATATAAAAGGGAGTTAATTAAGGAGAACTGACTCACACCATCACAAGATAAAGTCCCACGGTGGGCCATCTGCAAGTTGAGGAGCAAGGAAGCCAGTAGTGGCTCAGTTCGAGTCCCAAAACCTCAAAAGTAGGGAAACCGACAGTGCAGCCTTCAGTCTGTGGCCGAAGGCCCAAGAGCCACTGGTGTAAGTCTAAGAGTTCAAAAGCCAAAGAACTTGGAGTCTGATGTTTGAGGACAGGAAGCATCCAGCATGGGAGAAAGATGAAGGCCGGAAGTCTCAGCAAGTCGGCTTCTCCCACCTTCTCCTGCCTGCCTTACTGCCATGCTGGCAGTTGATTACATCCAATGGTGCCCACCCACATTGAGGGTGGGTCTACCTCTCCCAGTCCACTGACTCAAATGTTAATCTCCTTTGGCAGCACCCTCACAGACACACCAGAAACAATACTTTGCATCCTTCATTCCAGTCAAGCTGACAGTTAATATTAATCATTTACAGATGGAAATAGTGTGGTTCAAATAAGAACAAGAGCACCTTGTGAAATAACATATGTAGAAGCCAAGGCTTGCAATGTACAGTCTAGCAGTGGCCTTTCATGGTAGAGAGACTCATTCTTGCATAAAAATGAAGATATTCAATTAACACATCCTATTGGTTGTATTCTATAACAGGGTGAGCACATTTATTTACTTCAGCTAAATTGAAAATCATGGCCTCACAATGTCACGTGTGTGTGTGTGTGTGTGTGTGCGCGCATGCGCACGGTGGTGGTGGTTGTGATGAAATGGAGGAAGAATATTTGAGATAAAGCTAATCTTTGATAAAATTCCTCCTGTTCAGTGGTGAACCAGGATTGGAGACAGAGACCAGGGGAGCTGCCTTCCCAGGCAAGGAGGGCATTTGGTCACTCACCTTGTTTAGAACTGCTGGCTATGATACGAACACAAAGCAGACTGACCCTTAGTCAGATCTATTATTGTTTTAAATTCTCTATAGATAATGTACTGTCTTATTTCTCACCCCTGGGCAGACTGATCCCACCACCAACCCTGTTCTACCTCCACCCCACACTGCCTCTGGGAATAGCATATGAACAAATGTCATTGTTAATTCCTGATCAGTTGTGGCTGTGTTATCAAAGCAGGAGAATCATTAGGATGTATGGATTATGGCAGCTTAAAAAAACAAAAACTACATGAGAGACTTAGATTTATGCTTGCAGAATGTCCAAATGAGTTGGAAAAGTAAGACTAACAAATCTAGAATAAAAGTGAATTGTCTTTGCCAATTTCACTGCCCCATGGGCAGAGTCAACAGCAACTACTGTCAAAATTGTTCTTGAGATCCATCTGTCCCTAGACATAACTATAAAAACCTTAACTCATGGGAAGAGTCTACGTGGCAGCTCCTTTGAAAGCTTTCCTTGCTGTTTAAGAGAAGTCTAGTCTGCCAGAATAAAAATAAAAATTTAAAAATCTCTACTAAGACAAATTAGAAGATAATGCAAGGAATATTGGGTAAACATGGAAAGAAGGGCTGCCTGTAATAAGCAGTAAAATAATCTTAAACATTCTGTGCAGAGTAAACGCATGTATATACAATTAATTCCAAGGCCAAAGGGAGTGAGTGACATAGAGCGATCACATCATTGTCTGAGGAACCATTCTCTGCCAAGAAAAAAGGCAACAGTCTCATATTCTTCTCTAGATTAGTTGACTGTGAAAAGAAAAGAGGGCAACAAGTCAGCTTCCCTTAGAGAGGTTGTTGGTGAGTGGGACATGTGTTAATGAGACACTTCACACCTTCCCTGGTAGGTACCTGGAGCAGGCTGAAATAAGCAAAAGTGAATGCAGGTGATACAGGTGTGGGGGGTGAGGGGACAGTCTTCCCTACCTGCAGGGGAAAGCCTGTCAAGAAAGCCCTTGCAGCAAGAAGGTACTCAAATTAAATAATGCTTGATACATACTACCTACACACTAACCTTATGGATTAGTATTTTTAAAAGTCTCACCTTTGCATCCTGTTTGTGAGTTAGAAATGACTTGACTAGACGTGATTTCACATATCACGATTTTTAAAAATATTTGCAATTTTCTAAGAATATGTATATGACTAAACTTATATGGTATAAACCATACTGGTAAACATGATGATGATGATGAAGATAATGATGATTGATGATGACAATGATGATAATGATAATGTGCTCTCTAGAAAAAGGAACAATATTCCAGATATTTTAACATACTGCTACTGAATTAGTCCATTCTCACACTGTGATAACTACCTGAGACTGGATAATTTATGAAGAAAAGAGGTTTAATTGAGTCACAGATCCACAGGCTTAACAGGAAGCATGGCCAGGGGGCCTTAGGAAACACAATTATGGTGGGAGGTAAAGGGGAAGCAACTGTGTCTTCACATGGTGGCAGGTGAGAGGGAGAGCGAGAGAGAGCAAGCGCAAAGCAGGAGGTGCTGCAAACTTTAAAGCAACCAGGTCTCATGAAAACTCACTATCACAAGAACGGCAAGAAGGAAGTCTGTCTTGATGATTCAGTCACCTCCCGCCGGGCCCCTCTTCTAACGCATAGGGATTACAATTTGATGAAATTTGGGTGGGGACACACAGCCAAACTGTATCAACCACATTTATTTATCACAGCAGCTATTATTATCCCTGTTCTATATAGATGAAGAAATGGGGGTTTAACAAATTGCCCAAGATGATAGAGCTTTGCCCAATCTATCCATGTACCATCAAGGCCATAGCTTTGCCCTTATTTTGCTTGAAGTTGAAAATTTCTTTTATATTGTTGTTTGATTTTGTTGTATTACAAAGCCAAATCTAAAGAATTTCACTGTAATAATATGCATAGTAGGTGTAATTAGAGGTAGGCTTACTTTGTTTATTTATAGATTTAGTTTGCAATTTAAAATCCATGAAGTGATAGCATGTGTCATAGCCCATCATGAATTTCGAATGAAAACACTGTGGCTGTACTGAGCTTCTGAGAAAAATCCAAGCGGGTAAGCAGGAGTTCTGAGATGGAGATGCACAATCTTAATTACATTAGCTGCCTCCTTGGGCTATTTTGTGTATGTAGTGGGGTGGGCAGTGGGCTTGGTTCTTAATGTAATGAGTGATTTCACCAAGGAGGGAGACAGGGCTTGACTTGATGTGTATGGGTAGTAAGTGGATTACTAGAAGACTTAAGAACAGGGAGGTTAGAGGAAATTGTCACATTTTCACTGGGTTAGGAATTTTAAAACAAAAATACGAGCTTCAATGAGAGAAGGAACATACATGGCCTATTTTAATGATCATGAGAGCAAGAGACTGTCTGAAGTAAGGTTCAATTGCAAGATTCAAAGGTAGGACAATGAGCATGTTGAAAGCTAAGGAGAGGAATAAGTGTAGGAGGAATACATTATTAGGGAAAAGGAAACGCAAATTGTATTTCCTTTGCAATTTGCAAAGGAAAATTTGCAAATTTTCCTTTTGCAAAACTAAAGAGAATTGCAAAACGAAAGAAAAGGAGAGTGATGAAGAGAACCACATGGGCAAAAAAATAAAGATGTAGACAATTCTGGATGATGTTAACAAATGAATAAAGGCATGTGCCAGCAGTTTGCTTAGGGCAGCTAGTCTATTCAGACAGAGAGTTACAGGGTCCGTCCGAGGGGTGGAGGCACAGGCGGCTGTGGTGGAGGGGTGCTGGGGCTGAGGTCCAGTGAGCTGCCTGCCTCTGTGTCAAGAAAGAAGAACTGAAGGTCACATTCTGGAAACAGAAATCCACTTTCCTAGGGGCAGTGTGAAATGTTAAAAGGTTTTATGTTATGCCAGAGAGGATAGTTAGACAATTAGAGTTATCTGAAGGTTGACAAGGCAGCAGGCTTAGATGAATTACACTCCAGCAGTGTGGAGAGGAAGCGCCAGTGAAATGTGAAATTTGGAGAGGCTGAGCCACTCCCAGCACTGGGGGAAAGGAGGTGGCTCTTTGAATTCTGCGGTGCGGGAATGGCAGAGCACACCTGGAAGCCAGGAGGGAGCAGGTGTTACCCTTGAACCAGGCAGACGTGGGGGAGGCCCAGGCGTCTCATCTCTCCCCTCCTCCTGCCCTGTGGGAAGAGCATAGTCCCCCTCTGCCTTTTTCTTTCCTTTTGTCTTCAGTCCGCCCTCCCTGACTAGTACATGGTCGGTCAATCCTGTCATAGAACAGAAACTAGATGTTTCCAGAATTTTTATGCCACAGCGCTTGAATGTTCTATTGTTTCACAATGCTTTGACACTTAGAAGACAATACTACATAGTAGACACTTAAAATAATAGGAAAAATTGTCTGTCAAATAAATGACTTAGAAGACCTGGTTACTATGTCCAATAAATACTTGGTGTTTTATTTTACTCACCCCTCTTAACTTCTCCTTGTTTCAACACCTATAAAATAAGAAGAGTAATATCTGCGCTCTTTACCAGTTTTCCTGAAGACCACATGAGATAAATATGTGAAAACACACTATGAAAAGCACAAAATGCTTTATAACCTATAGCATTATTTTTGTAAGAATGAAGCAAAACTGTAATTGTGTCTGAAATCTAAGAATGGATAGAGGGAAGATATATTCCACTGTAGACTCGAACATGATTTGATTAAAGTCTGACTATAAGAGGAGAAACCACTTCCTGATGAATTATGAGACCCAATTTAAGGAATAAATTATTGGATTGGCTTTTAAAAAAGTCCAGTAGTGGCCGTAATTTATCTTGATTAGTGGAAAGGTTTCATAAACTACAGTGTGCAAAATATTGATCCATTTAGTAAGTACACCATGCAGGGGCCCCTGCAGAAGGCAGGCACCTCCAGCTCTGCAGAGGGCAGCACAGTGGCCCACTGCCTTTTATCACAGCTGTGGAACCAAATGGAAACTGGACGCCGTCACGGAAAACGATCAGTCTGCATGACGGGCGCATGGAAAGGAAGCCTGACATTTGAAAACACGTTTCTTCCAAATATCTTTAAAGATTTCTGAACCAGAGCTCACCCACCTATCTGTAGCCTCCAAATTATGAACAGAATCATGACAGAATTTGGGTTTGTTTCCCAGTGGCTCTGCCTTCTTTTGTTCTTAAATATTTTTTCCAAACTCTCAGATCATAACCAAATAACAAAGGAAGCAGCTGTGATGCTCCTACACTGTGGTAAGTCCCCTTTGAGAATCGTCATTGTGGAAAGGAGAGAAACTTAGATTCTTGATTCTCAGTAGGTCGTTCTTGATGAACACTTGCTAACCCCAAGGCATTCATTTACTGGAGCAAGGTTTTGTGCATTTCAGATGTCAGCCTGAGATTCTGGTAAGATGTTAGGAAGTGCTCCAGCTGGGAATTGCCACCATAGTTCCTTCTCAGCCTCACTTTAGAGAGGTCAAGTGCATCTAGAAAATGCCAGGCTTTAGAGTGACAGCATGAAATACCCCCTTGGGTTCTTTTTTCTTTTTCTTTTTCTTCTTCTTCTTTTTTTTTTTTTTTGGAGACAGTGTGTCACTCTGTTGCCTGGGTTGGAAAGCAGTGGTGTGATCATAGCTCACTGCAGCCTCAATCTCCTGGACTCAAACGATCCTCCCACCTCAGCCTCCTGAGTAGCATGTGCCACTATGCCCAGTTAATTTTTAAAAACATTTTTTTGTAGAGATGAGTTCTTGCTATGTTGCCCAGGCTGGTCTCGTGCTCCTGCCCAAAAGGGATCTTCCTGCTTGGGTTCTTTAGCAGAATTCCAGAGGCTATTCCTACCTGTTGTAATGAAACTTCTCGATTTGCTCTCCTCTCCAACCACACCCTCCCCATCAGCATCTTCTCATCTGCCCTCTGGGGATGTGGATTCCCTTCGGCCTATGAAGGCAGGTCTCCCATTTAGGATATTCAAAAGCGGTCTGGTGCGGGTGGCTCATACCTGTAATCCCAGCACTTTGGGAGGCTGAGGCAGGTGGATCACCTGAGGTCAGGAGTTCAAGACCAGCCTGGCTAACATGGCAAAACTCCATCTCTACTAAAAAATACAAAAAAATTAGTGGTTGTGGTGGCATGTACCTGTAATCCCAGCTACTTGGTAGGCTGAGGCAGAAGAATTTTCTGAACCTGGGAGGCAGAGATTGCAGTGAGCCAAGATGGCGCCACTGCACTCCAGCCTGGGCAACAAGAGTGAAAACTCCATTTCAAAAATAAACAAATAAATAAATAATAAACAGAATATGCAAATTCAACTCCAAACCCAAATGAGGAAGGCCATCAAATAAGATAGAAGGTAATGGTTCCCACTATTTGAGTAAGACAGCCACATGGGGACAAATGGCTTGTGCAATTTAGTGGAGTAAATGGCACGGCCACATGACCTTGTTTGGCTTCTGTTGGTTAGCAGAGATCCTTGGCATCAGCCAGATCCATTTGTTTTCTTGAATCTTAGCTTTTCCTCTCCTTTGTCCCCAAATATCAAAGGGCAAACCACTTGACATCATTTCTAGCTGTCATTTCCCAATGCAGTAGTTTTAAAGCCTGAAAAGCCAAAGGCACCACTAGAAATTACATATATTGTGGGGCAACACGTGGAACTTAAAGAAAGTGAGCATGAGGAGGAGAGGAGAGATGAGGCGAGGCGAGGGGAGGGGAGGCGAGGGGAGGGGAGGGGAGGAGAGGATGAATTGCTGCCAGGTGCTGCCCCACTTTTCATACCTATCCAAGTGACTCTTCCAGATTCTAAGTACATTCAGATTGTGTTTTAGTGAAATGCAGTAAAACAAACAGATGTTAAATTGCTTTCATACATATCTTGTTTTATCCCCATAACAATTCAGTTTCTGGCTTTATCATACCTGTTTGAGAGATGAAAAAACAAGACTCAGTGAGATTTATGCTCCCCACCAAAAATCACAGCAAATTCACCACAGAACCTGAACAGTAACTGAGATCCCGTGGAAGGAGAGCAGACCAGGGAGGCTGACGTTGTTATAGGAGTGTGTGCATTTTACCTATTAGTTCAAGGGGTTTTGTTGGTGTTTTATCATGCTCCACAACCAATAGCAAAAGCAACAAATAAATGGTATAGGACAGTGCAAAGGAATAGGATCATACCCAAGTGCGTTTTAACAAAATAAGTAAACAATCAGTAAAATGTATCTGGGAGTGCTGGCTCCCTCAGGGCCCCTGGAACAGGGGTGCATAGTTAAGAAATATACAGAGTTCTGCTCTAAGAAAACGTGTATTCCTTAAAAACCACCACATTATACAAAATCACACCAATAAAAACACAACAGTAATGAGAGAAATGGGGTTATGGACACAACATTTAAATATGTTGTCAGTGAAAAATAAAAGGAACATAGTAAAAATCGGTAGCATAGTTTCACACAAGTTATATGGTTAAGAAATACATTGAAACTACAAGATATATGGCACTTCACCTTGAAAAAAGCCCCAGAGTTCACTCGGAGGAGTAAGAGCTGAAAAGGCTATAGTTGTGAGTGTTTGGGAAGAGGTAGAAGCAAAGGTGTTGAAATCGGACGGAAGTAACACCAGACATGGATGCGTGTGGCCTGTCACACGCGGAGAACCCAGGCAGTGGCAGCTTGATGGTGTGCAGCCATGTGTTTTATGAATTTCTACAGACTCAATTCCTGGGCTGCAAGCAGTTTTTCTGCATTCACTTAGTGCTTCTCCCAGACCAAATCACACATATGCGAACAGGAAATTAACCTGATGCTCAAATTGTTCTCTAATCTATCAATTACATTGAAACAAAGTCACATTTTCAAAGCAAGCATTTTAACAGAAGTGACTGCACCTAGGTCCTCCCTCTACGGAGCTTACAGTCTCCTTCAGAATAAAATATGGACAAATAGGAAATACTGGATTCGTAAGTGCCAAACTAATATGCAGGTGTTTTGGAAAGGGAGGGGCCGCTGGGGCAGTCAAAGAAGTTTGTTGCAAGAGGCAATTCCGGAAGAAATGACCTAAGCAAAGTCAGAGAAGTGGAGGTAATTGTGATGGGAGAAAAGAGAGGAAGAGGTAGAGGACAGAGAGGACAGCTGCTCAGGGGTGAATGAGAAACAGGTTTGAGCAGAAGCTGGGCTGGCTGTGATAAATACTGAGGAATGTCACTGGAATGTCACTGCAAAGGAGGTGTTTTTTAATGTTTGGGTGTAAATCAAGTCTGTAGCACAGACTGAGGGAATGAATATTTTACAGAATTGCTGTCATCGTTCTGTATCTTACAGCCCATTCTGTTCATTTCTCATTCAATAATATTTATTGAGTTTCTGTTGTATGCCAAACGCGTTCACAACTGTGGATTCAGCTGTGAACACAACGGGTGAAGCATCTACCGTAAGGAGTGGACATCCTAGCAGAGCAGGCACGTGGCTGCTGGTTAAGGAGACGGGCACCCAGTGAGCTCAAAAAGCAGCCAGGGCTGCGGCATGAGGCAGAATCAGGAGTCAGGGAAGGATGAGCCGTGGAGGAAGATGGCTGTCTCAGAGAGGGTGGCCAGAGAGGTCCTCTCTAGAGAATTGACATGTGAATCCCGAGGTGCCCAAAAGGAGTGGGAGCAGGTCTCAAAAAGTTGGTCCCAGGCAGGGGAAGCAATGGATGGAAAAATCTGACATGTGGAGAGGCAGCCACAAGTCTGTGGGGTGGGAGCGGTAGGAGAGGATGTGGGCTGGAGTCCATGGGTAGGAGTTGGGGCTTTATCCTCAGTTCCGTGGAAAGCTGCCAGGTCATGTTGAGCAGGAGTGTGTTGTGATCGGATTCACTTTTTAAAAAATTATTTTATTTCCATAGGTTATTGGGGAACAGGTAGTGGTTGGTTACACAAGTAAGTTCTTTAGTGGTTATTCGTGGGATTTTGGTGCACCTATCGCCCAAGCAGTATACACTGCACTCAATTTATAGTCTTTTATTCCTCACCCCTTTCCACTCTTTCCTCCTGAGTCCCCAAAGTCCGTTGTGCCATTGTGTCATTCTTATGCCTTTGCATCCTCATAGCTTAGCTCCCATTTATGAGTGAGAACATATGATGGTTAGTTTTCCATTCCTGAGTTACTTCATCTAGAATAATAGTCTCCAATCTCACCTAGGTTGCTACAAATGCCATTAATTCATTCCTTTTTTATGGCTGAGTAGTATTCCTTCGTATATATATATAATACATATATATGTATAATATATATTATATATATTATGTATATATAAAATACATATATATGTATAATATATATATTATATATATTCTTGCAATTGTGAATTGTGCTGCTATAAACATGTGTGTGCAGGTATCTTTTTCATATAATTACTTATTTTCTTCTTGGTAAATACCTAGTAGTGGGATTGCTAGATCAAATGGTAGTTCTTTTGGTGTATTTTGTTGTTTGTTTGTTTGTTTAGATGGAGTCTCACTCTGTTGCCCAGGCTGGAGTGCAATGGTGTGATCTCAGCTCACCGTAATCTCCGCCTCCTGGGTTCAAGTGATTCTCCTGCCTCAGCCTCCCAAGTAGTTGGAACTGCAGGCACATGCCACCACGCCTGGGTAATTTTTGTATTTTTAGTAGAGACAGGGTTTCACCGTATTGGCCAGGCTGGTCTTGAACTCCTGACCTTGTGTTCCGCCTGCCTCAGCCTCCCAAAGTGCTGGGATTACAGGCATGAGCTGCCACGCCCAGCCAATTCTTTTAGTTTTTTAAGGAATCTCCACACTGTTTTCCATAGTGGTTGCACTAGTTTACATTTTCACCAGCAGTGTAGAAGTATTCCCAGTTCACTGCATGCACGCCAACATTTATTTGCTGGGATAATTGGCAAGCTACATGTAGGAGAACGAAACTGGATCCTCATCTCTCACCTTATACAGAAATCAATTCAAGATGGATCAAGGACTTAAGTCTAAGACCTGAAACTATAAAAATTCTAGAAGATAACATCATAAAAACCCTTCTAGACATTGGCTTAGGCAAGAATTTCATGACTAAGAACCCAAAAGTAAGTGCAATAAAAACAAAGATTAATAGCTGGGACTTAATTAAACTAAAGAGCTTTTGCGGGGCAAAAGGTAAGGTCAGCAGAATAAACAGAAAACCCACAGAGTGGGGGAAAATCTTCACAATCTATACATCTGACAGAGGACTAATATCCAGACTCTACAATGAACTCAAACAAATTAGCAAGAAAAAAACAAACAATCCCATCGAAAAGTGAGCTAAGGACATGAATAGACAATTCCCAAAAGAAGATATACAAATGGCCAACAAACATATGAAAAAATGCTCAACATCATTAATGATCAGGGAAATGCAAATCAAAACTACAATGAGATACCATCTTACTCCTGCAAGAATGATTCACATTTTTTAAAAGATAATTTTGCTTATACTTGGAGAAGCTCTAGGGGAAAAAACTGGAAACACAAAGAGGAGGTATGGGAGAGTTGATGGTGGCTTGGACCTGGGTGGTGGATGTAAGCAGGGAAGGAAGGAAGGAAGGGAGGGAGAGAGGGAGAGAGGGAGAGAGGGAGGAAGGAGAAAGAAGAGAGCTGGATTCAGTGTTTTGAAGTTAAAGCCCACAGGGTGCACTAATAGACTGCTCGTGAAATATGAAGGAAAGTGAAAATTGAGGATAACTTCAGCTCTGCCCCCTTCCCCAGAACTGAGTAGATGGAGATCTAATTTACTGCGATGTGGATGACTGGGAGGGCGGAGTGTTGTGTGGACTCCCCACCCCAGATTCATATGTTGAAGAGCTAATTGGTTGTGAGGACCTCAGAATGTGACTGTCTCTGCAAATCGGGCCTTTAAAGAGGTAATTAGGTTAAAATGAGGCCATAGAGGTGGAACTTACTCTAATATGACTGGTGTCCTTATGAGAAGAGAACATTTGGACCCACAGTGAGACACCAGGAATGCACTGCCACAGAGAAAAGATCATGTGAGGACACAGTGAGAAGGTGCCGTCTGCAAGCCAGGGAGAGAGGCCTCAGAGGAATCCAGCCCAGCCGGCTCCTTGATCTCGGGCTTTCGGCCTCCAGAACTGTGAGAAAATAAACTCCTGTTACTTAAGCCACTAAGTTTGTGGAAAGAGAGAACTCAAGGGGGCTTTATTTTAAATATGTTAGAAAGTGTCAAATGAAGTTCAAAAAAAAAAAAAAAAAGACTAGAGACTCTAGGTTAAGCTTACATAAGAGACCCAAGGACAGCAAATCATTTTGTTGGGGATAAAAGTGATATTTGTAGGCAATAATGCAGCTTCTCTGATTTTGTACTAAATACGTTTTAGTAATTTTTTTGTGGCCCAGCTGAGGATAGCTTCTCGAGATACCCTTATGGTTTAACTGTATTTTTCACGCACTGTTACTGGCTAAGGTCAGTGGATCAAAGAGACACAGTAGTCTATGCACGTTTCCGATTTATTAGGTTACGACAGTGGGGAAACTTTCTCCTTAGTCTAGTCCATGAATCTGCTCACCAATGAAAAGGAAATATAGCTAGGAATTATAGCGTTACTGACTCCGTAATACTTCAATAAAATCTGTTCCCAGTTTGAGAAGGAGTCGGGCAAACACAGGAACTTGCTTAAGGAAAATAACCATGATATAGATAACCAACAGAAAGTCTAGAGTAAGAAACCTACCCCACTCCCTTTCTAGCAGTGATTGCCTATTACAGGAGAAAACAGATTGGAAGAACAAAGGGGAAAGACTCAACAGAAACTGTAATGTGACATAGCTTAGTCTCCTGAAAGGAGCAAAGAAAATCAGCTCAGGAGTAAATCAGGATCTCTCTTCTCTTGCCAGGACAAATTCTTCACTTTTAAGATCAAGATTAGGGAGCTGATTAGAACAGGTTAGCTTCTGTTTATATATGAGCAGTTTTTAATTCCATAGCCATTTTAGAAGAAAAATCTGAGTAATCATCGCCTCAATGACAGAAGCTAGATCAACCTCCCACAAGCTGCAGCTTTAGAATATTGGATGGAAGGAAATTGATCCTGAGATGTGGAATCCCACAATATTTTCACTAACAGGTTTCCATGAGAAGTGGGTGCTTCATTCATTCTTGTCTACACACCTATTTCTGCACTTCCTCCTACAATATCTCTTTTGAGCCAGCCTCAGACCAAACACGACTGCATTCCAAACAGTCCTCTGTTATGTTCTTTTTATTATTATTATTATTATTATTTTTGAGACAAAGTCTCACTCTGTCACCCAGGCTGGAGTGCAATGGCACGATCTCGGCTCCCTGCAAGCTCTGCAACCTACCAGGTTCAAGTGATTCTCCTGCCTCAGCCTCCTGAGTAGCTGGGATTACAGGTGCCCACTACCACACACGGCTAATTTTTGTATTTTTAGTAGATATGAGGTTTCGCCATGTTTGCCAGGCTGGTCTTGAACTCCCGACCTCAGGTAATCCACCTGCCTCAGTCTCCCAAAGTGCTGAAATTATAGGCGTGAGCCACTGCACCCAACCTTGTTATGTTCTTTTCTTGGAGGTCTGTGGGAACTGGTATGAAGGTGGTACACTATAAAGAAAATAACTTACATGGCCAACTAGAGTTCTGAAAAACCCTCTTCTTTAACACAATTAAAGCTCATTAAGGTTATGTTGTGCTGCAAAGTGGCCTTTTCAAAGAGTGTGAGAGGTGCATTTTATTCACATATATTTGCACTGAGTTCAAGTATCCCTAATTCTCATTATGTGTAATGCATTTACTGTGAAAAGACATAGAATATTGAAACCACAACATGACATGCATACAATTCATAACAAAGCTTTCAAGCTATGAAATATTTCATGGTAGGACAGAGAAGCACACTCCGAGTTCTTTGTAGTAGAGTTATTTGGTGTCACATAACGATTAAGAACAATGGCTCCAGTCACAAAGGCTTGAGTTTAATCCTTGCTCAACTTTTAATTGGCTGTTACTTTGGACAATTACTCTCTCTTAAGCCTATTTCCACTTGAAAAAAATGGGTAATAACAATGTCTGTCTTGTAGGATTACTGTAAAGATGAAAATTGTATTATCAAAAGCTGAGTATAGTGCTTGGTATAGAGTGAAGAGGGCCCGCATTGGTATCTGTGATGATGATGGTGGTGATGGTGATGATGATGTTAATGATGTTAATGATGATAGTGATAATGATGGTGATCCTGATGATGGTGTTGATGATGATGGTGATAATGGTGATGATAATGATAGTGATAGTGACAATGGTGTTAATGATGTTAATGATGATAGTGATAATGATGATGATCCTGATGATGGTGTTGATGCTGGTGATAATGGTGTTGATAATGATAGTGATAGTGATGATGGTGTTAATGATGATAGTGATAATGATGGTGATCCTGATGATGGTGATAATGGTGATGATAATGATAGTGATAGTGATGATGGTGTTAATGATGTTAATGATGATAGTGATAATGATGGTGATCCTGATGATGGTGTTGATGATGATGGTGATAATGGTGATGATAATGATAGTGATAGTGATGATGGTGTTAATGGTGATGGTGATAATGATGGTGATCATGATGGTGTTAATGGTGATGATGATGGTGATGATGATGGTGATGATAATGATAGTGATAGTGATGATGGTGTTAATGGTGATGGTGATAATGATGGTGATGGTGATAATGATGGTGATGATAATGATAGTGATAGTGATGATGGTGTTAATGGTGATGATGATAATGATGGTGACAGTGATGATGTTGATGGTGTTAATGGCGATGATGATGATGGTCATAATGATGATGATGGTGATGCTTCTGATGCTGATAATGTTAAACTGAACCAAGTCTCTCTGAAATGAAATGTGGTGCAGCCTTCTTAGATCATTGGGCAAAAAGAAGGCCTCTCAGGACATGTTTCTGCTGTAGCTTGTGCCACTCAAGTCCTTGGGATGCTTTGTAATAAGAAATGAAAGTTAGCTGAATGTATTTTACAGAAATGCACCGTTTAATACTCCCTTACATAATGCAGGATCAGGAGATATAGAAGTAGACAATCATGTTGTAACTTTTAATAAATTGTTCAATCATAGTATTCAATGCTGCTGCACCATTGATTGTATTAGCAAGCATCAAAAAAATCCTTAAATGATAATGTAGCCGACTTACACAAAATAAACTTAAGATTACTGTTTTGGTCAAAGAATTTTCTTGGGTCAGTAGAGGGAGATGAGGAAAAGAAAAATATTTTATTATATTGTAGTATATTAAATAGGTTTTATTGTATTTCTTTTTAAAAAAATATACAAGTGAGTATTCTCTCAAACCTTAGACTTTTTCACCCTGGCCTTTCATTGTTACTTGACTGGCTGTTACTTTGGTCCTATTTTTAACTAGCAAAAGATCAGACAAAATAAAGGGAAGAAAAGACAATTATCTAAAAATGCAACATGTACAACTGCACAGTCTAGAAATAACTTGGGTGTCCACATGTGAGGTAAGCATCTGGAACTAGCAAACCATGGTGAGACATTGTAGACTCATCCCCCTCCCATTATGGACTTGACCTCCCATCCCATGCTCCTGGAGATCTGGTCTATGATGAGATTTCTCTCATATCTCTATGAGAGATACTGTTGTCGTTTCCTTCTGAGTATCTATAGGTGATTAACTAAACCGATCAGACTGGGAACTCCTCCAGTGCTACACTGTGTACACTGGTTGAATAAATGAATGAACATATAAAAGAACAAATGAAACCATATCAGGGGTGTCCTCAATTTGGGGAGATGCTTGAAATCAATCTGTCTTATGAAGGAACTAGGAAGGGTTACAGTCTTATTCACCAAGATCTGGCGCAGGCTTTGAAAGAAGGGACACCTGACCTCAGGTGATCCGCCAGCCTTGGCCTCCCAAAGTGACCCCATCTCTACTAAAAATACAAAAATTAGCTGGGTGTGGTGGTGCACACCTGTAATCCCAGCTACTCGGGAAGCTGAGGCATGAGAATCACTTGAACCTGGGAGGCAGAGGTTGCAGTGAGTGGAGATTAAGCCATTGCACTCCAGCCTGGGTGACAGAGCGAGATTCTGTCCCAAATAAAGGACAAAGAAGAATATTTGTTCATTCTGTACACTTGGCCAGAGATGTTTTTGACTGAAATTCATTGGTTAACTAACAGTGCTTACTGGGTTTTATCACATAAGTTCATATAAATCAATCAATATGATTACATATCTGTTCAATGAAATGATTCCACCAGAGGTTCTCAAAGTGTATCTGAGGACCCTGGGGGTACCCAGCACCTTTCTTAGGACATCTAGAAAGTCAAAACTATTTTCATAATGATATCAAGATGTTATTTGCCTTTTGTACTTTCATTCTCTCATGAGTATGAAAAATTAATCAATTTGGTTTCAGAGTGCACATTACAACTAACCTTGTCAGGTTTTGATATAGTATCAAATAAAAATATTCGCAGTTATCTGATAAAGCAATTAAAACATCCTCCTTTTCCAACTACATATTTTTGTGAGACTAGATTTCTTTTATATACTTAAACCAAGAGTAATATATTGCAACAAATTGAAAGCAAAAGCAGATGTTGGAATCTGGCTGTTTTCTATTGTTTTCCTTCTTCTATTAAAGTCAAGGTTACTAAGATTTGTAGAAATCTAAAACAATGCCACTCTGCTCACCAAATTTTTTTGAAAATAATTTTGCATAAAATGTGCTGATTATAGTAAGATATAATAGATTTTCATTTTGAATACTTAAATATTCAACATTTTTTCATTTTATTATTGTAAATATACAATAATTCACAATAATATATTACAATATATAATATATATTTACAATAAAATTATATATTTACTGTAACAAATTATATATATATTTATCCCTTATATATATTTTATATATATCCCTTATACACATATACATATACATGCACATACATATATAATGTGTGTATATATTTATCTCTTATAAACACATACACATGTGTACACACACACATATATGCACACATACTTATATATGCGTGTACATATTTATCCCTTATAAACACATATACACACATGTACACACACATATGTGCACATACATATATATGTGCATGTATATATCCCTTACATATACACACATATACATGCACACATATATGCACACATACATATATATGTGTGTGTATATATTTATCCCTTATAAACACATATACACACGTATATGCACACATACATATATATGTGTGTGTATATATTTATCCCTTATAAACACATATACACACGTATATGCACACATACATATATATGTGTGTGTATATATTTATCCCTTATAAACACATATACACACGTATATGCACACATACATATATATGTGTGTGTATATATTTATCCCTTATAAACACATATACACACGTATATGCACACATACATATTTATGTGTGTGTATATATTTATCCCTTATAAACACATATACACACGTATATGCGCACATACATATTTATGTGCATGTATATATTTATCCCTTACGAACAAAAGCTCTTTGGGGTCCTCAATAGCTTCTAAAGGTGCAAAGGGTTTCTGAGACCAACATGTCTGAAAGCCACTGAATTACCTTAACAGCTCCTAGGTCTGAAAGTTTATGGTTCTAAAAAATGCCCAGCACTTGCTGTTTCTATGAGGAATAAAAGTGATTGTCTCACCATCAACACTGTCTACAACACTGTTAGGGAGACAAAGCTTATCTACATCAACATGATGGATTAGCTACTTTTCTTAGTTCTTTCTAGCTCCCACAACAAAATACCGTAAACTGGGTGGCTTATAAACAAGAGAAATGTATTGCTCACGGTTCTGGAACTTGGAAGTCCAAGATCAAAGTGGAAACAGATTCAGCATCTGGTGAGGGCCCGTTCCTCATTGACAGTCATCTTGCTGTATTCTCATATGGTGGATGGGACTAGAGGTCTCCCTCTGGGATTTCCTTTATAAGGGCATTAATCCTATTCAGGAGGTAACATTCATGACCTAACCCCTTCCGGAGGCCTTGCCTCCTAACACCATCACATTGAAGGTTAGGATTCTGACATAGGGATTTTGGATGGATGCATGCATTCAGACCACAGTGACAGCCTACAATCAAGTTCTAAATTGTGTAGTTCAAACTAGGAGAACTGTGAGGAGATGGTTTTGGGGAAAGTGACTTCTGCATTTGCCTCAATGATTTTCCCTGCGATGACACGTGGCCTGCTCTGAACAGTGTTTGTTCCACAAAATGCTGCTGTCCTTTATTCAGAAACTTTCTATTGAAACCAATTTTTATCTCAATAACCTGATTTTTAATCTCACAAAACTGGACCTGGTGACTTTGAATTACTATATTAGAACCTTGTAAATTGCCTTGTTTACTGATTGTTTTAACACAAGATCCTGTCATCTCACTAGACTATGTAAATTTGCAGATAAAAATGCCCATCTTAGATTGGTCAGCCTGGGGGTGAAAATGGACTCAACCACTTCTATCTATTGATTAAAGGACTCTGAGTAAGTCTCCTAAGTATATGTTTTTTTTTCAATCTGTAATATCAGGATGTTAGCTGTCATTTTTAAGCCCCTGTGATATCCCATGTGATCCAAAAGACACTTTGTATAATTCATCAATTCTCAAAACAACATGCTGAGATAACGTAATTTTCATTCTCTATAAATGGGGAAACCGAAGATCAAAGAATTGAATCATGGCTAAAACCACACAACTGGTAAGTGGAAAGGAGTTCCACTTAAATTGAACTTATAACTTTGATCTAAGCTGTCTGATTCTAAAGCTAGTGATTATTTTCCTATTATTTTGATGGTCAGCTCTTAAGAGTTCTTGCAATAGTTGAATAAAGTGAAGCCTGTGATAGCCTAGTGCGATGTCAGGTACGTAGTCAGTGGTCACTCAGCCTTGGTTCCCCTTGTCCTGCCCTTCTCCTGGGCCACAGTGCTTTGTAGAGCTGTATTGTACCATCCCAGTAGGTTTAGCCACACAGAGCCCATGAGAACAAGCTTTGCACTTAGATATGCTGTCCATGTATTTGACAATTGATTTGCTGTCCTGACTTTGCTATTACCTATCCTCCTGATCATGGACAAGTTCCTCCGCTTCTCTGGGCTTTGGCTTTCTTTTCTGTAAAAGGATGAATTTGGACAAGATTACCATCAGATCTATAGATTTTCTACCTTATAGATCTGTACTATTGCTGAGATTTTTGTGACAAGCTTAGGAGTTCCCCAAAATAATGAAACTGTGCTATTTGAACATTTTCTCTGAATCTCAGAGGTACAAATTTGGAAATCTACATTGTCATTAAGGAAATGTGATGTATAAGAAAAACAGTAAAGTATAGCTGCCGTATACCGTACTTCTTAGGTATAAAATTCATGCTATAAAATGACTTTCTTCATCTGGTGTCAAACCCTAAATAATGGGAAATAATGCAAAGGAAATATGTTTCCTGATAGTCAATAGAAGGAATGACGGACCCAGCAGCCATGTGAGGGTATATTTAAACTAAGACCTTCATTTCATGCTTCTCATGATTCTAATTCTCATTTTCCCATCGAGTTAAAGGGGGAGGATTGAGTTTAACATGTGGGAAGAGTAAGATGCCTTGGTTCTTCCATTGTTAGTTTTCCATATTCACCATGTTGTATAATCATTAAGCGTATTTAATCGTGGTTATTGAGTTAAAAATGAAGTGTTACCACCCGGTTTTGCAGCATGTGCCGTAATTGTTAATCTGGTTATGCCAGGTTGCTATGCATAAACAATGTCTCACATCAATTTAGAAAATATGATCATTACTGTTTATGAACTGATAATATAGAAAAAACCATTTAGAATGGATAGAAGGAAAATATCATTTTTCTAAAGAAAAGCAAAAGAAAACATGTCGTTGGCAGAGTAACAACATGAATCATAGAATCTAGAAGCTCGTAAGGGTCTGAGAAACCATGGGCTCCAGCTCACCAAGTACCAGAATGTGAAGTGATGTGTCCAGGTGCCATGTCCCCCAGAGGATGCTCAGGTCTAAGGCTGAAATGGCCAATCTGTTCAGAAGCACATGGGTCTCCTTTCCTAATAAAGGAAGTAGCTAAGATCCACCCTTAAGGCGGCAAAGTGTGTACTAAGGCATCAAAAGGACAAGTCAGGTAGTGAGTAGGTCACTTATTACCAGACTCAATACCAGTAGCTCCTGCAGAACAGGGGATGACTTTTCCTCTGAAAACAAGAGTACAAGTGCCTGGTCTCTGGGTGTGCCTATGGGGAAATTCTGCCCTGGTTCTGGGGCTCAGTCTGATTCCAAAGCACACAGTCCTAAGAATGGGGCTTTCCACGCCTCAGCCCCTGTGTCTTCCCCCTTCACCTCCTACAACACTGCCCCAGTCCGTGTGGGTCAACTCTCCTTTTTCTCAAAAGCCTTCACTTCTAAAAGCAAGGTTGTTTATTAAGTTAAGTGACAAAGAGATACTGCAACAATAATAAGCTGTGATCAAAGACTGGGTTGATGTTCCACATCACAAGCACTTTCATTGGAAGTTTCTAGGATTCCAGGATGTCTGTTTCTGTGAATCCCACTCAGAAGACTGTGTCTTCATTAATCAGAGAGAAGACAATGCAAAATTTTAAGCTCTGGTAATAGTCTATGTAAACTGACTATTGTCCATTTATTTTGTCTCTACTGAGTTTAAAGATTCAGTGATACCCCATTTATGTGTCGATCCAATCAGACAGGTACCAGAGGTGTCTCTCTCTGGGGTAGCAAACTCAGAGGGGACAAAAATGACAGCTCTACTATTGGTTGTGGTTGCGAACACATATATTGTTGCAAAGAGGAAGAGCCTATTGAAATCAGACGTGGGCAGGTGTTGAGTTCTACTGTGATTTGCTATTTTCCATCATACAGAGCAAGGACAACCAGAACTGCAAAGACAGAGGCCAGCAGTGGTAATGAGGACTGAAGAGAAGTCCCAGCATGGACAGGAGGCCCTTATCATTTTTAAACAGCACAATTCCCTCCATCTTACCTTTGGCACTGGAGATAAATGAAATAGGCTGTTCTGTTTGAAAAGAGTGTACCTGCTCAGTGGGACCAGCAAGCACCATGTGGCCATACTGTGACAGTCATCAAAAGAAAGAGTGCACCTTCCTTTGCAGTGATAAGGGGGTCACAGAGAAAGCCTGGGGGTCAAAGCTAGATACAAGGCATCAGGCTGCCACTCTCATCCAGGGACACAAACATTCTTGTCTCCAATATTGGATCTGAAAGTAAAATCAACATATTCTGAAGGAAAAGGATCCAGTGAAGGAGGACAGTATTATTCAGGGAGGCCTTGCTATACCTTTATCTCCGGGGTTTCCTGCCTTACAGGAAGATGTTGCCTTATAGAAAGATTTATGAATGAGATGCTTTGATGAAAGTCTGTAACCAAAACTCTTAGCTATGTGGATGGATAACTATAGCCAGCTTCCTGGTTTCAAGGAAAAAGTTCTCAAAACTCTCTCTACATTTTGCATCCTGAAATAATCAATGTATCTACCTCCCTGGATAGACAATTAGCTTCTTGAGAACAAGTACCCTGAATTGTTCACTTTCAATTCCCTGGCTGCCAGCACAGTGCCTTGAACTGAACTGAGCTTCTACCTAAGCATCTGTATCTTCTGCTAAAAGAGACCTGCCTGCTCCATCCATTTTTAACAGGACTCTTTCCTAATATTTGCTTTTAATTAAATGGAATATTCATCAAAGTGAAAAACATGCTTCACTTAGTACATTACCTCAGACTACAGAGAACACACCTCTGTTACTTCTTATGGTCCTTTTGGGACAGCTGTGGATTTAGTTTCATAGACTTTATTAGCATAATTGAAAAAGACAATCCGAGGGGAAGCATTTTGTGCACCGCCTGGATGGAAATTATATGAAGGTGGCATTACCAGTACTGTACTTGCTACTAAAATTTCACCTAAAGACTCATTGCAAAGCACTTGGGCAAATTTTCCTTTTCTCACTTGGAATTCAATTTTGAAAATTGGGGGATGTCAAGAATTTCACTGAATGAGGTTCATTTTTAAAATCCCATTATGAGAGGGCAGTGTAGGGGGACTCCATTAGCCCCAGGAGTGTTGAGGGGAAACGTAAATGAGTGAGGCCATTAAAGTCCTTAGACCACGGGGGCCTCAATAGAGCCTGAGATGGCTGCTGAGGAGGTGGAGACATGGTCATGATAAGGACTGACTCCCAGCCCAGAGGATGATGAGCTGGTGCGTGTTCTCATGCTGTGTCAAACCTCCTTGCATATCAATCTTCTGTTCACCCTCACAGCCAATCCTGAAATCCATCCTGTCTCCACATCTGTGGAGTTTCCTGTTGCATGGAGCTCCTCACAAAAGTCTACTTTCCAAGACAGCTTTCCCCAACCCAGAATGACAGTGGGATTCACACATTATCAAGAAAAGTCACCCATTTCATTTTGTTCCCACTGGAGTCTCTTTTATCACTTCCCTCACAAATGATTCTGGGGATATTTAAACTAATTTTCTAGTGTAGAAGAATTTAATGGATGTGTGGACACCATGAATACAGCTGCTGCTCAGTGCCTGTACTTGCTTTTGTCCCCAGGAATTGATTTGAGTGCAATCAATTTGCAATTCCCAATAATGTAGAGAGCTGCCTCTTTGTCTCAGCATCTGTCCTGCTAACTGTGAGGCCCGACACTATGGTGAAGGAGGCAGAATAGGAAAGGAAGAGCTTCTGGCATGAGAGACAGAAAAAGCTTCAGATGGAGGATCAGGACCACAGGCACACATCCCCTAAAGATCATGGAAATAATGACAAAATACAACCTGCGTTACAGCCAGCTCCCCTAGCAAGGTGTTTATTCTGTGCAACAAGACACGCTTACTCTCACCATTAGGATCATCATTAGCTTTAAAATTGTCAAGTGACAATTACCCATATATTGCGGTGATACACTTTTTATACTGAAGCAAAATACAGTCTTATGGATGGGTTATTTTCTGTGTAACAATGCACATCATTCTGCAAGATGACCAAACAGGAGAGAAAACAATTCACGTTCTGTAGATTACTTGATTGTGCCCCATTTTGTTAATGGGCAGTATATTTTAAACTACAATTTCAAAGTCAAATGTCTGCATTGGTTGTTTCTTTAAGTGTAAAGAGATCAGAAAAAAAGGGTTTATTCCTTAGAATGAGTTTCCCTGAGATGTAGCGAGGACATTATAGTCAGACTGGCACAAGCAAAGAAACAGTTACAGCAGCACCAACAATTAGGAGAAAAATTGGACTCCAAGTGAAACAATGCTAGGCGTCTCACTATAAATGCTATCAACACTTTGTGTGAGACAGGTGCAGAGTGTGAAAGCAATCATTCGTACAGATAATCACTGTATCAAATGCGTGTCCCTGCCTGGACTGCACCTGCCACACCTTTTCATAAAGCCAGGAAGCCAGACAACAGTGTCTTGTTGAGGGTTGGCTGTACCATATGGGAACTGTGAGCCCTGCACCAGCATCAGGTGGTGCTTCTGTTATTTGCTCTCTCACTGATTTAGAGGAGTCCTGAGAAATTGAGGTCCTCAACAGAAAACACATGGGTCAGTGTTAATTCATCTCCAGTGACCTTTGCTGCTGTGGAATTCTGTAGTCCTGTCTCTGTTCCTTCTTTTATCCAAGGCTTCTCATTGCAAAATGGAAACCGTATTGTCAGGTTCTAAGTTCTGAGCAGCATTTTGATTGGGATTCTATAGTTCCTCAGTCATATCACTATTCTTATCATGGTGATACCAATACAATTATTACAAATGCAAATACAACCCCCAGTTTTCCTGCAATAGAATATGTGAGCCATTTCACACTGGAGTTGATCTACATAAAGTCAGCTGATTCTAAGAGCTCAGATCCATACACCCGCCCCTGCCTGTCAACATGGCCACTGACCACGCTAACACGCTGACGAGGTGAGTCCTTCACCTCTTGGCAACCAGAAGTGTTAGACCTTGAATTTTAGCATTTGCTGAATGGAGATGCTTCCATGCACTTTAGAAGATTTGATTCTTCTGCAAGAAGAATTCTCCTGTTAAATATGCAAAATACGTTTTTTTTCTTGTTCTTTGGCACTAGTTACCAAAATCTGCAAGTCTGTCTATTTTTAATGTACCTTCTTTTAAAAGCACTGCAGTGCCTATGTGTATATTAGGCTCTAAACCTGGCTCTGGGAGGTCATGAGTATAATTTTAGACCTAGCAAGTTCTGAAGTCACTGTTTCTCTTGTATTTCACAATGAAATGTCAGGAATAATTTTTTGAAAATGAAGTGGAACCTTCTTTTAAATACGAGCCCTTCATCTCCATCACTCCTCCCAGGCTCTGTCATAATCACAGGCCGGGAGCTACATTTCTGGCTGATGGGATCCTTGTGCAGTTGGCACAGGCTCTGCCCCCATGCCTCTGGACCCTCAGCTGTCCTTGCACACCTGCTGCAGGTGCACTGTCATGCTCAGGGCAGCACCTGTGTCCTTTCATTGGCACTTCCGGCACGCTGCCAGAGCTCTTACTGCCCGCCTGGCCTGGTGGCTGGAAATGCCTGGGGATTTTGCCCCTTTGGGCAGCCTCAGCCAAGGACTGCCAGATGTGGGGAAATATATTCCAGCCTCCTTTCCCCAGCAGCAGCTCTGAAGGATGGCCTACCTGCTCCTAGAGTCCTCTGCAGGGCTGAGGCACAGTTCTACCTGTGTGACCTCCTTCCCTCTGTGTCCCCTCCCCATGGGTTTCCCTTGAAACACATCTTATAAAATCACTTACCTAGAATACACATTTAAGCCTCCTTCTCATAACCCAACACCTTGGCCCAAAGAGCGGAACAAAGAGCCGGAACCCTGGGGAGTTGTAGCCTATGGACACCAGGTCTCGGGGCCTCTCCTTTAAGGATATCTCTTTTTTCCAAACAGAGTTTAAAGATGTCCTTGTTCCAAATTGAGAAGACAAAAAGCAAACTATGTTGCAGGTTTTCCAAATGATTTCAGACCAGATTTACAATGGCTTGCTCTTTAAAAATTGAAGAAATTCACCCCTGGTATGCCAGGAGCCTGGGAGTCTGCACCAGGATTGTCCCCTGCAGATGTGAGGACAGTTTAATCAGCTCCCTCCTCAGTGCTCCATACTCTGTGAGACGTTGTGGGGAAGGCAGCATTTAAATCTACAAATAAAAGTACTGGATCCCTCAAGAGGAGGAGAGAGTGGTACAACCTTAATGGCCTTAAAGGCCAAGAACTTAATGGCCAAGAAGCCAGACATGGAGATATCCATGGCCATTCTCACCCCACTCTTTCCTTCCCACTGCACCAGCCCCTCCGGCTCCAAATCAAATAGCTCTGAATTCAGAATGCAATTTGAAAACTTGGGAATCAAGGCTCTTCTCTGTGGATCTTGTATTTGAGATAGTAAGACCTTGCCAGTGCCTTGAAGTTATCTATTTAACCTAGCATAGCCGTCACTTTGGAAGAGTGAGGCCAGCACTCCAGGCTACGCTGTGCATGAGAATGAGGACAATTTTGCTAAAACAATACAATGCTTCTTTACTGAGGGTGGGTCTATTTTGTTTTAAGCTTATGGATATTATCTTACAAATACCTGTTAAAACCCCATGCGTAGTTAATAATCCCATTTTAGAAAAAAAGCCACTTTGACATTGAATTGCTAACTGATTTTTCCCAAGGTCACCCCAGTAAAAGTGTCAGATTCTGAAATCAGATTCTGTGCTACTTGATGTTAATGCCCCGTAGGCCTCTCAATCATAAAATGCCTTAGAGTCACAGTGGGTGTGACATACGTGAAGTTGAGGAAAGAACATTTCCCTTTTGACAGCCAGAATAGAATCGTTTAGCAAATGGCATTGATAAGGTCAATAATTCAAATGGGAAATTAGAGTATTATTCTGACCTCACAATAGAATTGATTAGGAAATGGCAATGATAAGGTCAAGAATGCAAATGGGAAATTAAGAGTGTTATTCTGACCTCTAGGGTAGAGAATGGGACCTCTGCTCAGCTTTAAGTGAGGAGCAAGACAGAATAGTGATGGTGAGCCCTGGAGATGCAGTCAGTTCTTGCTGTTCACAGTAGTCATGCTCTATAAGGTTGCCACAAAGGCAGAATTAACTAATACTGAGCTGTTGCTCCTAGTGGAAATGTAAGGTTAGGTTCCTTCAAGCCTCGGGTCACAACATTTTCATCCACAGATCCACACATAAGTTTCTTAAGTGAGCATTTCTGTTTAAAAACATTGTATTACATATATAGTCTTCATTCATTAACACTGATTTCATGGCCAACGGTACTATAACACATGCCTGCATGAAGCTTTTCCAACACACATATTCTTCTCCATAAGGCACATCACGGTATTCTTGTGCTTGGGAACCCTACACAGCACTTCAGCACGCACTTGGGGGCCATTTTAAACAGCAAAATCACCAACAAAAAATACAAAAATGTGGAACTAAATAGACCATGAAGAGGACACTTGTTTATAGTATGAGCTAAAGCAAGAAGGCAGAGTGCCGTCATGTTCAGACCCAGCTAGGAACATGTGTGTCAGGCAACTCACTTTTTTTTCCACTGTGTACATGACTGCAAAAGACCTGGAAAGCACCATGAGTATTGATTTGCAAGTTACACATAAATTTTAGGAGTAGGTCGATCTGCAAATATTGCATCCATGAATAATAAGGATCACCTCTGTTAGCATTAGCACATTGCCCATTGACAAATCTACTGGATTCATCTGAGCTAGTAAAAACAACAACAACAAAAAAAACAATTGTCAATCAGACCAAAGGTAATCTCCATTCGTACACAAATAGAAGGAACAATTAGCTTGGGAAGATCTGCCTGTTTATTTAATTAAAAATAAATTTTAAAAGATGGAAGGCTGGGCATGGAGGCTCACGCCTGTAATCCCAGCACTTTGGGAGGCTGAGGTGGGCAGATCACTTCAGGTCAGGAGTTCGAGACCAGCCTGGCCAACATGGTGAAACCCCATCTCTACTAAAAATACAAAAGATTAGCCAGGCATGGTGGCTCATGCCTGCAATCCCAGCTACTTGGGAGGCTGAGGCAGGAGAATTGCTTGAGCCTGGGAGGCAGAGGTTGCAGTGAGCCAGGATCACAGCACTGTGCTCTAACTTGGGCCATAGGGTGAGATTCTGTCTCCAAAAATAAAAAACTAAAAGAAGGAGAAGAGGAAAGTAGTCTTCTCTCTCTTGCTCCAGCAGTTCTGAATCACCTTTGTGTAGTTTCTTGATGTTCTTGCTTTTCCTGTGCAAATGGGTAGTGACCTTAACAGTGCATACTGTGCTGAAACTCTCCCCAGTGAGAGTTCTTCCACATATTCTGAGCCATGCTGAATAATCAGGCAGGTGCACGGCTTTGCCCACACTCAAGTGAGGAAGGACCATGGGACTCTTCCCGTCATGCGGGCGACAGATGTGGTTCAGCCACTGCAAAATAAAAAGCCAGGCCCTCTGTATAACGAAATTCAGTGACCACTTTGTTTCATTAAGAGGCAGTCTGTTCTGTGGACCTGGGAGGGAGAGACAGGGAGCGTTTTTCACCAACAACTTACAACTCCACAGTAAGTTGAGAGGAGTCCCGACTCCATGCTGTATGAAGTCCAGCACTGACACACCATGGCCAGCGACCAACTTGCTAAGTCAAAAAAATCTAACTCAGAACCCTTTGACTGAGGAACAGTTTTCACACTCCAGAAAATTCTAAATGACTTTCATTTGCTGTTGGTTCACATGCCCTCGTGGAAGACTTTGCTTGCTGCTTTGTTTTCATAAGCAGCTTGAAGGAAACTCAGGCAGGAACTATGGAACTCCAGCTGCTGCTGTAACTGCATCTTGACGATGCAAAATGACGATGGAAATATAGAAGCATGTACATCATATCTATCATGAATTGAGCATGTGGGTCTGTTCCCTCGAATGAAAAATACATGCAAATAAAAATATTTGGCTATAGGTGGTGCAACTTTTAACAGTTGTTCTAGAACTTACACATCCAAATATGTGTTTTCACTTTGCACAGGGTGGCCTATGGAGTTTTATGCTTGCTCTAGTAATGTTGTAGTGGAAAACATTTTGGAAGTATTTTAATGTATTAACCACATTGTTTAATATCTTTAACCTCATTAAATCACAGTCCTTTAAGGAATGATATGTGTGCACTCTTGTATGTGTATGAGTGTATGTATGTGTGTGTGCAGTTGCATGTGTGGGAGTGGGGATGCACGTGTGTGTTTGGTGTGTGTATATGAGCATGTGTGAGTATGTGTGTATATGTGTGTGCAATTGCATGTGTATGTATGTGTATGTATGTGTGTTTGTTGTGTGGTATGTATATGGGCATGTGTGTGTATATATGTGTGTGTGCAGTTGATGTGTTTGGGGGATACCTGTGCTTGTTGTGTGGTATGTGTATGTATGGGCATGTGTGTGTATATATGTGTGTGTGCAGCTGATGTGTGTGTGGGGATGCATGTGTGTGCATTGTGTATATGTGTCTGGGCATGTGTGTGTATCTATGTGTGTGTGCAGTTTGGGGATGCATGTGTGGTGTGCATATGTATATGGACATGTGTGAGTATGTGAGTATATGGTGTATGCATAATTGTGTGCATATATGTGTGTGTGGCATGCATGTGAGGCACGTGGGGGTTTGTGTGTGTATGAAGAACAAATCATTTGGAAACAAGTATGGTGAATCCATCTAGGTAGTTTGGTGTAGGGTTAAAAAATGATTATAAATTTTGTGATTGATTTTCTTATTGGTCCAAAGACTGATTCTGGCCAGTATATTCTAGGACTACCCTTGGTGGTGGTATCATGGGGATAAAAATGTGGCTTTCTGAGACAACGCCTTGGAAGCGTGTCACTTGCTGGAACATAGGCATCTCAGTACAGCAATATGTAGAGTAGCACGCCATGCCTGTGGGCCTTTCAAAAGTCCTCATGTGAACGTGAGCCTTTCTTCCTGTGGTACTGATGATCATTACGTTCACGTTGCAAAGTCTCATTAGTTTGATTTTTGAACCCAGTTGTTGGAAAAGGGTGTTGATGTGTCCCCCAGAAATGGGGAAGGTGCTGAATGGAAACCTAACTTAATCGTACTGTGGATTGAATGCGTTGCCTTTTTAAAGAATGTCTTGGCAGTTCCCGTGATTTTGTCTAACTCTCTGGCTATTTTTTCCTCTCTGGATTTAGCTCTAAATCAAAAACCCACACACAATTACTGCACAGGGGATGACCCTTCTCAGAAAAATTCCAAAACCTCTGGAGTAGATTGGGTTTTTTTACCCATTGAGATAAAGAAGGATATTACACCATAGTTTTGAATTACAATGCTGATATCCTATTCAGGGCTTATTAGGATATAACTTGAAGTAAATGTTGAGAGTAATCAGCAGGACATTTTGAAAGAAAAGTTACAGTTAACCTAGATGACAGTTAAACAATTGTTTATCCCCGATAACTGCATTCAGATGGGCCAATAGCAGAAGTCACTCTGAAATTCATGAAAGTGTAACTAACAGGACTGTCACTACTGCAAGCAGCATATTTAATGTTTTTACTGTTTTTTTATAAAAAAAGGTTTCTATTACAGTGTTCTTGAGTATTGGACTAAAATGCAAACGTCACTTGTAAATCTATTCCTTTGGGCTTCATGAAGATTTGAGGTAGGTGCTCAGGAAGTGAATCTCCCCAAGAAACTCCTCTCTTAGAATACACTCTGACCCCAAGCCTGTTGGTAGCAAGACTGCAGGAGCACATGGCTTTGCAGGCAGCAGACCTTGGCTCATACCCAAACTCCCCACTCACTGAACCTGCAGCCTCCCCCTTCCATCTTCGACTTCTTTATTTGGGGAACAGCCACAATAATGCTGGTGGCTGTAGGGACTGGGGACAACATATCCAGCGCAGAGCTTGGTTTTATTAGAGCTATTTAATAAATGATGGTCACAAATATGACTATTAATAATTAGCTATTAATTCAATTTACACTTGGATTTAATTAATAATAGTAATAAGTGGGTTTATTGTCACTCTAATAAGAACATATTTGCAGGCTAAAACATCACTCCCAGGAAAATCACCGTGTTGACATATTTATCTTTTCTTAACATTTTCTTCTACCAATAACGCAGTGTAAGAATCAACCTTAATAGATCACTCACTTTGTGCCAAGCTCTGTTCTAAGCACTCTGAAAATATTAACATATGCAATTATCGTAGCCATCCCACGAGGTAACCATTGTTATCCCATTTTTCCACGTGAGGACACTGTGGTAGGTTAAGACACTTGATGAAAGCTGGTAAGTGGTAGAGATATATAACTGTTAAGTAACAAGAACACAATTTTATTTCTTATTTTATTTATTTATTTATTTATTTATTTATTTATTTATTTATTTTTTGGAGACAGAGTCTTGCTCTGTCACCCAGGCTGGCACACAGTGGCACAATCTTGGCTCACTGCAACCTCCGCCTCCCAGGTTCAAGCAATTCTCCTGCCTCAGCTTCCCAAGGAGCTGGGATTACAGGCGTGCACCACCACGGCCAGCTAATTTTAGTATTTTTAGTAGAGACGGGGTTTCACTATGTTGGCCAGGCGGCTCTTAAACTCCTGACCTCAAGTGATCCGCCCGCTTCGACCTCCCCTAATGCCAGGATTACAGGCATAAGCCGCTGCGCCCAGCCTAAGAACACAATTTTAAATGCCAGGATTCATACCTCTAAATAAAATGGGTGCATCCTCTACAAGGCCCAGGATGTGGTGGGCTCTCCCTGGGCTGTGACTGTGTCTTCCTTGAATTGTCTTCAGAATCATTGATAAGTCCCACGCCTCTGTTTCCTATCTCCATTGTCACAGCTGATTTATGAACACAAACAGTATTGCAAAACTTAACACCACCACTGTTTGTTGTAAATTTACATACCTTGTGACTCATTTTTAAAAAATCAAATATAGCAACAAAGTACAAAGATTTACCACCACTGACTATGTAAGAGAAGGCACTAGGAGATCTTAGGATATTATGCTAAGTGGTATTTCAAAGGCATTTTGTATCTTAGTATAAGATCTCTGGTGTGCAATTTTGTGTGATTTGAATAGGGCCTACTTTGCAAGGGGCCACGCAGACGGATTTCAGCATCAGAATTGATTTATACCAGTAGCCTCTTCTTTATGGTCATACCACATATTTAGAATTTGAACTTTCTCTGATGCAGTAGACTGCATCTTGCTACCTGAGAAAGATACAAACCACCCTCATCTTGGCCTGAAAAGAGCCTCTCCCAGATGCTCAGCATCCAGTACAGGGAAGAAGATGATATGGTATGGGGGGTTTGGAGCCAAAAATTGATTTGAGACATGGGTCTTTGTGACTCTAGCTTAGTGACTTAACCTTTCAACACCTCTGTTTCCTCCCCTGTCCAATGGGGAGATTGACCTCACCTGAGAGAGTGTCCTGAGAACCAAGTGTAATGATGTGTGTTGAGGGGTGGGGACAGGGCTGGCACAGTGCCTGGCATGTTCTAACCATCTATAATTTTATTCTTTTTTCCCCTCCCTATTCCATTCTCTCTGTGGCCCCATAGAGAAGACTCCAATCTGTGGTTTTCATTGATGGTGGCAGCTTTAGCCAGGCAGTGGTTTCCCTGTTGTACAATTCAATAGCCTGCATGCAGGGACATGCTTCTCAGGTGGCCTCTGGATACACGTGTCCTTTGTGGCCTACAGAAGACTTTCTTACACAGTGCACTGTTAACTGAGCAGAGGCAGCCGTACCTGGGGTGCTGATTAGCACTGTGCAATGTACTGATTGGTACTGTGTAATTTTTAGGACCTCCTTTTGTTCCCTACGCCCCTTGGGAGAGTGTGGCACACTGGAAGAAAGACACGCTGTATCCTGGGCACAGGTCTTCTGTTAGACTCAATGGTGGGAAGGGGATGGGATGCAGCCCAGGGCCTCCCTGCCCATGGCATTTTCTCAGGAGCTGTCTCCTTTGAGTTGCTATCAAATCGCATATGTTGCATGCTTACTTGAAAGGAATTTGCACAGAGTGGTTTGTTTATACTAGTTAGGCATCAAAAAGACCATTGTTCTCCCAGACTTTCAGTATAACAAACAAATTTAAAAAAAGTATGTATATTTGGGTAGATAAATATAGGGTTGATTCCTAAAGGGTTTAGAAATAACCACAAATAGGCCCATTTATAACAAGAGGTTGAAGGAGAGATTGCCACTCTTTGGAGCCACATCTGAATGCCAGAAGTTCCCTTGACATCCTGCTCAGTCCAAGGGTCACAACATGTCTGATGCCTAGCTCTGGACTCAAGGGCATCAGACATCAGAACACGTCTCTCTCTGGACTCAGGGACAATACCCATACATATCTGTGGAATCAGGATACCTTACCTCCTATCTCCAGTTCCTACCCCACTGTGAAGCTCAGAGTGATATTGAGTGAGCCCTTTCTGAATCGGGACCAGTCTCATCTCAGCTTATTACCCGTGGGCCCCAGTAATGCAATCTGTTCACCTTCTGAACACTGGGATCCCCGTTGTCTTGTCCTAGGTCACTCATTTGAGAGACAGAAGCGAGTAGAGGCTGTAAGCATGAACTCTGCAGCCACAGGGTTGCTTTGAATCCTGGACTTGACACAGCTGTGTAAACTTGAGCAAGTTATTGCAACTCTGTGTGCCTCAGTTTACCTATCTGTAAAGTGAGGATACAAATGATCTACTTCATAGGGCTATTTTAAAAATAGTTAATATGTAAGTAACTATTAGAATGCCTAGAACACGGTACTTGTTAGTAAGAGTTATTCATTGTCATCATCATAGTCATTATCATCATCATCATCAAGAATTTGATGAGTACCTGTAAAGGCTAAGCAATATCCGAGGCTCATGGGGTACACAGCAATAAACTAGGCAGGGCTCTGTTCTTTGAGAAACTTACTCTTTATTTGAGACAAACAATAAAGAGAGCTCTTTTAGCACAAGGCACTGTAGGAATTCCAGTAACAAGGAGTCGTCCTATGTAGACAGAACTTGTGCATCGTTGATGATCTCGACGATCTTGCTAAATTGAAGCTTGGATGGGCAAGTAAGACTCAGACTTTACTCCAAGCAATTCCAAGCATATGAAAGCACGATGGGCAGATATTAGCCTGCCATCCATACACAGTATTGGATATCGCACTCTCTGTGGGACATTTGCTCCTTATTCTGACATCATAAGAACAGAAAACCAGTGCTTCTGGACACGAATCATTTCAGGGCTCTTTGCAGATGCATAGCATGAAAGCAGCTGTTTCAGAATTCAAAAATTATACATCATGCCGTATATGGCTTTTCGCTTTACAAGTTGCTTTCAAACATTGCCTCATGTTGGCCTCATGACATCCATGTTAGATAAGCGTGGTGAGAATTACTTCCCTGTTTGATAAACGGGGAAGCTGAGTCAGGGGGAGCTGCCTCATCATGGTCACTAAAGAGAGGCGAGTGAGACCTGGAACCCCACTGGGTCTTCTGTCTTCTGGGTGAGCTCTTGGTTGAGGGGACTGTGAGATGCCTGTGTAGGTGAGTCTTTGCTGATTTATAGACTCAATGGACTAATTGTTGCTGGATGCTACCAGAACTATGAAACAATCTGCAGGACGAAAAAGCAGATGAGTCATGCAAATTTTAACAAATTAGTTATGTTTCTGAAATTAAAAGTAGGTAAAGAACACAAAAGAATTGGAAACAAGGACTCAGATACTTATATGCCTATGTTCTTTGCAGCATTAACAATAACCAAAAGGGGGAAACAACCCAAGTGTCTATCAACTGATGGATGGATCAATAAAATGTGGTATATCCGTACAATGGAATATTATTCAGCCTTAAAAAGAAATGAAGTTCTGATACATGTTACAACATGGATCAATCTTGAAAACACTATGCCAGAGACTGGGCGCGTTGGCTTACGCCCGTAATCCCAGCACTTTGGGAGGCCGAGACAGGCTGATCACTTGAGGTCAGGAGTTCAAGACCAGCCTGACCAAGATGGTGAAACCCTGTCTCTACTAAAAATACAAAAATTAGCCGGGCGTGGTGGTGTGCACCTGTAACCCCAGCTACTTGGGAGGCCAAGGCAGGAGAATTGCTTGAACACAGGAGGTGGAGGTTGCAGTGAGCAAAGACTGGGCCACTGCACTCCAGCCTGGGTGACAGAGCGAGACTTCATCTCAAAACAAAACAAAACAAAACAAAAACATTATGCCAAATGACATAAACTGAACAAAAAGGACAAATACTGTATGAATCCATTTATGTGAAACATCTAGGTTAGCTAACCTCATAGAGACAGAAAATAGATTAGAGGTTACCAGAGGCCAGAGGGAGGAGAAATAGACATGTATTGCTTAATGACTACAAAATTGCTGTTTGGTGTGAGGAAAAGTTTTGAATATAGATGTTGGCAATGGTTGCACAATATTGTGAATGCATTTATTGCCACTGAATTAAACACTGAATTAAAACTGCTTTTATATTTTAATTATACACTGAAATAAAACTGCTTTTAACTAGTTTATTTTAATTATACACTGAATTAAAACTGCTTTTTACTAGTTTTATCATATATCATACTAGTTTGTTGTTGTTGTTGTTGTTTTGAGATGGAGTTTTGCTCTTGTCACCCAGGCTGGAGTGCAGTGGCGCAGTCTTGGCTCATTGCAACCTCCACCTCCCAGGTTCAAGCGATTCTCCTGCCTCAGCCTCCCAAGTAGCTTGGATAACAGGCACCCGCCACCACACTTGGCTAATGTTTGCATTATTAGTAGAGACGGGGTTTCACCGTGTTGGCCAGGCTGGTCTCAAACTCCTGACTTCAGGTGATCTGCCCACCTTGGCCTCACAAAAAGCTAGGATTACGGGCATGAGCCACTGCTCCCACCCTCCTACTAGTTTTATTATATCATTTTAGGTTATTATAAAATCACAGCCATAGTAACTTCCTGTGAGGAAACGGTTTAAAAATATGAGAGCAGGCCACATGGCCACCTAAGGAAATTTATACATTTTGAGAAGCGTGAAAGCTTATTCTATTTCCCTGAGAAAAGGTATTGATATCACAATGCAGAGGTGATCTTATTTTAATTTCAGCACTATTACTGCTGTGCATTTATTACAATCAGGCAGAGTACTGATGTGTTTCGAATACGGGAAAGACAGAATCTGAAAAGAGATAGCAATTTAACTTTCTGCAGGAAAACTCCGGCGTGTTTTTCATTCTGACAACTTGACTGGTGATAAGAAAGATGAGGTACTACTTTTGTAAACTTGTTATCCTTACACTCTCAAGAACCATTTGTCATCCATTTTTCCCTGTCATACTGAAATATACCTCTAAGAAAATATCGGTAATTTCTCAGTATTTTAAAAACATAGATTCTCTTGATCAGTCTACTAAATATTTCATAGTTTGTGTGTTGTTCATTAGAAAAGAAGAGATTCCATTTTCCCAAACTGTGGAACTGAGCAGCGCACTGAGATTTTAAGGAGTGGGATGTGGGTACCCTGAGAAGGGACATGGTTTTGTCCAGAGCTGAGGAAAAGAAAAATTGACCCCGAGATCCCAGCTTAGCCAACAGCCCTGGGCAATTTCATCAGCTTCCTATATCTCGGTGTAGCCACGAGCAAGATCATTTTGTGGCACTGAACTCACGGTCTGCAACTCATGTGCATTCAGGACAGACATTGAGGCTTAGGGTCAGGCTGTAGGTGGCACCAGCCATCATGGGACATTCAGACCAGAGAATGCAGCAACCAAGAGCTTGCTTAGGTAGGCAAGCAGGAGCGTTTGTCCACTCCATAGCCAGCCTTCATCTATCAGGGGACTTGAAATGTTCATTGCACATTCCCCTGTAGGCAAGAGTATTTATTGAGAAGACCTGAATTTTAATGCAAAGCTTTCCAAATGGTTGTTTGTAGCCAGTTGACCTTTGAGTCCAGACATCAGGTGGCTCCATTCCTCTCCAGGGCCATGGAGCTTCACTGTGACCTTGGGGGACTGTCCAGCCCTCTCCATAGTGTTGAGGGAGCAGCTCCAGCTCTTCTCCCCTCACTCTTCCTGGCCTCCCTGGGGCCAGTATCCCATTGTTAACACCAGCACCAGTCCCATGCCTATGATTTCTTCTTTTTTTTTTTTTTTTCTTTTGAGACAGTCTCACTCTGTCACCCAGGCTGAAGTGCAGTGGAGCTATCTTGGCTCATTGCGACCTCCACCTCCTGGGTTCAAGGAATTCTGCCTCAGCCTCCCGAGTAGCTGGAATCACAAGCATGCACTACCATGCCCGGCTAATTTTTGTATGTTTAGTAGAGACAGGGGTTCACCATGTTGGCCAGACTGGTCCTAAACTCCTGACCTCAAGTGACCCACCCACCTCGGCCTTAAACTGCTGGGATTACAGGTGTGAGCCACCGTGCCTGGCCTATGCCTGTGATTGCTTTACTTCAGAAAAGAAAGCATGCAGTGTCTGACTTCTGAGCAAAGCTGTGGCTCCCAACAGGAAGACATCTTACAAACGCAGGAGAGATGCAAGCTCACTTAGAAGGGGAAACGTGCTTAGTTAATGCCAGGGTTCACATGTGACCATGTTTAAAATGACCACAGAGGGAAGGAGAACAAAAAAGCAAACTTTGCTGACACTCAAATGTTTTCTGTTTCTAAGTGGATGACCCTGCCTTTCTAGATACAACGGGTTTCATTCTTCATGCTGGGCAGGTTGCCGGGGTTTGGACAAATCCTGCTCAGTGCAAAGCATCTCCCAAGGTAACAGTCCCTGCTGGCTGCTTTAGGTAAATGTCAGCTTGTTATGCTGCTGGACAGATCCCACGTGGGCCCTGTTCTCTGTCATTGCCATCTATTCTCCAAGAATTCTGTCTCAATGAGAAGAAAAACAGATCAACAGGGGAGCTGAGGAATAGATGGGAGCTGCGAGCTGCAGAGGGCCAGGACTCGGTGTGTTCCCCACAGCGGCCATCTGCTTGGCTTGTGGAGACGACCAGCTCGGCCACACTTCTGAGATTAGGACTCCCTGATGGGCCAGCAGAAGGGGCTCTTGTCAAATCCCACTTTCCCTGATTAAACCGGAACAGGAATGTCTGGCAGAGTAGAAAATCCAGGGAGGAGAGGTGAGGCCTGCATCCTGGAGGGAAGGTTGTCCTGAGATGTTCCTGCCATTTTTGTCCCCAAAAGCGGGATGATACTAGAGGCGATGGGGCAGGATCCATCCTGAATGTGTCCGGAGAGTTTTGGAAGATTTGACCATCACTGCAATAGTCTTTCTTCTACAGAAAATAAGTCCGGTAAAAATGGGGCAAAAGTTACTCCCACCCAGAGGAATGAGACATATGTGTCCCCCTACCGAGGGGTGCCCCAGAGAGTGGGCACCTAGAAGATCTGGTTGTTCCCCGCAGTCACATACCTCCCTGAATTGAAGTCCTTAGAGCCACAGAAAACTTCCTCTGGTTTTCTTACTAGTTACTGTTGGAGAGAGGGTCATTCCTGATTCCTCCTCCAGTGCAGCCTGGCAGGGGAGCCTGCTGAGCTCTGCTGTGTGAACTTTCTGCCCAGAGACAAGGACAGGGATGAGAGGAGGCAGCAGGTGAGCAGAAGACAAGACACTGGAAGATAAGACCTGTGCATCAGGACCGAGGGAATATATGTGGGAGAGACAGAGTCCACTGAGATGCCTCAGCTACCCAGGGTTCCCACTGTAAGGAAGCCACCAGTGTCCAGAGGACTCCAGGAAAAACTCGGATCCCACTTTCTGCTACTGACCAGCTGTGTGACCTCAGACCAGGAGTGCAATCTCTCTGCACATCTGACATCTGTGTCAATTCTTCCTTAGGAGAGGAGAGACGATTTATGCCTTACCCACTTCTTAAGGCAGTGTTGAACAATGTCATCATGTGTAAAAGCATTTTTTAAAATAAGCTGTTGTCTGCATGGAGGCCATGATTCATATAAAGCAATTTGATTTATACAATGAATCTCTCCAAGTTTTGCTCCTTGCAAGGTTCTGTGTCAATAAATGTTCAAACCCATATTTATTGAGCACCTACTATAAATAATCAGGCGCTGTTTTAAGCACTTCTGATATGCTGGTAAAAAAAAACAGATGCAAATACCTGCCTTTGTTACGCTGACATTCTAGAGGACATTTAAAGAGATCTAGTTCCATGTGGATAGAGCAAAATGAAAGGGAAAGTTATACTTTAGCACAAATGTCAATTTCAGAATGGTTTATTTTTAAAATGCCAGACTCTGCCATCCTGAGATTGACTAACTATTGTCTCACCATCTCTTTGTCCTGGTTAAGTTCAGAGAATACAATGTGCCCAGAGTGCAGCCCTGTTTGAAAAGGACGGCTTGCAGAGTTGCAGCAAAAGTCATTTCTGGGCAGACGATAATACTAAACGGAAGCTGATGAAAGAAAGAGAAAAAAATACCATGAGAGAAGGGGGATGCTGGTGAAGGTAAAATGTTAGTGGAGAGGTAGATTTCAAATAGAATCGCCTAGGTTGAAAATAAAAAGCAGTCATCAACTATGATGGAAAAATATTTCCGAGACTTGATAAGTCATCCGGACCCTGGCTGCTCACTCCCAGGGTTGCGTGGGATCCTTTGCAGGATGAGCAGAGGCTGTCAGTGTGGGATGCGTAACACAGCAGGCACAGGGTAACTGATCTAATTATGAAGAGCCCTTCCCATCTGATCCTGACTTTGACCTATGGCTTGTGAGGCCCCAGCAACATTGAATCCAGGGTGAAAGTCAGAAGGACTAGGACCCACTCAGCTAGTTCAATCCTCTCATGCCTTCAGTGGCTGGAGATATTTAGGGAGCACATCCTATATGCTAAGCCCTAAATAAGGTGTCAGGAATATAGCAGTGAACTAGGATGGCAGGTCCCTTCCCCAATGAAACCCAGTGTGGGACAAAATGTGATCCTGGAAGGTGAGGGTGATTCTGCAACTCATAAATAAACTGCGTGTGCCAGTAGCAGGCCTTGTGGTAACACCTAGGCAGGACCACCTTCTCTGCACAACTTCAGAGAGCATAACTTAATTTTTACACATTGAATTTTGATGTATTTATTTGTCATTGCCTAACATCCCAACCCCAGCGTCTGATGGGGATGGCAGTCCTGGCGTTATGCCATGGGTAGGGTACTGAGGCTAGATTCCCTGAATCCTGACCGAGTCTCATCCCATGAGCCAGGGTGATGAGGCTAATCAAACAAGGAACCAAGGAGCCCATAGGTTGAAATACAAGGTTTGGAAGAAAATGTGATGCTTGCTGGAATGACCAGATGGGCGAGGATGTTGAAAAATAAATGAGGTGTGATCATTGCAATTCATTCCCATCATTACGAAATCATTTATTATTAAGTTACACATGGACACACTGCAGTGCCAAGGAAAAGTACAAATGAAAGGTAAAAACAAGGGACAAATGTTGCTCATGTTGCCAGTACCTTGTTTTGAGTCTGGAAGAGAATTATTTATGTTGCTGCAGCCAAACGTCTCTAAAGAAAATGATCAAATTGTAATTGGTCAACATGTTCTCTCAATGATACCTTGATACATCATTTTAATTTTAAGTTTTTATTCATCTCTAATGTTTTACTTCAGGCACTTCTTATTTCTTTCTTGGACCATTCCAAAAATGTCCTAAACTGGTATCTCGGCCCCAGTCCATCTTCTACGCTCTGAAAAAATACCTTTGGTTTTATTTTTGCAGAGTCGATTTTTTCCCTTCGTGGATGGGCTCCTTGGCAATCTGAGCCTTCGCCCTGCTCCCTGCCACCCCCCTGCCTTGCACTCCAGGCATGCACATTCATGAAAATTCCTCAAAATCTTAGGGAGGCTGAGGCAGGAGAATCCCTTGGACCCGGGAGGTGGAGGTTGCAGTGAGCCGAGATTGCACCATTGAACGCACTGTAGCCTGTGTGACAAGAGCAAAACTCTGTCTCCAAAAAAAAAAAAAAAATTCCCTCTTGCTCATGACTCATTTGTATGTGATGTTCCACTTGGCAGCCATTTTCCTCTAGTCCACTGGCCCCTGGTGTTCCCGCGGGGCTTCTTACATGAGCCATTCTAGAATCGCAGGTCCCTTGCTCTTCCTCTGCACATGCCTGTGTTTATCTGGAGAGAGTCTGTTTGTTTCCCTGTTTGCCTTCTTACCAGACTTGGAGCCCTTCAAAGCCAAGGGCTGTCCCATATGGATAGACCTTCCCCAGTGTCTAAATAGGAACTGGGATATGATAGATGTTCAATAAAAATTAAACAAGAGACAAAACAAAAGTAGGGACCAATCTGGAATCCAGTAACCATCTCTCATTTCAGGAGAAGTGGAAACTCTCAGGAAGTTGAAAATACTGGGCTTCAGAACCTGACCTAGTTTGCAGCCACCGCTCCCCTCCAAAAACAATCCCATAAGAATTCCTTCTGACCCCTGAGATGAGAGGGTCACTGAGGTGGATCCTGGCCTTGGAAATCCCTGTTAGGACCTATTGGGACCTTTTACTTGCCCATCACCACCACCCTAACATTACATTAGAAACCAACTTGGGCTTGAAATGGAGGCCTCTGAGTTTGCATGAACCCCAAAATGCAGGCTCAGATTGGTTTCATTGCAAAAAGGGAAGTTGCATTCCAGTTATCTCTGAATAAAACTTGTGATGGTAAGGACACAGCCCCTACCCCTAGAAGTGAAAACTGGCAAGTCTCCAGGAACCAAGACCACTCCAAGGTCCAGTTCTTGCATCAGCGAGGCCTTGCTTCCTTCTTGCTTCTTAACAACTGGATTCCATGCTCACTCACGGCTTCTCCTCTCTCTACCTCTGGAATGTGCATTGCTGTCAGAGCTGCTTTGTAATGGCTGCGTCCTCATAGCCTAGACTCTCTCTCCTGAGCTTTGAAGCTTCAGTCTGCCCTGCTAGCCACTAACAGACTCCTGAATTTCTAAGTTCAGGTTCCTACAATGGAAAATAAGATTGACCTGACTCATTTCTTCATGTGGAATTTTTGGCTACAGATTGGCTGTTGTTTGGTCAGGCCACAAACCCCGGTCCAATTGACCATGTTTTACCATATTCTCATCTTGTCCTTAGAAGGTTGCACAGAGGTGAGTTACTGACCAGAATGAACCTAGGCATGGACATTTAGGAATTTCCTATTAAACATAAACACTTCAGAGAAGAAAAGCATATTCCATCTTAATACCTCAGAATAAAGGAGCGTATCAGCTTCATTCCTTTTCAGAGGTACAGCAGGAATCTATACACATCAGGGGGCCAGTTAATCTGAAGGATGAGGGGGACGTCTGAAAGCAGATGAGGAGAGGAAAGGAAGAAGGTAGCCCTGAACCTCTGAACTATGTTCCTGGATCTCGTCAATTTAGTCCTTACTCTCTGTCAAGTTGATCCATTGACAGATTCTCAAAACCAGGTCAATATAGAGATATGGCACTCTTACGTCTTGTGTCAGCTGTATCTGTTATCAATAGTTTTATGAATGGCACCACCGACAAAGGATAAAAACCTAACTGCGATTAGGCAAGGAAAATATATATATACCAGATTTTCTGGTCCCCCACAAGTTTCACCCTAGTGACTGTTCTCTGTCATCCCACGCAGGGTGGGCTTTGAGAACTCATCAATCCTCTTGTGAGTTTCAGTCTTGCATCTTTTCTGGGATCTGGCTCAAACGTGGCTAATTTCCCAGCATACTATGTTCAGTACAAGGGCAATCTGTCAGCATTCGTCTGAGCATGTTTGTAAAGACACATAATTCACTATGAAACCAATTCATTTCAGATGTGCTTTTTCCCATTGCACCAAAGCCCCGGGTTGATTTGGCAGTTTGGTATATTATACAAATAAATATGTCGAAAATGGGAAGTTAACAACTGTTGGAACCTGAGGTTTCTGAAGGACTTGGCTCTGGTGTCAACTTCAGAAGGTCATCTGGAGAAGCTAAGGGATCTGAACATTCTTAAAAGGAAGAGAAATGCTTTAGAATAAAAGGAATCCTGTGTCCACAGGCAGGCAGAGTCTCGTTTTTGATTTCCTAGGGAACTTAGCACAGTGGAGTTCCAATAGCTCATAGGAAATCGCGTTTCACAAAAGTTACACAAAACAATACCTTTCTGAGGAGTTTATGTTCTAATAGGAAATACCTAAAATATATTTATCCACTTTTTAAATTTTATTCTACCTTCTCTCTTTTAACACTGATTTACATAATAAGGGACAGATTAAATTAATTTCATAATAGAAATCTTGGGCTTTAAAAATTATCTTAGAAAGGTAATTGTCTTCATTTGGTGTTTTATGTTCCCTAAGTAGTTATCTTTGCTGTTTCTTGTGGGGGTTGCTGGCAATTCTGACTTCCCATTCCATATCTCATTTATTACTTCATTTAGGAAATACTCTTTTTTTAATTTGATAGGCTGAGGTCTATTTCCTAATGACTTTCACCTAGTTTTAATTTTCAGCAAAAGAAACACTTAAGATATAAGTCATAGGTAATACTTAGGCCTGTCTGATGAATGACGGAATCTAGCTTCCGCTGGTATTTCATCTTTGACTTCTAACATGTAAGAAGCCTTCACTTTAGTGGTCATCTCTCCTCCTTTTTCGTCCTTGCTCCTTTCAGAAGTGTTCATCTGTAGCGTAGGATTCAGTGATCCCCAAGTGTTTTAAGCTGCAGAGCTCTTTGTTCCGATGCTTGTAATTCACATAAAGGAGATAAAAGTGGAGCTGTGTGGGCTGAAGGATGAGAAGGGGAGAGGGGGGAAATGGAGCCCCAAGTTCTAGACAAGCCTCCCCCCATCAACTCCTTCATCCTGGCAGCCTAGGAAAGGTTACTCTAGCACAATTTGGAAACATCTGGCTGAGTCATTTTGGCCCACATTTTCTTTCTGCTGAATTCATTTGCATTCTCCCAGGGCGACATACATAAATGTTTTCTAGTTCATGTTGACATCTTTCAGTTATTCATGAACTGTGACCCTACTACCCTGTGAGGTTCTATGAGAAGCTCTGTGTGTTGCAATTCTGTCTGCATTGCTTTGCAGATGATGAGTTGCCTAAAATGAATGAACTGGTTCTGACCTATCTAAGTGTATCACATGGAGATGCTCTTGTCTCTTGATTTCAGTCTAGGTGACACTCAGGTTTTCCAAAAGTTCTCTCCCTGATACACACATTATTTCATTGTTTCCTGTGTGCTAAGCGCACACAGGATGCAAAGATGAATAAGACCTTCCCTTACGGAGCCCTCAGCCTAGCCATGACGAGAGCCAGTTATGGAGTCCCTACTAGATGTCCATTGCTTTACATAGTTTCTATCTCATTAACTTTGGTGCACATAGCCAGTAAGCGAAAGGACCCGGGATTTGCAAACAAGAAATTATTCTGACTTCAACGCTCATTCCTTTCACTGATGGGCAACCCTTTATCTTACCTGGTCCCTGCCACGGAGAAACTCACAGGCAGGGCCGGGCAGAGAAGTGGTCAGTGATGCTCTAAGGTAACAAGCACTTCCCATAAGCCTGGGGTAGGAGGTGACATTTGCACGGGGCACTAAAGGATGATTAGGAGCTCATCAGGTGGAAGGAGTTGGGAGTGGGGCTGGAGCTGGTGTCTTTGCTAATGCCTTCTAGGGGAAGATGCCAAGTGTTTTAGATTTCCATTGCTTATACTTATCTCCAGTTTTTAGTGGCCTACTTGAATGTCATTTATATTGTCATTTACACCACTCCCCAAGGCCAAATCATATCTGTGTTGCAAAGTTGGCCAACAGGGATTGTATGAACTGAGCCTTCTCTGGAGATTTTCTGCATGGGTCTGTTAGTTCATGTATTTCATGTTGAGAATAAAGTATGGGCACGTGAAGGTTTGGGGGATATTTTACATAAGACATTCTCCTATGTAGGCATGAAAATCTTTCCTGACTCCAATCCTGTTGCTAAACAGCGAGGTCTAGCCCAGAAGGCATGGAGGGGAGCAGAGTTTCTGGGAAACAAGAAGAGGACTTGGAGCCCCAGACAGGGGACAACTCCAGAGGGTTTCTTGGGGATACCTTTCCCTACAGGCCACTGAAGACAGCACGGCAGTGGAAACATCTGCATCACCCACCCTGGTGTGTGTTCCCCCGACAATCTGTGGGCTTGTTCCACAGCTGGCACCAAATTCTGGCTGAGCAGACAGCCCCAGAAATGTCACCTGGAGCCGTTAAAAAAACATAAACAAGGCATCTGTCACGCTGCCGTCGCCAAGGTCATCTGGTGGCAGGAGGTGACCGAGGAGGAGCATGGTGGTGCCGTGCCATCGAGGGCCAACCTGTGGGCAGACCTGCCTGTGCCGGCGCTCCCTTGCTCTGCAGATGCATTCAAGGATGTGAAGTTGTGCAGGGGCCAGACGTGAGAAGCAAAACAACCTGAATGAAATCCAGCCACTTTGGAGTGAAACATGAGCATTTTAAAACATGATTTTCAAACTGTCGCAGGGTTAGTATTGCATCTGGTCTCCTCTCATGATTGCCTGGAGGCCACCAGCCCAAAGCTGGAGTGAGACATGAGCTGGAGGGTAACCTGAACACCGAATTTAGGGAGTGTGTTGTTCATACAAATCACTCAGACTGAGAGTTAGAGATGGGATTTACACCCAAGCTATCCATCAAACCACTATCTGTGTGACCTTCGACAACTTATCCATTTCCTCTAAGCCCCAATTTTCATATCTGTAAATTCCCTCCTAGGATCCTTGTGAAGGTTAGATAAGATAGTATGTGTAATAATGCAGGGCTGCAGAGGGCCCTCAGTACATTTTATTTTGGCTTTCTCTGCCCTCACTTACAGGTGAGGGAACAGATTTAGAGACGGGGAGTTCATAGCATACCAGCATCAATGATCCTAGCAAGAACTGTCGTACTTTCTTCCTCCTTCCTTCACTTCCTTTTTCCTTATTTCCCTCATAATCCACTCCCCTTCCCCTCCCTACCCTCAGTGCACATGATATTATGTTTGATGGGTAGCTTTTGGTTTGTATATAATTTTGGCAAAACACATTCTTTGTAGAAATGTATTCTTTAATTTGTTAAATGGTTTGAGTTTATACATGGATGCCTTATGTGTTTTGTGCGTATTTACATTTATATTTAGATTCCTCTTTTTTCTTAAGTACTGTGTCTATGTTCCCTCCCTGTTGCTCTGTGTACACATAATCGATTGCTTATTGCTCTGTGTATGCATAAACAGTTGCTTCTTTTTTTTTTTTTTTTTTGAGACAGAGTCTCTCTCTGTCACCCAGGCTGGAGTGCAGTGGTGCTATCTCGGCTCACTGCAAGCTCTACCTCCCAGGTTCACGCCATTCTCCTGCCTCAGCCTCCCGAGCAGCTGAGACTACAGGCACCTGCCACCATGCTGGCTAATTTTTTGTATTTTTTAGTAAAGACGGGGTTTCACCATGTTAGCCAGGATGGTCTCAATCTCGTGACCTTGTGATCCGCCTGCCTCGGCCTCGCAAAGTGCTGGGATGACAGGCGTGAGCCACCGCGCCCGGCTGCCGTTGCTTCTAATTGCTGCTTAGCCTTGCATGGTTGCATCCAGTCTGTTCCACAAGGATGGACACCCAGGTTGCCTCCACACTATCCCCATAGTCCATCTTCTTGTAATTCTTAAGATAGGACCAAAAGACATTTATTTACAAGTTTCCCTCTTCTATTAGACGGTGAGACAGTGAGAGAAGATTTCCTGACTTTATATACAAAGCAGCTAGCACATAGCAGTTTCTCAGTAAACACAAAGCCATTGGCTTCCCAGGCAGCTGGACACATGGGCTCAGGCCCAGCCTCCTGTGTCCTTGGTTCCCAGGAAAAGTGACAGCCTTAACGGCAGCACTGTGATTACCGTTATCTTGTCATGAAGGTTTATGACGAGTAAGGGAAGTGCCTTTTAGGAAGAGAAAAGATGAAAAGCCTTCCCATGTGACGTATACTAGAATTCCCTGAAACCTGAAGGCCCCACATGATGCACCTGTTTATTCAAACACATACATTTGAGTACTAACTGTAAGTGATAGTGGGTATGGATTTGGTGAACTCTTTGAATGCTTTCAGCATTTCCCCAATCTGTAGGAGATTCTAGTTCCTTAGAATTGGATACTGAGCCCTGTTTGATGAAACTTGCTGTGGCATTTGGAGAGGATGCAGCTAGGGTTCACACATTTAACCATGGATGGATCTGTCAGTCAGTCTCAGTTCATGGTAGACAAGAAAGGAGATACATGCTGACAAGCCGTGTAGGAAGTGTACTGCCTTAAGCAGTGTAAACATCTTTATTCCTGAAAGGCATATCTGCTAGGTTGATTGTGAAATGTATTCTGTTTTTTTTTTTTTGTTTTGTTTTTCTATTTGGAGGGTGAGGGATAGCCTACTTTAATATCAGAAGATTTTTTTTTTATTGAATTGTGGTACTGAGTGAAATGACCTACCTTTACTTGACCTGCAACAGAGTTGCTGTAGACCAGGGGTGGGCAAATTCTTTCTGCAAGAACCAGGTAATAAGTATTTTACACTTTACGGCTACATGGCCTTTGTCAAACCTGTCACCTCTCCTGTTGTGGTACATAGGCAGCCATTAGACAGTCTATAAGTAAATGGGCTTAGCTGCATTCCAATAAAACTTTATTCACAAAATAAGAAGGGGGCCAGGTTTGGCCCATGAGCCCTGGTTTTCCTACCCTTGTTTAGATGCTCATGCACTTGCTACACCTGGAAATCAACATAAATATAGTAGGTCCAATAAGGCAAACCAGCTACTGTTTCTTGCCAGTATTCTCTGCTCTCTCTTCAGGACACTCTGAACACAATGGATAGGAGTAATATGAACAGAAAACAGAAGAAGGACTTGGACTGTATCAATTTTGGCTTGGTTGTGCACGCCAGAAAACCTAAAATAACAGTGCCCAGTACACAGCAGAAGTTTATTTCTCTTTCTTGTAAATACAGTTTGGAGACAAGCAGTCCAGGGATAGCATGGCTCCTCTTCTCACAAAAGCCTCTGCTCCTTCTATTATGTTTTCTCCCACGAAGGGTTTGGTCTCATGGTTCCAGATTGTAGCAAGCATTCCAGATAGGCAGATGGGAAAAGGCGGGAAGGAGAGGGAGAGTAAATGAAGAGCGTGCACGCTGACAGATGCTGCGACGAGCTTTTCCAGTTGCTGCCTGTCATGGTTAGTTTTAGGTGTCAGCTTGGCTAGGCCACGGTACCCAGCTTCTTCTCAAACACCAGGCGACATGTTGCTGTGGAGTTTTGTTTTGAAGATGTGATTGATAATTCAGTTAGCGGACATGGAGTAGAGCAGGTCCCCCTCTACCATGTGGGTGGGCCTCGTCCGATTAGTTGAAGGCTTTAGGAGAAAATAATGAGGTCTCCCAGGGAGGAAAGGATTCTGCCTCCAGACAGCCTTCAGGCTTGAGCCACCATCCCAACTCTTCCCCGGGTTTCCAGCCAGCTGCCCTGCCCTGCAGACTTCACATCTGCCAGCCCCCACAATCCACCATCCTTAAAAATCTGTCTCTCTCTCTCCACACACACACATACACACACTATTGGTTGTGCATCTCTGGAGACCCCTGCTGCGTGTGCAGCCTATTCATCTAGAAGGCTCCGGGGCAGTGGGGGATCTACTCCTTATCCACAGCATTCTAATATTCTGGAGACACAAGAGAAGGGACATGGAAGGGCAGGCAGACATTAAACTACCCAGAAGCGATGTGTGCCTGTGCTCTTATTGCACCTCCACATTCTTATTTTTCTTACTAATAAAGAATTTAAAATGAAGGAAGCCCCAGATCACCCGGGTGTGATTCTCTAGCCTTTTCCCACTTCTAGTTCAAGAGATGTACCCGTGTTCTTTTAACCAAAGAAAAAATCATTGCATCCTTTACTCTAGCAGTAGTGCCTGAAGCATGGGGTGAAGGTGATGAGTGCGTTAGGGCCTTTGGGAACTCTGTCCCAGCCAACCCTCACCGTCCATACCCTGCTGGGAGGGAAAGCTGTGGCCCCGGCAGCTCTCTTGGTTTATACTCCCAAGAGGAAACTCTTCCTCTCGAAGCCTGGGGGAGGGACAGACTTTGGACCAAGTTCACTCTCCCAGCTATAATTTGAAGTGTGGACAAAATGGGCCCAGATGTTCAGCCTTGCTTGTTGGGCCTGGCTCTGGTCTGCGTTCTCATCCGCGAGACCCTCGGCCTCCCTGCCCACACCAACTCGCCTTGGGTCTTCTTTGAGACATTCTTACTGAACAAGAAATAATTCCCCAGGGTTAGATTACTGGACACAGGAGAAATGTGTTCTGCAAGCTGAGGAGAATTGAATTTGGCTTCAGGGACTTCCTCCTCCCCAGGTGAGGTTTACCAGTCTGTAAGGATCTCACAGGTGATTTGGGTCCATTTTTGGTGCACTTTATTTCTCTTCCTAGACCCTTTCCTCTGTCTTCCCAGACCCTTCCCCTCAAAGGGGTGCTGGCGTTGGGTTGCCCACGGCTCCTTGCCCCGGTGAGCCCTGACCACGCAGACCCAGCAGCTTCCAGGGACCTCAGCATTTAAGTAATGGGCGTGCAAGAGAAAACCAAAACCAAACCCAAACAAGCCTCCAAATGCAGGGAGAACTCCTCAGTGGGAGCTGGAGAGTTCTAGTTGAAATGTCTGAGGTGACAGTGAGCACGCAGTGGTCGACTGTCGGAAAGCTGGTCCTCAGGCCAGAAAACTCATCCACAGTTCCATCCCAACTTGGTCTTTTTGTATGAGTTGAAGAAAAAGTGTGGGTTTTTTGTTGTTGTTGTTTCTTTCTTTCCAACTAGTTTCTTTGGATCCTGGCATGACTCCAGAAGAATCGTACCCTGCTGCCCCACATTCATTTTTATTTTTAGGGGATTGTAAGTTAGAAGAAGTGACTTCTCTTGCAGATGGCAAAGACTTACAATCCAAAATCATCACAACTCACAATTTAAAGACATTTTGATCTCTACCTTCCTGAGCAAATCAGCCGGCAGGCCTATTTCTTGTAGGGCTTTCGTCTGCACATAGTAGGTCCTGGATAAACACTTGCTGATTAAATGATATTCGAAGCAAAGCGACTGCAGCTGATTGTCTACTTAGGGCAAGGTGAGTGTAAATCAGAAGGGTGAGAAATTGCATCAGGCTGCGGAGGGATGCAGGCTTGCACGGCTACAAACAAACCTAATTAGCTGTGCCTCTGCCAGCAGCCCTACTCAGACACATCTGGAGGGGGGAGAATGGCTAAGGCTAGATTGGCTTTCCCAAGTGAAAACGCCTCTCTTCAGTTGCACCTGCACAGGACTGATTGCGCCTCAAATCCATTTGTCAGGCTGGTTGCAGGTATCTGAGAAATTGCTAATAGAATTGGGCAAAAGTGCCCGTGGGAGTGGGAGGTAAATAGCATGGCAAGACAAGCGGCTGCTGGAGTCCCGGGTTGGCAGGTGGGCCTGCCCCCATGCCCCGCCAGGCTCCAGGGGGTACCTATGCCCAGTGACTACAGAGAAGACCCGTCTTGGCTGAGCATCAGGCTCTGGTGCAGTCTTTGCTAAGTGTGTTTATCGGCCACCACGAGAGTACTTAGCTGCAAAATGGAGGTGCTTTCACTCACAGACACCAGGAGCCTTCACTAGGGAGGCACTGAGATCAGCACTTTTTCCAAGATGCTCCTTGCAAGGTACTTGTGCTCCATCAAATTGCAATTCTTCCTAGACACAAAGGGAGGCACTGGCCCAGAGTCAAGGTCATAGCAAGACCCCTTGAGCTGCCTGTTTCTTAGCAGAAGCTGGAGTAGACAGACATGACTTGAGACGTCTTAAACTTGTTTGGAGAATTTGGGACTGGATCTCCCGCCCAAGCACTTTGGAGGGGTCTGAAGAGACACAGGACGTGTGTATACGTGTGTGGGGATTTGGGGCTGTGTGTGTGTGGGGTTGGGGCAAGGGCTTGGATCAAACATCTGGATATGAATACCAACTCTGCTGTTTTCTGCTGACTGTGAACTTGGAAGAGTTTCTTATCAGTTCAAGCCTCACTTCCCTCATAAATGAAATGGGGATAGTAATCATTATTATGGGCTGTTGGGTCCCCCAAAAATCCATGTGTTGAAGTCTTAACACCCAGTGCTTCAGAATGTGATGATATTTGGAGATACGGTCTTTAAAGAGGTGAATCAAGTTAAAATGAGGTCCTATGGGTGGGCCCTAATTTAATATGGCTGATGTCCTTATAAGAAGAGAGATTAGGACACAGACACACACAGGCGATGTTATATGGTGGTTTAGGGTCTAGACTGCCAAGGTTCAAGTTCTGCTGTGACTTACTTGCTCTGAGTGACCTTGGGTTTCATATTAAATTTTCTGAATATCAATTTCCTCACCTGTAAAATGGGGGAAATAACAGTCTGCCTCATGGTGTTGCTGGAGGTGTGAGGTCAGATATTAACCATCTGGCACTTCCACCGCTGCAGGTAGCTTGGCCATTGTTATTGTTATGATTAAGGGCAGGTGAGCATGTAGTGTCTTTCTTTGCTAAGTATGTCTGATGCCAAGTCAGTATTCATTGAGCACCTCTTCTGTGCAAGGCGCTTGGAAAGGAGTGCAGTGGCTCTTTTTCCCCACTCTTGCCCCTGCTAGATTCATCCTCAAGTCTTCTCTGAGTTGCTTTTCCTGCAGCCCGTAGTTACTGAAAACCATAATACTTATAGATGCTGCTTTCTAGAAATGAGCCTGTAAAGTCTTGTATTTTCTCTTGGTCTGCACAACTTTAGGGGGGGTAACACGTCCTGTATTTGCCAGTTGTTAACCTTCTCTTTGACCACGGAGCTCTAGATGATGGCACCGATAATGCCCAGGCAGATTTAGTTTTGATCTCCAATGAAAGATAGGCCTTTCTGTATTTGCAGTAATAAGCAAACACCTTTAGCTTGAGAGGATAAACTTAAGTACAATGTTTGTTCTCTGGAGGCATACTGATTAACTTTAAAATATGAATAAAAGGCAGTCCTATTTCATTATGGTAAGAACACTTAATACAAGATCTGCCCTCTTTTTTTTTTTTTTTTTTTTTTTTTTTGTTGGAGACAGAGCTCTCACCCGGGCTGTCACCCAGCTCTGTCACCCAGGCTGGAGTGCAGTGGTGCAATCTCGGCTCACTGCAACCTCCACCTCCCAGGTTCAAGTGATCCTCCTGCCTCAGCCTCCCGAGCAGCTAGGACTACAGGAGCGTGACACCACGCCCGGCTAATTTTTTGCATTTTTAGCAGAGACGGGGTTTCACCATGTTAGCCAGGATGGTCTCGATCTCCTGACCTCGTGATCTACCCTCTTAACGGATTTTTAGTGTGCAAGTTATCTGTAGGTACAAGGTTGTACAGCAGATCTGTCAAACTTATTCATCTCACATAATTGAGACTTTATGCCTTTCAATTAGCAACTCCTCACCTCCCGCTCCCACCAGTCCCAGGCAACCACTACCCTGTTCCTTTTGCCTCCGTGAGTTTGGCTACTTTCAAAGCCTCATAGAAGTGGAACTGTGCCGCATTTGTTCTTCTGTGCCTGGCTCATTTCTCTTGGCATCTTTCCTCCAGGTTCATTCATGCTGTCACCAATGGCAGGATATCTCGCTCTTTTGTTTTTAAAAACAGCCAAAGTCAAGTATGTAAAAAGGTGGGCAGCTGAGAACCTGGTACCAGAATGTTCCAAGGAAAGGTACTGAGTGGCACAACCTGGCCTGGTTCTCCACCAGTAATTCCTAAACTTCCCCACCTGGAGGCTCCTGATGACAGATGGGTGAATGGCAGAGTAGATGAGTGAGGGAGGTGGGGAGCCCCGGTGGGGCCTGGCTGGTCAAAGTCCAAGCAATCTGATCCCAGCAGGACATTCCTTTGAAGGATCATGTATCACTTTACAAATATCCACAAGCTTTGCACTCTATCCATATTTGTTTAGGTGTAAAAAAATATTTTAAGCTCTTTACTGAGAAGGAAAATGGGATGCACCCACATGGATTCCCCAGCATGCACCGCTGAGCATTCCCTGTGGTACCGCTCCTCAGTTTAGGGTTTAGGTCAGGGGCCCTGGAATCATTGAAGGAGACCTGTCTTCCTCTCGTCTGCTGTCTTCCTCCTGGATATCACCCCTGGGTCAAGCCCATGGTCTCAGTGGGTTAGCAATGAATCCTTCCTAAGATGCGAACAGATGGGAGCTCAACATTTGACCCATCCCTGGGGTTTTAGTTTTTTTGTTTGTTTGTTTGTTTTGAGACGGAGTCTTGCCCTGTCACCCAGGCTGGAGTGCAATGGCACCATCTCAGCTCACTGCAACTTCCGCCCCTCAGGTTCAAGCGATTCTCCTGCCTTAGCCTCTCAAGTAGCTGGGATTACAGGCATGCGCCGCCACGCCCAGCTAATTGGGGTTTTAGGTTTAAGAGGAATCCCAGAAGGACAGGGTGATCTGAGGTCCTGAGCAACTCTGAGGCTGAAACTGCGCTGGTCTACTTTAAGGCAGGGGCTGTGATTTTCCCTGTGACTGAGGTCCTCCAGGGGTCAACTGCATTTCAGGTGTGTGAGGGGAGAGTGACTGCCCACCTGGCTACCCAGCCCTTCTTTCTGAGCCTGTTTACTCAGCTGCTGGGGCCTCCATGACAGGTTTGCTTGGTGACCTTACACCGCAGTGGCTCCCAGGGCCAGAGACGTGACCAAGGAGGGACCTTGCACTGAGGAACCTGTGACCGTAGGAAGACCCTCTAAGGCCGACTCTTGCTTGGCCCGGCCCAGTCCCTCCTACCAACACTGATAAGAACTTAGGTTCCTAGCATCCCAGGAGGCAGGGTCACAAAGACAAGCTGAGAACTGATACCACTGCTATACCCACCCCTGGACCTCCCTGTCCCATGCAGGAGTCTAAGCCAGTGCAACCAAGGCCAAGCACACACCCATACCACACAGCAAGGGTTTCACACGGGGTTTTCATTTCTTTACCCCTGGCCGAACCATGCAAGCTACCAGCCATCTACCCAGACTTCTTAGAGTCTGCCAAATACGTACTCAGACCAGAATTAAGTTCAGGCCATGGTAGAGGTGACCAGCCACTCTGCCGTGACCTGGATTCAGCCATCAATTCCAAAGAAGCCCACAGTGCCTTGCATTTTGCTGGCTGGTTTGTTTTTGTAAAATGATGGGGTGGGAAGCAGTGCTGGGCATTGGAAAGGGGCTGAACAAGGGGAAATCTTCAACACCTTTTAAATGGAAGCATGTCTAGTTGGCCTCTTTTCTGTAAGGAACTATACTGGGCATCACAGAGATGCAAAGACTAGAGTGACTGATTCAGGCCCTGGCCTGAAGGACTTTATTATTGAGAGTTCCCCGTATATATAAATGGCTGAACTCTCAGGCCAGTGAATGCCTGTGACCAAGTGCCAATGGGTGAAAGTAGAGGTTCCAGACCAGGAGTGGGAAATGCATCAACAGAGAGCTTGGCCACATGCTGGCCTGGAGTGCAGAGAAAGAGTGCCAGGCCTCTGGGCACTGAGTTCTGAGCTGCTTCTGGAGGGCCAGGAGATACTCCCACCTGCAAATGACTGGCTGATTGCACTTTCCTTAGAGTTTGCCACCTGCATTTCCGCTCTACCCACTAACTGACTGCTCCGGTGCAGGGAGCCAGGCAGGGGCAGTGGTACCTGGGTCAGGACACGACAGCAGCCTCTGGCCTCAGGCAGGGAGTGCTGGACAGTCCGTCTCCTGTCCTGCTTTGTCTCTTTCTCCTTGAGCTCAGGACACAGTGGGGAGCCCTCATGTTTCTGTAAGGTCATCACACAGGCTGGAATGTTTTTTTTTTCCTCTCTCTCTCTCCCTGTCTTTCTTTTAATGGACAAACACCCTTGAGGTCCTGGTTGATTTTCTTAGAGAAATGTAGATTCTTTGATTCTAACGATGGAACATAAGTTTTCTGAATTTTGAGGAAAACAAAGCCCAAGATTTCAACAACCAGTGTTCCTGCCAAATCCACTGGGCAAACAGAAAAGCTGCCTGCCTCCGGTGCTCCCAGACCCCCTTCCTTCTCAAACACGCATCAGACACTTTGCACCAAGAAAAAACAAAGGGCATCCCTCCTGGGGCCACCTCTGCCCCCTGTCCAGGTACGCGCTGTCTGGCGCGCCCTGCGTGGGGGCCGCAGGTTCAGACACCCGGGCGCGGCGCGGGGCCCTGATGGATGCGGTGACCGAGGCTGTGGCTGCGGGCGCGGCGTCTCCGCGGCAGTCGCTGCCTCCGCGGCCCCCTCCCCAGCCCCAGCCCCAGCCCCAGCCCCAGCCCCAGCCCCAGCCCCAGCCCCAGCCCCAGCCCCAGCCCGGCTGAGCGGGCGGCCGGAGCATGCGCCGTGGGCGCCGGGCCGGGAGGCGGGCGAGGAGGCAGCGCGCATCACTCGGGTCCCCTTCCTGCACCCAGCCGCCACTTGCCGGTTGCTAAGCAGTTATCATTGTTTCTGTGGCGATTGCAGAGGCTGTTGCTAATTGGAGAAGCCCCACTAAGCAGCGGCAGCTTCCTGCTTCGGATCCTCTCTCTGCTGCTTGCATTTAAAGAGCAAACTCGTCTTGTCTACCCACCCTCCCTCCCCCATCCTCCCCAAAATAGCCTTGTGATTTCGGAAGTATGGACTAAAATCACACTCCTCCTTACCTTACCGCTTGGACTCTGGTGGCTCCCAACTCGCCGTCAGACCCCACCTGCCCCGGTGGTGGGAAGCGCCTGGACAGACCATGACCACAGCCAAGGAGCCAAGCGCTTCGGGGAAATCCGTGCAGCAGCAGGAACAGGTAATGCTGCTTTTGGGGGTCCGTGTGTGTGTGTGTGCGTGCGTGTGCATGCGTGCATATGTGTGTGCATGAGAGAGACAGAGACAGAGAGGGAGGATATGTATTTGGGGAAGAATTTTGTATTTTGTATTGGTTTATGACTGTAGCCCCCTGAGCCACCAAGCTGGGAGGAGACGTAGAGTGCTGGGTGCTGCTGGAGTCTGCGGCTCTCCTCTCCCTGGCTTCTCTCTCTAAAGGGCGCCCTGGCTTGATGATTAAGGTACAGGCACAGGGAACCTCTGTCAAGGTAAACTTGATGTGAAACACCTCTGGACAAAGGCCTCTCTCTACAGAGCCGCCAGATCTAACGAGTTCCCTGGGAAGGTTCCCAGCTAGTACTTTGTAACTTGGGGGAAGAGGGTTGTAGCCAGAAACATCAGCGTATTCTGACCCTCCAACAGGACTTTGCTTTGGTTCTAAGACAAGTCAAAGAAAATGAGCTTACTGAAAGGACTTTTCTTTGGATACCTCGTGGCCCTTTCCTCCTGTTTCCCTCAAGAGCAAACTGTCCCTGCTAGAGAAGCCGAAGGATAGACGGTCGGGATAAAGGAGGACTCGGCCGAGAAGGTGCAGGTTTAAAGGGCTGACCGCGGACGGGGAAGGCTGCGTGGGTCCCACATGGCACAGGGCGGCCGCTCGCCTTGTCCTGAGAAGACCACGGTCTGCAGAGGCCCAAGGGGTGAGGGAGGAAAGGTGAGTCAGCCAGCCGCTTCACCACGCGTGTAGACATCGTAATTCCCTCCTTGGAAGATCTTGAGGGTTCTTGTCTTTTAATCATTGCTCAGTTCACCTCAGGCAGATCATTAAAATAGATCCTGGGAGACACCAATAGATTCACAAAGCAGTTTGCTCAAGCGTGGTAAATCAACAGCTTAAGCTGACTTCTCCTATTTATTTTAGGGTTGCTGTTGGATCTCATTTGCTAGGATTAGGGCAAAGATAGGCGACCTCTTTAGAGTTCAGGAAGCTGAAGAGCCTCCTTGAGGACACTGTGTGACAGAATTCCATGCCAACTCTTCAGAGACTTACACGAAGATGAGTTTGGATTTGTATTTAGTGGGGTCATTTCCCAAAGCCCATTTATCGATAAAAGGGGGCCATTTTATTAGTACCATCATTATCATCATCTAAAGAACTTAAATGAAGTTTTATGTCATCTGGGAAGAAGATTCTGTAAATACGGACATTAAAAATTTTTATATTCAGTGTGACAGTGTGCATAAGGATTGATGCTCAGTATAGCTTGACAGGTTCAAAACAGACAAACCAAACCCTCCTCCTTTCAAAAATTCCACAGAATATTTGCTCAATAAAGAAATATTTCCACACTAAATTAGCATTCTGTAATTAACTGGGTTTCTTTTTATTACAGTTCTCCTCCCTCATTAGTTATGAAGTAAGTGTGCGATGGGCTTTCAGGCTTGAACTAGGACTCAGGTAGCATCCCTGACCATGGGAGAGAAGTAATAATTACGAAAGAGTGCATTGCTGTTCATAGGTCTACACCCGATACACCCAAGGATTGGGAGTCAGAAGCCCAATCTGTGTTATGTAAAAGAAATCCCTTGTTTCCTGTACAAATTTGCTCTTATTTTGCCTGATACCTGAGCATGCCAGGAGAGTGGGAATAGTTAATTAGGGTGTGGGTTTTGGAGGACCTATGAGCTCTTGGTTTGATTTTATACCTTTTTGTCATTGGAAATCCCATGTCCTTGAACCTATTCAATCGGAGAAGGCTTAAACTGATATAAAACTGAAGAGCAGAGGCAGCCATGGCTACAGCGAGCAGGTGGGACACCCAGAAGAAGCAGCTGTCCTCATCCCATGCAGTTGTGAAGCCGCTTTTTCTCCCTCCTCAGAGAGGTGTCACCTCAACCCTAAAAAATGAACAGCCCCCACCCCCACCATGAAGTATAATGAAGAGGGGAACAGCAGAGATAAGATAAGCCAGATGGGACAGGGGGTGAAGACCCCACATTTCAAGTGTATATACCTTGAGGAGACCTTACCTGGGGTCTGAACACACTGCTTAGAACATAAAGAGGTAAATAACCTCCTAAAATAAAATCCCTAAAGACAGTCTCTTATTCCTGCATTATATATAATTTTGAAAGGTATTAAAACTATGCTGTGTGCTTAGACTGCAGAACTCTTAATGAGTTCTCCATTCTTTATTTTATTTTATTTTCCTGGTTGCTAATGAAACTTCAGGGATACCTCTATTCCCAGGCTGGTAGGCATGTGTAGGGAGACCAGGAAAGAGGAATATGTTTCTTTTTTTTTTTTTTTAATTTATTTTTTGAGTGAGAGAGAGGATTGCTGCTTTGTGGATTGGTTTTGAAGCAGGGGGTCATTAAACTGTGCTAACTCAATGACTGCCTGCAAATCACCAAGTGTTGATTCTTATGAGAAACTCACTGGCACCTCACATCCTCATCTTGTGAGGCATTAACCAGAGAACTGGGATTGAATGGAGCCTGATGCCATCTCCGACATCCTTCCAGCTGTTTGGTTACTGCAATAGACTACCCATTACTTCTTAGCAAGTGAACAGAGGAAAGTGAGTTTCTTTACCAGCCTTGGTATTTGGAAACCAGGCATATGGGTGGTGGGTGGAAATAATTTTTGTGTGCTGAGGATGGCCACAAATTAGGGGGGAAATTAGAAAAAAAAAAGATTTTACTATTAGTTAGAGATTGTTGTTTTTTTTCTACCGTGTTTGCTAAAAAAAATGTGTAAAAAGAGTATTTTGGGATTTTTGGTTTGTTTTTTAAAGGATACTAAATAAACAAGCCAGAGTAACAAGGAGAATTGGCTTCTGGGAGACTATTTCTCTTTCTCTTTGGAGATGCTAAAGTTTATTTTTAAATGAAGTATTGCAAACCCAGAGATGTTTGGAAGCAATATATACTTTAATCTGCATGAACTGAGTTGATCCTTTGGCTCTGAAGCCAATCAGGTGATACTGAGACTCCTCGGTGAAAATGGCTGAGCATTGGCTGCACCTGACCTCTGCTCCTGCGCAGAGGGAAGCCTGGTGAGGGACCCAGAAAAAACACTGAGGCAAGTCTGGCTTAAATTTACTATATTCTCACAAGCCAACGGAGCTCTTCCTTAGAAAACCAAATTAAGGGATTTTTTTTCCCTTAAAATAAATAAAAGTACAAATTTATTGTAGTACATACTGTCTCCATTTCAAATGATTTAAAATTGAAAAGCAGTGATCAGTAAAGCTATTAAGAGAAGACGAAAAATTAATTCCCTCTGCTTGCAATGAGCCAGGACACATTTTTGCTCAAATATTAAGCAGGGATAAGTTTTTCCTAGCATATTGTGTGCATGTGTATGTATGTGTGTGCATGCGTATGCACACACAAACAAATGCACACACGTGAACAGTCACACACAGGCACACCTCGTGTGTCACAAAATCAGAGTTGGAAAGGACCCCACACATGCACTCGTTGGTCCTAGTTCATGCTCTCGTGCTGAGGAATCTCACAAATGTGTGAGAATATGCCTTTCCTCAAAAGATCTCCAGAAAAACCTCCTTTCACATGGAAATAGCCTACATTCCACTGGCTAACTTGGATCTTTGGTTATATGTTCAGTCACATTTTTAACTTCCTTAGACCTGAAAATCAGCTGTTCTCATCACACCTTGTATATGTGACTGCTGTTTTTTGTTGCTTCTCAGTTTTCTTCAAGTTGTACAAATCCTGATAGATAACTCCCCATGTGTCTGTTCTTCTATTAAATTATGAGCCCCAGGACCTAGTATTAACTTAAATTTGGTGTCTGAACATATATAATAATGCCATTACAGAAGAACTTTTTGAAATGAATAGAAATTTTTAAACAACAGATTCCATAGAACGGACATTGAAATGCATGTGAATTCTGGGAGAGGTTAGGTGGCCTCCCGGAAGGGCACATAGGTAATGGCCCAGTAAGAGAATTTCTGATGTTCCTGTCCGCTGCTCTCTGATTTTGATCTTGTTGCTTCTTGCAGTAGATACTGAAAGAGAGGATCTAACTTTGACCATAATGAGAGTTAAATTTTTTATGTAGCCATATTAAAAGGCAATGTGAGACATCCGTATTTAAGATAAATGTGGTAACAGGAAAAAAAAGAAGTGAAAAGAACACAGAAAAACAAGATTCAATATTAGGAAGTGCACATAACTATTGAGGAGTCCCAATAGGGAAGGTGGTCCTTTTGCAGTTCAAAAAGGGCATGGGGTGGGGTTGGTGGCCCTTTCACAGTTCACACGGACATTGGATGTAGCAGCCATGCTCACGTACAGTAAATTCCATCTGTGCATGGTCTAAATTATCTAAGACTCTGTAGATAAAAAGAAAACTTGAAGGAACTGCTGAAGAATAGGGACACCAGGTTCTTAGGATTGTGTAGAAGTACATCTGGGACTCATGGACTTCCAGAGCCGGGAGACAGGATGGAGTTTGGCTGCAAAATAGGCTGATGTGTGAAGGATTTGAGGAGAGAACTGGGAAGTCTTGGATATCCTACAGAGAGCAGGTCCAGAACCAGAGCTCCCTACTGGGAACACCAGAGTGGGTCCTTGAGCTGATGGGGAGCAGCATGGAGTCTTTGGGGAAGGGAAAGAGCTTAGCTGGTGTGGTGCTATCCTCAGAGGAGGGATGTTTTGCTTGTTACCAAAGAGAACAACATGATGAGGAAGCAAGCACGCAACTAGCCTGGAGGCGGCATGCGCTGTGCTCTGAGAACTGACAGGTAGTTCACAATCTTTTGGGATCCGTGTCACCAACTTACTAAAAAGTGCAAATCAGCAAGTGCCATTTAGCACATCAAATGAAAGCCCAGGCAATTGAGAGCAAGGACAAATGATACCCAGATTGGCTTTTGGTGCAACCCAAACTCAAAACAATGGAAACAGTGTTTCTGTTTGGTTTTGTTTTTTAAAATGCTTTCTCTGTGCATTAAATGCATTTTGTTATTTTATTCTGACATTCCATTAAACCAAATCCAGCCCCCTCATTCTCAATACTGTGGTTATCAGGGCAGATATACTCAAAACCTTCAAATGCTCCATGGAGAACACGTGAGGGCTGGAGGGTGCTTTTCATTAACCTTCACCGAAACATCTTAGCTCCAGCGTGCACGTGGAAAGTGTTAAGATGCTAATCACTTAGAGGAATGAACAGCGTGCACGTGGAAAGTGTTAAGATGCTAATCACTTAGAGGAATGAACGGTCACCGTCTCTGCCTCATCGGGAATTGTAGCGTTATTATCTTTTATGGAAATGAGCTGTGCCTGTGTTTGGCACTCACTGATCTAGTTTTGCAGTAGGCATCATGCACCCTCTGTCATTGAGAAAGAGAGGGCAGAGTGAATCTGTGGATCCAGAGTTCTAAAACCTGAGGAAGAGTATATAATTCGGGGAGAAAGTGATTCTCTATAAGCTCTGAGAGGTCAATGGTTGACATCCTTGCTTGTAAAAGATCGGACAGGTAGGGGGTGTATCATCTTGTTTCAGACACTGTTTGGAAAAACAAAATAAAGTGGTTTTATTTGAAGATGTAGGCTTGGTTACCCCATAGCCTTAAATCATGGAAGTAGGTAACCATGTCAATTTGCATGGGGAGCCGCGTGCAGTGGCTCATACCTGCAGTCTTTGGGAGGCCGACGAGAGAGGATTGCTTGAGTTTAGGAGTTCAACACCAGCCTGGGCAACATGGCGAAGCCCCATGTCTAGAAAAAATAGAAAAATTATCCAGGCGTGGTGGTGGCGCATGCCTGTTGTCCCAGTTACTCAGGAGGCTGAGGTAGGAGGATCACCTGAGCCCAGGGAGGTCAAGTTTGCAGTGAGCCGTGATCACACCGCTGAACTCTAGCCTGGGCAATGGAGTGAAACCCTGTCTCCACAAAAAAAAAAAAGAAAAAGAAAAAGAAAATCTGGGTGGGATGTAAATTGCAATCCTGTTTGTTGGTGCAATTCTGCATGTGGCTGATATCCTAAAGTCCTTCCTGACTTTGATAGCATGTGTTTCTTGAAGTGGGGAGTGGAGAGGTCTCAACACACACAGCCCAGGTAGAATGATCAAATCCAGAAAGTTTATTCTCTGTCCTACTCCCATCCCCATTTGTTGTTGACCTTTCAGGACTCTTTACTTCTACATCCCGGGTAGGCCCTTAATCTCCACTGGTACCCATGGTTTAGCACCATTTTCTCATACTTGACTCTTCTATCAAAAATGCTCCATGTGCTTTTCCACCTGGGCCTTGCTAAATGACTGAGACAAATCCATTCATTAAACAAAAAGTGTAAGGTGGGTGTCATGCAGTACTTTCCTGAGAGCATTTGCAATTTCAACAGTAGCTATTGGTGATAAAACCCAATGCAATTATTAATGGTGGAAATTTCAGGCACAAAGTTGTGGCAAGACCTGATGGAAGAAAAAATATTTAGTCACATCGTTAAGGAATAATGAAGGTGAGGTCACAGCGGGGACAGTCTTGGCACCCCTTAAATCATCGACAGGCTGTGCACATCCTGGAGGTATCTGTTCATTCTGTGTTCACATTAGAGCTGGTCTTGTATCAGGCAAGTACCAAATTACAGATCCTGTTGCTGCTTTCTGCTTTCAAATCCTGAAGGATTTGATAGTAATAGTGTTGAAATGTGCAGCGATTCCTTCTTAGGAAAAACTGCCATAATATGCACAGGCATGGAGTCAGTGCTGTGGGTCCCCTTTGATCCTGGTGGCTGGGATCCTGAATGCAGCCCTCCACCAATGGCTTTACAAAGCACGTTGCTGATATAATGAAGTCTTGCTCCGCAAATTTTTAGTGACAATGTATGTAATTATTCCTTTACTAGTATCTGATCCATTTTTAAGAAATTTAACTTCCCCTGCCAGAATTCAAGAAAAACTGCTTTCCCCAGTGTGGAACTGCACGAGACTCAAGCGTCACCTCGAGCTGCTAAGTTATTAATTTGGAACACAGGCTTTTAAACAATATCTGTATGTGCGCCCATGTATGTGTGGGCAGAGGGGGCGATGGGAGACCAGCCAAATCTGCTGATTAAAATGGGAACACCGTGGTGATGGCGGGGCTCTCTCAAAACACTTTAAAAGGCCGAAGTCCATCTTGTGGACATGCTCATAAGATTTCTCTTGGAGACAATGGTAATTCATTCTCTTAAAAAGGATTGGTTCAACCCTTTGAGTAGGCTACCCACAGCAAGATGTGAGATCAGAACCAAAAAATATTCAAAGCATATTCCATGTTTTGTCTTTTGGAAATAATATGTGACAGAGGTGGTCTTGAATAGTAATGATATATGTTTCCAAATTAATGAAAATAAGTTATTTCTTTATTCTCTAGCAGTGATTCTTGAAATTCTTCATTCTTTTTAGAATATTTGAAGTTGTTATAGCATTCACTCTAGGAATTCCAAAATTATGACACTAAGTATGTATCTCAAATCAGGCCTCTGAGTGGGAAAGGGAAGGAAACATATTTTTAATTTTAATAGTCTGCCTAATATCCCATCCACTTATTAGACAGATATTGGATCCAAGGAAGATTTTTATTTTGATAAACAGTAATGGGAGAGCCAAGGTAGGGGGAAAGGAGAGCTGGATGGGAACAGCTCAAGGTCAGGAGAGAGCAGAACAGTCCACAGCCAGGGTGCCTGGACCCAAGGTGCAGCCAGCGGTCTGCTGGAGAAAGGTGGAATGTGGCTGCAGGGGCACACAGAGATGGTTTGGGAAAACAGAAACAGGAACTGTGATATGAAAGTGTTTTGAAAGCATACAATGGAAAACAGCAATGGGCTTGTAAAGTTCTAGAAGGGAGGGAGGAAGTCTGAACGTGGCACGAGAGGCTCTTGCTTAAGAGAACAGGTGTTTGTGGAATAGGTAAAACCAGAGGAGTGACTTGGACATCAAAATTTTATTTTCTGAATGTGATTATTTAATCTAGGCATGTTTTGATAGGTGAAAAAAGGGACTAGAAACTTCTGGCTTTCAAAGAGCAAAAAGAGTTTGTTATTTCACAAATAAATTCAAGTTTACCTAGAAGCAACAAGATATTTTAAGATATGGTATATATATATATATATATATATATATATACACACACACGCACGCACACACACACACACACACACACCCTTACATATATATGTAGTACTTCCTGGAATAGCCTGAGAAAGAAACATTTAGGAAGACTCAATATAATTATTAATACAATTTCTGGCTCTGATTTTGATGAGCCAGATATTTTGATGTTCATTTTGATGCAGTCTGCCATGCCTGGAACACCAGGTCATATGGTACATATGACTTGGTTAAAGAAGAGATTAACCAATAAGAGAACTTTGGCAGGTAAGAACTATTTTGCCATTAAAAACCATGAAGCTGTAACAACGTCTCAAAAGCTCCCTTGGTGCATTTTATTAATTCTTTCTGCTCATTACTAGGCTTGGGATGATGAAGACCTGACCCTTGACTTGCCAATAGCTAACTTACGGGGGAGTTGGGAGAATTGCTGTGCTTTGGCATGGATGCCCCTGACTTCTGATCCGAGCTCCTCCACCTGCTAGCTGAGGGATATTGGACAGTTCTGGACTGATTCTGTATCTATGAAATGGGGATGATTCCTGTCACGCTGTTGCTGTAAAAAACAAAATATAGAAACACGGAATGCTGTTCTTGGCATGGAGATTTCAAACTATTGTTCAGTGAACACCTACTATGTGCTGACATCCCAATGCTACTTGAATCTTCTTATTTTCAGCATTTGGTCAGAGCTCATGTCCCATTTTTAAGATGATTTGTTCTACAAAATCATAGAATGTTTGACTTTTAAAGCTTCTTATAGCCCCTCTTGCCCAGTGATTTTTGGACTTTTGTTTTAGTAACGTAAACCCCTTTTCCAAAGGGCACGTCTTTTCCAAGATTGGCATGTGAAGGTGGTGAACGTGCTGGCTTAGTGCCCCTGAGACGTGTCAGCAGAGCCCCAGGGCATGGGGGAGCCCAGCTCACAAACCACACATCTAATTCAGCAGTCTAATCTTGCACAGGAGTAAAACCAAGCTCAGAGAGGTTGAGTAAATTACCAAAATCATGCAGCTGGCAAGCTGCAAATTCAGAACACAACTCCCTCCTTTTTTTTTTCCTCCAAATCAAGCAATCCTGAGTGAAACGTGGGAAATATAATATGCCAAGAAGATTAACACGAAAACTGTTAACTGGCAGCTGCAAAGGAAATAAAGGAATTAGATAATATGAATGGGTTAACAAATTCTCGCCTGGAGGTCAGTTAAGAAAAGGTTTGTGTCCTCCAGGTAAATCAAACCTACTGCGGTTTTTCCTCTTCACATCTCATGGACAAACACAGCCATTTCTTCTTTTTATTGCACCAGTGCTGGATGCATGAGGTTGTTCGTAGCAATCTGTCATATTTGAGTAATTCGTTATTTAATGAGTTGCTTTTGAAACAAGGAAAATAATGAGGATGTTACCGTTGTGTATCTCCCCAATTTTTAAAAGGAAGCAACAAATAGTAAATTATGCATGCTTTGGAAGTATGCAGTAGTTAATTTTCAATCTCATCTTACAGCTGAATAACCTCAAAGGTAGTAGTTATACAACAGGTGTGGGAATATGTGAGTGTGAGGGAGAGGAATCCCAGGACATCACCTGTACACATTGGGGGTTTGGCCCAGCAGGGCTTCAGATGTTGAAACATCTGGAAATTTTATTTGCTCACAAGCTTAAAATGAACCAAAAGTATGTTGCTTATTAACACTTTTGAGGATCTGATGAAAGCCATAGGACTGCTTGCCAGAAAAATCCCTACAATTTTTTGAGTTCCTAAGGTTCACATTCCCTTCATTTCTGTCTGTGGACTCCAGGTTGAGCGTCTCTGTGGTCACCATGGTCCCCAGCAAGCTAGCACAGTCTTAAGACACATCAGTAGGAATGTACTCAGTGCTCAAAGCTTACATAGATATTGACCAGCAGCCATCACCTCTGGGGGGCTGTGCTAGGGAGGCACAGCATGTAGAAGAGGCTGGAATGGGCCAGGGAGAGTGGTAAGGGAGCAATGGGTAGGAGATCCCAGAAGTGGTAGGTAATGGACCGTGATCCATGTCAGGTGATTAAAGGCTAAAGGAATATGGTTCTGTCCTCAACCACATGGTGGCCTCAGCCTGGGATACATGACTGTGTCTTCCTCCATAGGGGTCAGTTTAACTAAGAACCCCAAGTATTGAAGACCTCAAGACTTTAATATGGTACTTCCTGTACCTTGACACACATATATAAGCTTCTGAAGGACACAAAACATGCCACGTTACTTGTTGTATCTCTGACGCCAAGCACAATGGTGACCCACTTGCTTGTGTGCTAAATGAATCAGTGAGTGAATGAATTGTGTCCTCCTCTCTAAACCTCCTCTACTGAGTTATACACAAAGTTGAGGGTCTGTGGTTTTACTATTTATTCATCGAATGAACCATTGAACAAAGTAATCAAATTTTCAGAGCCCTGTAGAGAAATCAAATCTCCCTCTGAATTGCTAACTCACCTTGCTTTCCCTATTGTTTAAAGTGTCATAGCCACTCTTCCTTTCCCAACACTCCACCCTCACCTGTCCTACCCAAAAACATTTCTCTGCTACAGAAGCATGAACTATTCACTCCAGCCACCAGCCATGCATCAACATTCAGTCTTGCTGTGATTCATCTCCATAAGATAAGTGAATATTCTCTCATTTACCAACTGTATAGATAAGAAAACCATCAGAAATCAAAGAACTGTTGAAAAATGGGCATTTTACATCACCAAAGCCCTTTTTTGTTGTTGAAACAGAAGCTTCAAGTCTTCTCCATCCACTGAAATGAGTTGTTGAAGTGGAAAAGTAAGTTCTAATTGAACCACCTTCTCCGATGCAGAGAAAAAGCAGACTTGAACAATTGGGTTGATCTTCTATTTCTCAGGTTGGAGAAGTGCTTTGAGGAAAGAAAGATGGGGAATCAAGATCAGAGGAATGCAAAGTTCTGGAATGTTTGCCTCAGTTGCCCTCTACTGGGTCTGGCTTGGGGAAGTTTGTAGAACTTTTTAATGAGTCATTGTAGGTTCAGGAGAGATTTCAGATGTGGGGGACAGGGTGAAATGCTTTCTTACACAGAAGTGAATGAGTTAGTGAAACTGTAGCACGTACAGTTTGGGAGAATGGGGGCAATGGGGGGATTGTGGTACGGGAGAAGGAGCACCAGCCTGGGATTCAGACAGGTCTGAGTTTAAATTCCAGCTCTGGCACTTGCTAGGTAGGCAGCGTTGGACAAGTTGGGTAACCTCAGTTTCCACCTTGAGCAAGTGCTTGACTAATAACAGCTGTGACTGTTACCAGTATGGTAATTACAGTATCCCAAGGTGTAAAGAAGCAGAAGCATGATTATATGAGTTGGGTCAAAGATTTGGCTGTCTCCCTGTCCCCCCACCAATCTGGCTACAGGGCAGACTTTGCTAAATAGACACAGATTTACTTCCAATGAAGTGGGTTTGCTGCACTGAATAAAGTAGTTTACTTTTCCTTCACTGCAGCTGTGCTTGAAATTGGACAGAAAGCCAGGTGTGGTGGCTCACGCCTGTAATCACAGCACTTTGGGAGGCTGAGGCGGGCGGATCATGAGGTCAGGAGATTGAGACCATCCTGGCTAACATGGTGAATCCAGCCTGGGCGACAGAGCATGACTCTGTCTCAAAATAAATAAATAATAATAAATTGGACAGAAAATAAGATAGAGTTGTAGCAATTAGTCTGCAGTTTTTGACTTTATTAAATTCACTTAGACATGTGGCTGCACCATTATGCTAAGGTACCTGAGGCTCTACTATGGTGTATTCATTGTCGAAAATGTGTTTGCGATGTAGATACTTCTTTCACCTAGTTCTATAGTGATACTATTGGGAATCTGAAGTTGTCAAGCAGCTAGTGTATATAATTGCATGTAAAATAGACTGTATTTTGTACTTATTGAAATCTAATGGTGATACTTGGTTTTAGATTACTGAATGTAGATTCTGAAGAATTATGGCCCCAGTAATGAATGGATGTGTAATTAGAATTTTTATCATTATTCTGTAACATCTCTGCTGAAAATTTCAGGTTTATATAATTGTTTTGGCTTGGCTTGAAACACAAATTATACTTAAAGTAACAGACAGTAATTGAGAAAATTATACTTAAAGGAACAGACAGTAATTGAATCCAATAAAAACACCAAAGAAGATCAAGATTGCTGTGAGTGGAGAGTCTGGCTTGTATATTTTGCGAACCTCATGGCTTGAATGACATATTCTCAACAAATGCATGCCAAGTAAAGAAAATACTGACTTTATGTTTTTGATTCAAATATTCATTTCATGAAACTCCAAATAACTTTTAGTGATATGGTAGTTTATGTGTTGATCCAGTGTTTTAAATTTTAACAATATACAGAGAATTCCTAATTACACTGGAGATTTTGAAATTTTCAAAAAATAAAATTTTGTATAAGCTTTACCCTGTGAGGGAATCCTCACTTCTGGTCTCAAATCAGCTAGTGTTGGGCATTGAAAATATTCACAGAGATTATGTATTAATTATATAGTTGTACTTAGAAATGTATATGAGAGTTGTTAATGACATAGGACTCAATATTCGTCTCCCTCGTTCTCACTCTTTGTATGCTTAGGAATGCCAATTACTTCCTCACATTATCCTGTAAAGAGGTATAATCGATTTAGAGATAATGAGAGTGACCTAGGGAAAAAGTTATTAAGCCACAAATCAATTACACCCTATCAACCACACCCTCACTTGCTCTCCCCACCTCTCTTCCAGCCCCCAAATACCAAGACCAAAAGCTTGGAATCACTTCATGGAAAGTCCTTTGAAAATGATTTGTACACTGATAAAACTTCTTGGAAACATAAATCCCTTGACTGATACTTGTTGAGCAAGTTAAAGATGTCCCAGTTCACACCTATTGCAACAGAACCAGAAATCACTGAAAGAGGCTAAGTTGTACCCGTAAGTTTGGAATGCAGAGCTGGGTTTCTGTCCTTTGTTATTCAGGATGTATTTCTTTCTTTCTTGGGCTCAGTAAGTAGAGTGTAGTAACAGTGTAATAGCATTTGTGTTCCCACCTTCCCACACTATACCCCACCCCCCCCAAGCCATGGCATGAGCTTATATGTTAGAGAAAAAAGAAACAGCTTCGGAGAACCTGGCCATTCGAGGGCCATGCTGTCTGGTAGCTTCTGTGTTGGCAGTGAGGATCATTGATGTGGGTGATGGGCTTATGCCCAGGCATGTGTGTTCTTCATCCAGCCTACCCTCCTCTGCGGTTCTGGTTTAGAGTGTGTTGGTTTGGGGCAGTGTGATGATCTTTATGTGGCCCCCAGGGCCAGCAGCAGGAGGTGTCTGCCATGTCAGGGGAGAGTAATGAAGTCTGGACACCATGGAATGCCTGTGTGCAGCCTCTCTGCGCTTGTCCTCATGAACTTCTCCAACAGTCTTACTGATTTTTTTACAACAAAAATTATACCTAATGATTATCTATTTCATGTACAAACACAAAGACCATTTTACTGTTAGGATTGAAATAAAACTTTTTTTGTCTTCAAATTGTTTTGCTCTAACACAGGCGAGATTTTTATTTTTAAAGACAAGGTTAAAACTCTTTTTCTCTGCATAATTTCAGTGTCTAGAATAGAGTAACAGTCCTGCTTTATATTTGTATAACGCTTAGCACCAGTGCTAACAAAATGCAACATGAGACTGGGCATGGTGATTCATGCCTGTAATCCCAGCACTTTGGGAGGCCGAGGCGGGTGGATTGCCTGAGGTCAGGAGTTCAAGACCAGCCTGGCCAACATGGTGAAACCCCATCTCTACTAAAAATACAAAAAATTGCTCAGGTGTGGTGGCGGGTGCCTGTAATCCCAGCTACTCAGGAGGCTGACATGGGAGAATCGCTTGAACCCAGGAGGCGGAGGTTGTAGTGAGCTGAGATTGGACCACTGCACTTCAGCCTGGGCAATAGGAGTGAGACTTTGTCTCAAAAAATATGCAACATGCCGGGTGCAGTGGCTCACGCCTGTAGTCCCAGCACTTTGGGATGCTGAGGTGGGCAGATCACGAGGTCAGGAGATCGAGACCATCCTGGCCAACATGGCGAAACCCTGTCTCTACTAACAATACAAAAATTAGCTGGGCATGGTGGTGGGTGCCTGTAATCCCAGCTACACAGGAGGCTGAGGCAGGAGAATTGCTTGAACCCAGGAGGCGGAGGTTGCGGTGAGCCGAGATCACACCACTGTACTCCAGCCTGGGTGACAGAGCAAGACTCTGTCTCAAATATTTCAAATATATATATATATATATATATATATATATGCAACATGAACTACTATGTAATTTAAAAATTTTACTAGCCACCTTTAAAAATTAAGAAGAAACAGATGGAAATGATTTTACCATGTATTTTATTTAATCTAATATCTCAAAAATCTATTATTCCAACATAGAAGCAATATAAAAATTGTTAATGAAATATTTTACGTTTGTTTTTTCCACTCCGAGTCTTTGGAATGGCATGTGTGCTTTACACTGACGGTGCCTCTCACTTCAGGCCGGCCCTGTGTCCAGTGCGGTCTCCATAAAGGACTCTGGTGTCCAGAAGTTCCCATGGCCGCTCCATTCCGTACTTGGTTTTCACAAAAACTGTCTCCTACCTTCTAATGTCCTCAATTCTACAGGAAAATGAGAATCATCTCCAGACAGTAGAAACTGTATCCATAATCCATATTATGAAGAGATAAAATAGCCAATTGTACTTTGTTTTTTTTTTTGTTGTTGTTTTTCTTGAGACAGAATTTTCCTCTGTTGCCCAGGTCGGAGTGCAGCAGTGCGATCTCGGCTCACAGCAACCCCTGCCTTCCAGGGTTTAAGCGATCCTTCTGCCTCAGCCTCCCTAGTAGCTGGGACCACAGGCATGTGCCACCATGGCCAGCTAATTTTTTGTACTTTTAGTAAAGACAGGGTTTCACCATGTTGGCCAGGCTGGTCTCGAACTCCTGGCCTCAGGTGATCCGCCTGCCTCAACCTCCCAACGTGCTGGGATTACAGGCGTGAGCCACTGTGCCCGGCCCCTATTGTACTTCTGTTTGAACTTATATTGGCAAATGTAGTAATTTTCTAGAGTTTTAGAGGAGGTAGTGTTTATTATTATAAATATTTGCTGAGAACTTTCTGAGCAAAGGGTACTATTTATTCTATATAAATATGTACTGAGCATCTGCTAGTTATTTAACAGACTTCTAGGCACAAAGGATCCAATGGAAAAAATAAGAATATTCATATTTAACAGCTTCTTTGTGCTCTAGGCATTGATTATTCTCTGCATTGATAGAATTTACACTTGCAGCTTTCACCAAAGAAAATGTTCCACAGTTTAGGCAGCATGGCAAAAATCCATCTCTACAAAAAAATACCAAAATTAGCAGGTGGTGCATGCCTGTAGTCCCAGCTACTCAAGAGGCTGAGGTGGGAGGATCGCTTAAGCCCAAAAGATCGAGGCTGCAGTGAGCTGTGATTGTGCCACTGTGCTCTAGCCTAGGTGACAGAGCCAGACCCTGTCTTTAAAAAAAAAAAAAGAAAAAATGCTATAATTTTACAAAACCTGCTCTCCATGTATCCCTCTCTACTCTCCTTAAGATGAACACTGGGTCTGGGGTGCAGGGGTGCCACAGCTGGAGTTGAAGAGGAAGTTAGGAGAAGGCTAGGAACCATCACGGAGATTTTTCACCCTGGTTCCTTCATTATTACTTGTTGGGGATCAGTGAAGATTAGAAATTGATGATGGCGGCCAGGCGCGGTCGCTCACGTCTGTAATCCCAGCACCTTTGGGAGGCTGAGGCGGGCGGATCACAAGGTCAGGAGTTCAAGAACAGCCTAGCCAATATGGTGAAACCCCGTCTCTACTAAAAATACAAAAAAAATTAGCCGGGCATAGTGGCGGGTGCCTGTAATCCCAGCTACACAGGAGGCTGAGGCAGGAGGATCGCTTGAACCCAGAAGGCGGAGGTTGCAGTGAGCTAAGATTGCGCCACTGCACTCCAGCCTGGGTGACAGAGCAAGACTCTGTCTCAAAAAAAAAAAAAAAAAAAAAGAGGAAGAAATTGAACATGGCTTTACAGAGGAGCTTCTCTTCCCTGCAGGTAGCGGCCTTAGACCCTTGTCTAAGGCAAAAGTGGGATTTAGGGAAAGATACTGTGGTAGCTGACACAGAATTGCAAAAGGCTGAAAACCCCCGCCAGCGAAGGGCAGCAGCTGCTCCCCTCCTGTGGGCACTCTATTGCCCTCATAGAGAGAAGGCATCTCCCAGCACTTTCTACAACCACACCCCCAACCCCCAACCCCCAACCCCCAGCTTAGTTCTCTAGAAGAGCAGACCCTCACCCTCCCCCACCTCCTCAGCCCAGCCTGGAAAGGCCCACGGAAGGACTCTGCCAGCCCTGGCTAAAGTTATGTGTCCACCTCTAGAGCAGCCACCTGGCCTGGGGACGAAGCAGTATGAGCCCACATTCTGAGTTGTAAAACCCCACAATTAGGAAATAGACTTAAAGTGCTCCCATCACATTAGGATGCAATGTGCATTTTTGTTTGTAGAAGCTTGTTCTCCATTTCTTCTTATTTGGGCAAAATAAGCTCAGTTTGACTAACTCTGCCATCTCTAACCCAGACCCCACCATGCTCTGACACTTTGACAAGCACACTGGATGGGCAAAAGAGTCAACTACCGAAGGAAGACAATTTTCGTTTGGTCTAAAACTTTATACCTGTGATATTCTGTGCCATGGAGAGACTCGTGCTTAATAATTCACTTTCCAATGATCTTAGGCAATGTAGAAGATTACAAATACTGTGAGACCTGAACTCCTCCTTCAGGGAACTTAACAGTTTTCAGTGGCGGGGGAAATAAGAGTAGATTCCTGAAACCATAGCAGCATCCGATAGAACAGAACATTTCCTCGACTCTAGCAAATCTCTTAATTCCAGGTGTACTCGGGAAGATAGTAGCATTTATTGGGTATATACTATGAAGAGAGAAGTGTCATATCCTGAGAGGGGGTTTATAGGCAGTAAACATTGTAGTCTTTGCCTTCAAGGTGTTTGAAACATAAAACATGCTCACATTAGCTAAATATGCCTGCTTCAATGCCTGTACTTATATCACACAACCGACGTTATCAACCTGGTTTCAAACGCCATGAGCAAAAATCAAATCAGGTAATGTGTGTGAAAGTTCATTATGACTGTACCACCATACAAACCGAGATGGTATTACTCCAGTCAGACCTTCTGTTTTATAGTGTGTTCCAGAAGCTGGCCTGGTTGCAGAAGAGAGTGAGCTCATTAGCCCTGTTCAAAAAAAAAAATAAATGGAATAATAAAGAAACTTCAAAACCAAATGAAATACCATTCCATGCACATCTTGGAAAAGTTTATAACGTATTTAAACATGAAGAGCTATTGTAAGCTTGACAATAAAACTGTGAGGATATTGTTCATTTCCGAGATTCACTTTTCCAAGATAGCTCTATCGTGAAAGTCTCTTTTGGAGTTTATGTATAGTTCTTTAAATTGGCACAGTTGGCTTAAAGCTAAAACACTGTAGTTTGCATTAAAAAAGAAAAAAAAAAAGCAAGTGCTTTTGCACAAAAGGCTGTAAGAAATGAGGGCTGCATATGAAGCGAGTGTTCCGTTGACTGTGTGAGTGTGAGATCCTTTTGGCTTTAGTCATTTATTTGGGGCAAGCTCCGACCTTGATGACAGATGATTTCGTCAAGCTCTCCACAAAAGGTACATGTCTATTTTCATCGTCAACTAACTTCTGTGGAGCACTTGCTGCTTTTGGTCCCCTAACCATGAGGTTTTATTGACCCATTTGCCATCTCTGGGGTAAGTGGATGGAATCATCTTTCTTGAGAGGAGAACTCCAGGAATAATATTACACTTGTCTCTGAGCCATTTGAGCTTGCTATTTTTACAGATTTCAGCCTTAGTTCCTTTTCCTCTTCCTCTGTCACCCTCAGAACACTGGGACAAGGGGGAGCCATGCTGTTTCATAAACTTCCCATAGAGGTTCTGAGTCTCCTTTTTAGCTGATTCCCATGAGTTTGTAATATTTTGATCTGAGCTGGTTGCAGTTTGAAATAAATAAAAGCAATCTGATTTCATTCTAGCCAACATCTGATGGGTTTGATATGGATGAAAGCTAATGAGAGGTACAAGTGAGACAGTACAGGTGAAAACTACAAAATCTCTCTTGTAAAATACACATATACGCAGACCCATATTTTCCAATGACACTTAAAAGGAGTGATACCAAGAGGAAACACTGAGTCCCATGAAACATTTCTTCAATCAGGACAGAACCATGAGCAGAGGACATAGTGGGTGGGGTTCGTGGAAAAATAGAATATATATCTAATTTTCTGTTTGATGATGGTCTACGGATTGATTTAATTATGATTACTACAGTAACTTGCCTAGTACTTCCTGTTCACGGTTGCCTTTTACATGCACAGCAGGTTGCTTGGGGAGCTGATGTCTGCTCCTAGCCTTTCTGCTCCGGTACCCTTTGTTCTGTTCCATTATGTTTCAGATAATTTAATCAAAGTTGTGTTTGCTTGTGCGCTCCCCCCTTTGAATCATTCTCACTGCACTTCTGCCCCTTCCATGCAGATGCAGGCTGATGCCGGATGGGTCTCCACTGGCCTCTTCTCTGGACTTCTCTGGGGCCCGTATCAGAACCCAAAACCTAGCCTCAGCTTGACTTCTTCCTCTTACCACGGGGTGACCCCGGTGTGATCTCCCCTCCCAGGTTCCATCCAGCATGACCGCCGGGTCTCCCTCTGCCCTACTTGATTGCACTCACCTTTTGTTACCAGTCCAGGCAGCAGGCTCCATGTCTGGGTTGGGGGTGTTTCCTGGCCTGACGGGGCACCTTGTTCGTTTCACCCAGGCAGGAAATCACGTCTTGTTTCAACATCCTGAATCTTGTCCTGACGTGGAAACCGTGATGCTAGCTGACCTGACCTGCAGCCTCAGGCATCCCTCGGCCCTTTCATGGCCTGGTGTTTATGTGGTCCGTCCTCACAAACTCTTAGGATGGGATTTATTGTCTCCATTTTCTTTTCTTTCTTTCTTTCTTCTTTCCTTTTGTTATTTTTTTTTTTTTTTTGAGTCTTGCTCTGTTGCCCCTGGATGGAGTGCAATGGCACCATCTTGGCTCACTGCAACCTCTGCCTCCTGGGTTGAAGCGGTTCTCCTGCCTCACTCAGCCTCCCGAGTAGCTGGGACTACAGATGTGTACCACCATGCTTGGCTAATTTTTTTATATTTTTAGTAGAGACAAGGTTTTACCATATTAGCCAGGCTGGTCTCGAATTCCTGACCTCAAGTGATTCTCCCACCTTGGCCTCCCAAAATGCTGGGATTACAGATATGAGCCACCGTGCCTGGCCTACAGTCTCCATTTTCTATAGGAAATGAAAGCTTAGTGAGAGAAGGTGCCCAGACCCCCAATGGCTGCGAATCGGCAGAGTTGGGCCCCAGTGGGTCTCCTCACTCCATCCCCCTTGTACCACCCAGTGTCTCACCAGCCATTCTGCTCAGATGGGATGTAGGGCCTATATAGCAAATAGAAGTTTTCTGGGAACCCCTTAATGACAAAAAATACTTGCTTTCCAGAGTATTCATGGCAGGCCTTGATAATCTTGAGCCTCAAGTGCCCACAATTCCTTCTGGGACTGACTTTAAACCTTTATTTCAAATACAAGCTGGGTCTTCATTATTCTTTGTTGCAATGGATCTCTTTACACGTTACCCTCAGAACCACAAATTAGCAAGAGTCTAGCTGGAATCTCTCCTGTGATGGAAATTTCATTCCCTAAGAAATAGAGCAACCTTTCTTAATTAGGCATTTACTCTAATGATTCAGAAAGTTGGTTCTTTATTTTTGCTTTATTTTCATTAGAAACTAAAGATTTGGATGGTGTTTTCATAATCTATTGAGAACTGCACCAAGACTGTCAGTATTCAATACATATGATTAATAATCAGAGGGAAGACACTTATATTTTCTGTCATACACACATACCTAAATGTTTAGGCCAAGGGCACATTTTTAATTGATTCAAATAGCAAATATAAATTGTGCCTCTCTGTTACCTGAATGTCTTACTTTTTTGGAGGTTTTGTTGTCAGGAACTGCCATATAAGAGGCATGCATCATTTTAATTGAATCTTAAACCTGACACTTTTATTGACCAAAAAAAAGGATTTCAAGTTATTTTTCATGCATAAAGCCTGCATGAAGCCTGTACTTCTTTAGTGAAGGCTATCTCAGATATGTATGACCTTACCTCCTTGCCTTTAGGAAAAATTAAACCTCACTGTCTGAGATCCTTGAGATTTGGCAAATGTTGATCAATTAACTCTTCAAAGACTTATGATGAAATAACTGTAGGCAATAAAACATACTGAAATATGTCCAAATGACCAGCACAGCAAAATATGCATGACCCTGTGCCTAAGGTCTGTGGCATACAAGCCTTGGGTTCTGTTTATGGGGATGTCACCTTCTATGACTCAGGTCCCTGTCTAGAAACATGATATGGCCACGTCTTGGTGGTTCCTTATTTATGCGGTCGAGTCTTTTGTATTCTTAAGTCATCTCTGGAGGATAAAAGTCAGAGCTCAAAGTCTATATATACTGTCACAAAACAAGGATGCAGATATAATGATGATAAAATTGAACCTATGATTTAAGAAATGCGATATGAATATGATATGACAACTCTACCTGCCACCAGTGGACTAATTTCCCTTGTTGCCAGGGGAGACCTCATCCTCATCCTAATTTACACAGTGTTGTATGTTTGTCAAGAATGCATAATTCTGCCAGTCTGTTGTATTTCTAATTTTAGCCTGTATACATAGAAACACTTTAAAACATTTGCAGGCTACTGCAATCATCGTCATACAATCTGTATAGTTGTTACATAGAAATAATATCAGTTGGTTTCCCCATAATAATTTTTTCTAGAGAGCTAGCTGTTCAATGCTAATTCATATCCTTTCTTAAGGTATATGGCAAGTAAAATGGATTTCCTCGGGGCCTGGAAGGAATTCCTGTTCAATGATTGGAACATTTAAAAGATTTCCTCTTGATTTCCTACAAGGAAGGAATAGGAAAGGGAGGTGATTGGTCTTGTTAGCCTGGAAATAGT